>NT_187661.1:0-325800 GCF_000001405.40 Homo sapiens
TAATCTGTCATGTTAACTCAGACATAGCTATTGAAAGTTAAAGTTCAGTGCATCACTTTTTGGAGTTTAGTTCAATTTGCTTTACCCACCCCCCGGCCCATATCTGCAGTCCTCTGATTTTGTGTGTGTGTGTGTGTGTGTGTGTGTGTGTGTGTGTGTGTTGGGGGAGTGGCAGGGAGTCAGGTTTATTGACATATAATTTAAATACAGATATAGTTAATCATTTTTATGTATACAACTTGATGAGTTTTGACAGATGGACAGTCATGTAACCACCACTACCATCAAAATTGATAACATTCCCATCACTCCATAAAGTCCCTTTGTGTTCCTTTTGTAGTCACTTTCTCCTATCCCCAGTCCTTGGAAACCAGATCTGACTTTTGTCTCTATAGTTTTGCCTTATACATTCTATTATGTAAATGGAATAATACTGTTTGTAGCTTTTTCCCAGTCTGGACTCATTTGTTTATCATTCTGCTTTTGAGATTTATCCATACTTTTGTATGTATTAGATCATTCTCACGTTGTTATCAAGAAATATCAGACACTAGGTAATTTATAAGGAAAAGAGGTTTAATTGGCTCATGGTTCTGCAGGCTATACAGGTAGCATGAAGCTGGTATCTACTTGGCTTCTGGGGAGGCTTCAGGAAACTTACAATCATTGTGGAAGGTGAGAGGAGATCAGGCATATCACAGGGCCAGAGCAGGAGCAAGAGAGAGAGGGGGGAAGTGCTACACAGTTTTAAATGACTAGATCTCATGATAATTAACTCACTATTGTGAGGAAAGTATCAAAGAGAATAATGCTAAATCATTCATGAGAAATCTGCACCCATGATCCAACCACCTCCCACCAGGCCCCAGGTCCAACACTAGGGATCACATTTCAATATGAGATTTGGTTGAAGACACACATTCAAAACATATCATTGTATGTATCAGTAGTTGGGTCCTTTTTCTTGCTGAGTAGTACTCCATTGTATAGATGTATAGTCAGTTCTGCTATCATGCATATTTATAAAATGCAAATTATTTTCAATTTAATTTAAAAAAAAAGGCTGACTAGGAATGTTGGATGCGAGTTCTTTTCAGAAAGAAGATCGAAGTTACCTGTTAATGGTCATGATCCAAATGGAAAACTGAGGGAAGACAGCCAGGACCTGTCAGAGAACCCATGGGAAGAAGCTGGGGCACAAGAAAGGAAAGCAGCAAGAGTCTGGCAGACATTGACCTATGAGGAACTTGGGGTCCCATGGAAAAGGTCAGTGGGAATGCTTCTCTGCTCCCTTCATCCCTGCAATAAACTGCTGACCACTAAGCTGTTGGGGAGCCCCTCTGCCCTCACAACCACAGACAATTCTGTTGGTGGCAATTTGGTAACTTTCCAGGGTGAGAGAATTGGCTGGCCAGCTTGTGCTGGTGGATCTGCACTCCACTCAGGTCCTACCTGAAACAGCAGATGCCATACTTGTTGTTCACCCATTATGGGCCACTGCCCTGCCAGGGAACCTCGGCCCTTACGTTGCATTACCAGATCCCCTGCAAACATACTCCAGAACTCACTCTGAATTTGGCACCCACAGGGGATCAGTGGGTCCCTGGAGAGCTGTGAGTTCCCCTGAGATCTAGCCCTCAGTGTGGGCATCCCTAGGGGAGGATGCAGTGCAGCCTGTCAAAGCCTCCCTTGGGACAAAGGAAATGTGGAAATGGTGTTGATCACTGAAGGGGGAGGCACTGGTGGCCGAGAATAGGTGTGGAGAGGGATCATTTCCTTCTCCCTCATCCACTGTTGCAGACACAGCAGAGGCTTTCCCCACTGGAGGCTGGTGCAAGCACACGTGGAGACAGCCTTTCCAGGTGCCACTTGCAGAAGCTGCACCCCCACTGAAAATAAGCCTGTGCTACCTGGACATGCACAAAAGTCAGGGCCCATCTCCCTCTTCCTACACTGAGAAGCAGGCAATGGAGGGCAGACAAGTCACAGAGCTGGACCGGGGGAAGAGGCTTTGCCCTGAGCCCCTTTCAGTGGTAGCCACCAGAGGGGTTTTTCTGCAGAACTCAGTCACACTGCAGCCAGGAGCCAAAGGACAATGTCTGTATGAACTGAATATTGCAGGCCCTGTGGCAGGGGCATGATAGGGAAGCAGATTGTGTTCCTGCCTGCCCAGGGTGATGAGTTGGTGCTGTGACTCTCTCAACCTCACCTGTCCCTACCCCAAGACTTCAGCATATCCCAACACGAACTCCCCAACCACCCTCCATCTGGCAGGTGCCTCTCCTTATCACTTGGCTACTGAGGGTGAGTTGGCTCTTATTAAGTGCCACTTACTAGACTGGAGACTGAACTGCTCCACCAAATAAAAACCCGCTATCAGAAGGGCATAGTGCTAGTGTATGAGATAAGCTTCCTGAGACTTCCACACTCAGCCCCACAGAAGATAGTGAGTCAGCTCATACTCCCAATACATTGCTAAAACAAGCAACATTTTAGAAAAACACTGCACAAAAGCTGTCTATAACCAAGGAACCTATACAGAGCCTTGGCCCCCTGAAAGCACCAAGAAATGAAGCAAATAATCACAGCATACATGACAGTCATACCCTCAAGGGAAAAAAAAGATAAAATTCCCATCCAAATAATAGCACATTCAAAAATAAAAAGCAACAGTACTTTCAGATGAGGAGGAATCGGTTCAAGAACTCTGGTGGTAGAAACAGACAGAATGTTTTGACAGCCCCAAAGGCTCTCACTAGCTTTCTAACAATGGATCTCAACCAAAATGAGGATTCTGAAATAACAGATAAAGAATGCAAAATATGGATTGTAAGGAAGCTCAATGATATCCAAGAGAAAGTTGAAACTCAACAGAAAGAAACCAGGAAAACCATTCAGGATATGAAAGACAGCTATATTAAAACAAACAAACAGAACTTCTGGAAATGAAAAAATTTAGTAAAGGAATTTCAAAATATAGTGGAAAGCTTTAGCAATAGACTAGACCAAGAAGAAGAAAGAATTTTGGAGCTTGAAGACTGATCTTTTGAGTTAATCCAGTCAGAAAAATATAAAAGATAATTTTAAAAAAGGAACAAAGCCTTCAAGAAATATGGGATTAGGTAGAGCAACCACACCTACAACTTATAGGCATTCCTGAGTGAGAAAGAGAAAAAGTAAGCAATTTGGAAAACATACTCAAGGGAATAATTCAGGAACATTTCTCTTATTGCTAGAAAGTTAGACATCAAGATACAAGAAATTCAGAGAAAAACTGTGAGATTCTATACAAGATGAACATCAACAAGGCACATAGTCATGAGACTATCCAAATACAGTGCTAAAGAAAAACGCTTGAAGGTAGCTAGAAAGAAGGATCAAGTCACCTATAAAGGAAGTCCAATCAGACTAACAGCAGACTTCTCAGCAGAACCTTATAAACCAGAAGAGATTGGGATCTTATTTTTAGCCTTCTGTTGTCCAGGCTGGAGTGCAGTGGCATGATCTCAGCTCACTGCAAGCTCCGCCTTCTGGGTTCACACCATTCTCCTGCCTCAGCCTCCCAAGCAGCTGGGACTACAGGCGCCCACCACCATGCCCAGCTAATTTTTTTTAATTTTTTTTTTATTTTTAGTAGAGACAGGGTTTCACTGTGCTAGCCAGGATGGTCTCAATCTCCTGACCTTGTGATCCACCCGCCTCGGCCTCCCAAAGTGCTGGGATTACAGGTGTGAGCCACCGCACCCAGCCTTTTATCCTTCTTAAAGAGAAGAAAAGCCAACCAAGTATATTATATCCTGCAAAACTAAATTTCATAAACAGGGGAGAAATAAAGTCTTTTCCCTAAAGGAAAAAAAGTCAGCCAAGTATATTATATTCTGCCAAATTAAATTTCATAAACAAAGGAGAAATAAAGTTTTTTCCGGACAAACAAACACTAAGGGAATTTGTCACCACTAGACCAACTGTGCAAGAAATACTCAGAGGAGTTCTAAACATGGAGACAAAAGGATGATACTTGCTACAGTAAAAGGACACATAAGTACAAAATTCACAGATCTTATAAAGTGATTACAAAACAACTAGTTAACAATACTATTACAGGAACAAAACCTCACATGTCAATATTAATCTTGAATGTAAAAGGCCTAAAAGATATAGATTGGCAAATTGTACCCTACAAGAGACTCATTGAACATGTAAATACACCAATAGGCTCAAAGTAAAGGAGAGGAAAAAGAAACATCATGCAAATGGAAAACAAAAAAGAGCAGAGGTTGCTATTCTTATATCAGATAAAACAGACTTTAAATCAACAACAATAAAAAAGACAAAGAAGGGCATCATATAATGATAAAGGGTTCAATTCAACAAGAAGATTTAATTATCCTAGATATACACATACCCAACACTGGGTTCCCAGAGGTATAAAACAAATACTACTAGACCGAAGAAAAGAGATAGACTGTCATACAATACTGACGGGGAATTCAACACCCCACTGACAGCACTAGACAGATCATCAAGGCAAAAAACTAACAAAGAAACTCTGGACTTAAACTGAACACTTGACCAAATGGACCTATTAGACATTGAAAGAACATTCCACCCAACAACTGCAGAATATAATTTTTTTCATCTGTGCATGGAACATTCTCTAAAATTGACCATATACTTGGCTATAAAGCAAATCTCAATATATTAACAAAGTGAAATCATATCCAGTATTTTGTTGGACCACAGTGAATAAAATTAGAAATCAATACCAAGAGGAACTCTCAAAACCACGTAAGTACATGGGGCCGGGCGCGGTGGCTCAAGCCTGTAATCCCAGCACTTTGGGAGGCCGAGGCGGGTGGATCACGAGGTCAGGAGATCGAGACCATCCTGGCGAACACGGTGAAACCCTGTCTCTACTAAAAATACCAAAAAAAAAAAAAATTAGCTGGGCGTGGTTGGCCTGCAGTCCCTGCTACTCGGGAGGCTGAGGCAGGAGAATGGCGTGAACCAGGGAGGCAGAGCTTGCGGTGAGCTGAGATCGCACCACTGCACTCTAGCCTGGGCGACAGAGTGAAACTCGGTTTCAAAACAAACAAACAAACAAAAACAAACAAACAAAAAACAAAACCACATAAGTACATGGAAGCTAAACAACTTGCTCCTGAATGACTTTTGGGTAAGCAATGAAATTAAGGCAGAAATTAAAAAATTGAAGCTAATGGAAATAGAGACTGAACATACCAAAACCTCTGGGATACAGCAACAGTAGTGTTAAGAGGAAAAATTATATCATTACATGCCCACATCTAAAAGATAGAAAAAAAATCTCAGATTAACAACCTAACGTCATACTTCAAGGAACTAGGAAAACAAGAACAAGCCAAACCCAAAGCTAGAAGAAGAAAAAAATTAACAAAGATCATAGATGAACTAAATGAAATTAGTTCCAAAATAATCATACAAAGGATCAATGAAAGGAAAAGTTGGTTCTTTGAAAGTATAAACAAAAATTGATAGAACTCTAGCTAGATTAACCAAGAAAAGAAAAGATTCAAACAAACACAATCAGAAATGATAAAGGTGACATTACAATTGATACCACAGAAATACAAAAGATCACCAGAGACTACTAGGAACACCTCTGTGTTCCTAGAGAACTTAGAGGAAATGGATAAATTCCTGGAAACATACAAACTTCCCAGGTTGAACCAGGAAGAAATAGAATCCTGAATAGACCAATAAGGAGTAATGAAATTGAATCAGTAATGATTAAAAAAAATCTACCAAGAAAAACAAAGTTCAGAACCAGATGGATTCATAGCTGAATGTTACCAATTGTACAAAGGAGAGCTGGTATGAATCTTATTGAAACTATTCCAAAAAATCGAGGAGGAGAGATTCCTCCTTAATTCATTCTATGAGATCACCATCATCCTGATATCAAAATCTGGCAAAGAAATAACAAAAAAAGAAAACTATAGGCCAATATCCCTGATGAACATAGATGCAAAAATTCTCAACAAAATACTAGCAAACCAAATCCAAAAGCACATCGAAAAGATAATTCACCATAGTACAGTGGATTTTATTCCAGGGATGCAAGGATAGTTCAACATATGCAAATCAATAAATGTGATTCACCACATAAATAGAATTAAAAATAAAAACAATATGATCATCTGAATAGATTTAAAAAAGCATTAGATAAAATCCAACATCTCTTCATGATAAAATCCCTAAACAAAATAGGCATTAAAAGAACATATTTCCAAATAATAAGCACCATACATGACAAACCCACGGCCAACATTATACTAAATGGGGAAAAATTGAAAGCATTCCTCTTAAGAACTGGAACAAGACAAGGATGTCCACTCTCACCACTTCTATTCAACATAGTACTGGAAGTCCTAGCCAAAGTAATCAGGTAAGAAAAAGAAATAAAAGTCATCTGAATTAAAAAAGAGGAAGGCAAATTATTTCTGTTCAGTGATGACATGATCTTATACCTAGAAAACCCTAAAGACTCTGCCAAAATACTCCTAGACTTGATAAATGACTTCAGTAGTTTCAGATATAAAATTAATGTACAGAAATGGTTGCATTTCTATACACCAACAGTGCTTAATCGGAGAACCAAATAAAGAACTCAATCCCATTTACAATAGCCACAAAATAAAAATGTATTCCTATACCTAGGAATACATTTAACCAAGAAGGTGAAAAACCACCATAAGGAAAACAGCAAAACACTGATGAAAGAAACTGTAGATGACACAAACAAATGGAAAAGCATCCCATGCTCATGAATAGGAAGAATCAATATTATTAAACTAACTATATTGCCCAAAGCAGTCTACAAATTCAACACAATTTGTATCAAATTGCCAATGTCATTTTTCACAGAACTAGAAAAAACAGTTTTTTTCCTATGGAGCCAAATTTATATGGAGCCAAAAAGGGCTCAAATAGCCAAAGCAATCCTAAAGCAAAAAGAACAAAATCAGAGGCATCACATTGCCTGACCGCAAACTATACTACAAGTCTGTAGTAACCAAAATAGCATAATGGTACAAAAGTGGACACATAGATCTATGGAACAGACCAGAGAACCCAAAGGTAAAGCCACAGACTTAAACAATAACTGATTTTCAACAAAGTCAACAAAAATAGAAAATAGGGAAAGAACACCTTAATCAATAAATGGTGCTTGGAAAACTGGCCAGCCTCACGCAGAAGAATGAAACTGGACCCCTATCTTTCACCATATACAAAAATTATAATAATACTAAAGATGGATTAAAAACTTGAATGTAAGACATGAAACTATTAAAATCCTGGAAGAAAACCTAGGAAAAATTCTTCTGAACATTGACCTAGGCAAAGAATTCATGACTAAGACCTCAAAAGCAAATGCAACAAAAACAAAAATAGACAAATGGGACTTAATTAAACTAAAAAGCTTCTGCATAGCAAAAGAAATGATTAACAGAATAAACAGATAACCTACCAAATGAGAGATATAATTGCAAACTATGCATCCAACAAAGTACTAATATCCATAATCTATAAGGAACTCAAACAAATCAACAAAATCCCTCAGGTAGCCCTACTAAAGAGTGGACAAAGGACATGAACAGACACTACTCAAAAGAAGACATACAAGTGGCCAACAAATATACGAAAAATGCTCACATCACTAATCATCAGAGAAATGCAAATTAGAACCACCATAGGATACCACCTCACACTGTCAGAATGGCTATTATTAAAAAGTAAGAAAATAACTGATGTTGGTGAGGATGCAGAGAAAAAGAACACTTAGACACTGTTAGTGGGAAGATAAATTAGTTCAGCTTCTGTGGTAAATAGTATGGAGATTTCTCAAGGAATTGAAAATAGAACTACCATTTGCCCAGCAATCCCACTACTGGGCATCTATCCAGAGGAATCATTTTATCAAAAAGACACCTGCACTCATATGTTATTGCAGCACTATTCACAATAGCAAAGTCATGGAATCAACCTAAGTGTCCATCAATGGTTGATTGGATAAAGAAAATGTGGTACATATACACACCATGGGAAACTATGCAGCTGTAAAAAGAATGAAATCATGTCCTTCGCAGCAACATGGATAGAGAGAAAGACCATTATCCTAAGTGAAATAACTCAGAAACAGAAAATCAAATACCACATGTTCTCACTTTTAAGTGGGAGCTGAACCATGGATACATGTGGATATAAAGATTGAAATAATAGAGAGTGAGGACTCCAAAAGCAGGGAGTGTGGGAGGGGGTGAGGGCTGACAAATAACCTTTTGGGTAAAGTGTGCACTATTTGGGTGATGGGGTCACTAGAAGCCCAAACCTCACCATTATGCAATATATCCATGTAACAAACCTGCACGTGTACCCTTCCTGCATCTAAAATAAAATAAAATAACAAAAAAAGGAAATGTGAATTTGTTACAATATGACTGAGATGTTAGAAAAAAATTGAGCATAACACAAGTTTTTCCATTTGCTTACAAGTGATTTTATCCATGAAAAACACTAAGTGAATAAGCCATATAAGAATACACAAAATGGGCTGGGCACAGTGGTTCGTGCCTGTAATCCCAGAACTTTGGGAGGCCGAGGCGGGTGGATCATAAGATCATGAGTTCAAGACCAGCCTGGCCAACATGGTAAAACCCCGTCTCTACTAAAAATAGAAAAATTAGCTGGGCATTGTGGCATGCACCTGTAGTCCCAGCTACTCGGAAGGCTGAGGCAGGAGAATGGTGTGAACCCAGGAGGCAGAGCTTGCAGTGAGCTGAGATCGCACCACTGCATTCCAGCCTGGGCAACAGAGCGAGACTCTGTCTCAACAAACAAAAACAAAAACAAAAACAAAAACAAAAACAAAACAAAACAAAAAAAACAGGAATGTATGTGTCATGTTATAGAACTGACTGTACCACAATTGGTTCACCTATCAACCACTTGACAGACATCTGGGTAATATCTTGAATAAAGTTTGGGGCTATTTTGAATAAAGCTTTATAAACATTTGTGTTGGAAAGGCAGAGGAAGCACACTTAAAGGTCCCAGTGTGGGTGGAGCCTGGACCATGTCTGCATAGAGGAGGACGTGGCATTGAGCTCGCTCTTCATTTGTACCCCAAGACCCCTGGCTTCCTCTTGGATTCAGTGCCACCAAGACCTCCTCTGGATGGCCATTTTCAACTCTATAGTGAGGAGGGAATAATGGGAAAGGGAAAACGTTAATTTCATTTAGAAGCAAAATTACAGTGTTCAATACAATTAAGTATGTAATATGTTTTGTTATATTCTTATGAATTTGTTCTTAGTATATGAAGAATATTAACTCTGACATAAGTTGCGTATATCTTTAAAAATTCGGGGAAGTAGAAGTGGATTTTCTATCAAAGTTGCAAAGTTCTGGAGTAATTTGATGAGTAATTATTTTCTTTCATTTTTCAGCATTAGGCAGTTTCACTGCCCTCTCTCTCTTCCCAGAATTTTCTGTGTAATTTAACAAGATGCTGAATGGGATTTATCTTGCTGCAAAAAGCTATTTTCTTATTCTAAAAAGACCATAACATACTACCTCCAGGGATAATATTCTCTGGAGATGGCAGGACTAGCCCTAAGTTTCTCCCCATCCTTCCTATCTATAGACGTAAAGAAAAAAAAAAGAGAGAGAAAAGGGAGGGAGAGGAGAGAATCATAGCCAAGGGCAGGGAGTACTATAGTGCTATAGTAGTCCCAGCTACTTGGGAGAGTGAGTTGGGAGGATTGCTTGAGCCTGGGTGATTGGGGCTGCAGTGAGAGCCATGATCATAAAATGGTAATGGTATTGGATCACAGCAGAGCTGTGATCTGTGCTGCTCCCATAAAGGCAAATGAGAGAACTCCAAGGGAAAAGTCTGTAGAGATTGGAGGTGCCATCAAAGAAAGAAGGAGTGTTCTCATCATCTGGTTACATTTTACGTAGGCTACTTATTTGTTGATGTGCCTCAGTAGTACCTGGATAGGGGGAAGAAGAAGGGAGAGAGATGGCAAGCAGAGAGTCTTGGCCTGCACTCTGACCTTTGGCTTGATAAGCAGGAGAAAAGTGAAGATGTGGTAATAGATAGAGGGATTTGAGTCATTTTACTTTGCCCACCCAAGAGGATGACCTGGCTGATTGGAACCAGAATGCTCACATCATGGAACAGGAAATGTCAGGTTAAATCTGTTCTAGGTGTAATAACACGTTGAGAGGCAGAGATCTGATGGTTAAGAGCATAGGGTATGGACCCAGGTTTAAATCCCACCACTGCTAATTATAGAGTTATGGGAAATTCTGTAAACTCTCCAGACTCCTGTTTCCCCATCTGCCAATTGGGTAACAATGGTATATGCGTCATAGTGATATTTTCAGGAATAAAATGAGCCAATACACGAAAGTTCTTAACTCATATTAACTTCTCTATAAATTTAAGTCATTTTTTATTTTTTTTCTTGTTTTTTTTTTCCTACTCTGTCACTGAAGCTAGAGTGCAGTAACATGATCACAGCTTACTGCAGTCTTGACCACCTGGGCTCAAGCGATCCTCCCATCTCAGTCTCTCAAGTAGCTGGGAGTACAGGTGTCCGCCACCATGCCAAGCTAATTTTTAAATTCTTTTATTGAAATGGGATCCCACTATGTTCCCGGGCTGGTCTTGATGTCCTGGGCTCAAGTGATCCTACTATCTCAGTCTCCCAGAGGGCTGGGATTATAGGCCTGAGACACTGCGCCCAGCTTCGTTTTTCTTAAGAAAGCTTGACTTATTTTTTAAAAAAGTAAAGATGCATATGAAGGAAGGTCTTCCTTTTTGGTTCATATAAAGTGCTGATTTTATTTTAGGGAATATAAATTATAGTTTAATTTATAACATCATTACTTCAGTTTTGGCTTTCTAGGCTGCTATCTCCATTGTAAGGCCTGACAACATTACCAGGTAGCATGTCTTCTCTTTTTTCTGTTGTTTCTTACATTTCCAGTTTTCCTCAACTTCCCCCCTCATCCCACCAAACCAATATTCCTAATGTTCAAGACAGCAATCAACATAATAGCTAGAATTCCATGGCTTACTTTTAAATAAAGGAAAGTATTTTTATTATATTAGAAACATTACAACATAGTGCAAAGATCAAATATTCATTGAAAAATGCATATCCAGAAATTCTGTGGTTGATGAATTTGGTCGAATATCTAGAGAGAGGATTTAGCACAAACATTCAGCACCATCTAGAATCACTGTGTACTATGTGGTTTCTTAGAGAAAACATTCAATAAAAACAATTTAAAATTGGAAATACACAATAAAAGTGAAATAAATTAAAATTTAAGTTTGGTTTGGTTATGGGGGGACTAGACCATAAAGGAGGTAGCTTCTGGGGTTGTAAGTGCTATTCTTCTGGCTCAGCTCCCTGTTCCCCAATCTACTGATGGATTTAATTTTTTTTTCTGGGCTATTCAGATTTAGCTCTGGGTTTTGATGTATTCCTGGACTCAGCATCTCTGGGGTTGACACAGACCAGCTGACCTCTTTTAGTCTGAAAGCTATGGGGAAAGGCAGAAGATTAAGAAGAATCTAGCCAGCTGGGAAATTTCTGGACCCATTGTGGCCCCTCCATCCCTCTTTCTGACTTGTCCTCTCAGAGTCTCTCTCTTTCTCAGCAATCAGCTCCCATGCCTTAGGGTTCCAGTTTCCCAGAGTATCTCATGAGAATCTCTTCAGTCAGCACCCTCCTGCCATCATGTCCTCCCTCTCTCTTCCTCTGCCCCTGGCCAGCCTCTCCTGTCTCCCTGATGACCCTGGACTGTTCAGAAAATACCTCAGAGACTCTTCTGTGCCTGTGAGGGGCCCAGAGAGCTGGGTATTCCCAGGATGGTGTCCAATCCACCTCCTTACACCCATGGGGGCTGCTCCAGTGTCTCCCCCAGGAATGGGAAGGAGGAATGGCCCTTATACAACACTGGGCTTAGAGCACAGGCTGCAGGTTTTATAACAGTCTGCTGCAAAATCTTGAGGGATCTTCTAGGGGGTATAAGGGAAGCAGCAGGAGGCTGTGGAGTCAACACCAGCTGTAGGAGAAGGCACAGCAAGAGACTGAGTTATTGAGAAGCCATAGAAAACCAACTTCCCCTCTCCATGCCCCCTGCTCTCCCTTTAACCCAAAAAAGATCAGAAGGAACTAGAAGGAACTAGAAGGACACAGCATTTCTTAAGTTGGGGAATTCAGATGAACTGGGACACACATGTCTTTCCTACAAATTACTTTGCCTTTGTCTATATCACTCCATTTTTATTTTTATTTTTACTCTTTTAGGGATTTAGCTCACTAAAATGTCTCATCTTCCAGTTCATCTCTTTTGGGAGGGAAATTTGTCTGTCCTGTGATATCGCAATACTAAAGAGATGAAGCTGGGATATGTCACATATCACCAATAGGACAGGCCTCTACGGAATAGCTGACATGAATTTAGGCTTACATGCACCAGTGGGAAATAAATAGAGCTGCCAGTTACTCTGTGAATTGGGCCTCAATTATCTTATCAGGAAAGTGGAAATTAGCATCTCCTGCTCCCACTCTCTGAACCACTTGGTGGAATGTGATAGCCTGGACCCTTTTGAAAAAAAGACTTTTTGAAGAGAATGGCCAGGGCGATTTGAATTCCTGTTTTGAGTGCTCCATTTTCAACTCTGGTGATCTTTATTTTCAGGGCATGTTTGGTGTGGTCTCACCTGGGGCCAAAAAGGGTAACATCTGAATAAGGCAGAAGAGATGACACTCTCCCACAGTACCAAGGAGGTCTGGGAGCAGAGGACCACAATAGGGGGAGGAGAATGGTGGAGACAGTTGAAAATGCCTGTGTGATGCTGGGCAGGCAAGGGATTCTGGGCTTGAGTGTCAGCATAGTTAAGACAAGCAAGCTTGCGTATTTGAAGCTGGCACCTCCTTCTTGGGTTCAAGCCATTGCCCCTTCTCTTTATAGAGAGTTCCATTTTGTGGGAAGATAGAAACTGGGGATGATTGGAGGAAAATATTTTAATCAGAATGTTAGTGTCATGTTGGGAGTTACATAATTCAGGGGTTGCCAACACCCTTTGGTCAACACAGAAGTTCCAAGTATATGCAAGAATAGCTTACCTTCAGCCGGGCGCGGTGGCTCACGCCTGTAATCCCAGCACTTTGGGAGACCAAGGCAGGCAGATCACGAGGTCAGGAGATTTAGACCAGCCTGGCCAACATGATGAAATCCCGTCTCTACTAAAAACACAAAAATTAGCCGGGTGTGGTGGTGCGTGCCTGTAGTCCCAGCTACTCAGGAGGCTAAGGCAGGAGAATCTCTTGAATCCGGAAGATGGAGGTTGCAGTGAGCTGAGATCGCGCCACTGTACTCCAGCCTGGTGACAGAGCAAGACTCTGTCTCAAAAAAAAAAAAAAAAAAAAAAAAAAAAAAGAGAGAATAGCTCAGCTTCTCCATCGAATGGGGACACTTCTGAGAAAATTGCTTGCTCAGTCCATTCAAGTTGTTCTGAAGAAATAATTTCCTCAGTGAGTGGGTGATCGGGACTTGGTATGGCCACAGGCTCCCTCACAAAAATGGATATATCTGTGAACCATGGGCTGCCTATTTCTCTCCTGTAGAGTGGAAGGTGCTGATGCTCTTTCACAACTGCTCTAACTATACGGATGTGATATAACTGATGATGTCACAATAGCCTGTCATAAGTAACCTTCACTATCTGGATTGTAAGATCCTCTTCTAAGACGATATCCTCATTCACACGTCTGGCGCCTGGACTGGGATGTTTGAAGGACAAGCTCTGCTGGAGCTGTCAACTAGAGCCGTCAACATGCCCTTTCAAGATGGCAGCCTTGAGACTCAAAGATGAGTGTTCCTAGTAAACTAGGGTCATACTTATGGCCTTTTATGACCTAGCCACAGAAGTCACAGCATGTCTCTTCCACTACAGTCTGTCGGTGAAAACAGCCACAAGCCTGTCCAGATTCAAGGAGAGAGAACCTAGATCTCATCTATCAATGAGAGGAGTGTCACAGAAATATGGCCGTCTTTAAAAACCACTACAACATTATTTTATCTGTAAATATTTATTTTAGTTTCTATTGCTTCTGTAACAAATTACCACAAATGTAGAGGCTTAAAACCACTTGAATTATTCTCTTACAGTTCTGGAGGTCAAAAGTCTGAAATGGGCCTCACTAGGCTAAAACCAAGCTGTTAGTGGGGTGGCAATTGTTTTTGGAGGCTGTAGGAGAGATTCCAATTTCTTGCCTTTATTGGCTTCTAGAGGCTGCCCACATGGATTGGCTATAGTGGGCAATGGATGGTCCAGTTCTTCTCACATTGTGTCAGTCTGATACTGACACTCCCTTATAAGGATCCTTGTGATTATGCTGGGCTTACTCAGATACTCCAGGATATTCTCCCTATCTCAAAGTCAGGATTAGCAACCTTAATTCCTTCTGGCTGTGTACAGGTCTCAGGGATTAGGATGTGGATATTCTTTTGGGGGAAATGTTATTCTGACTACCACAATATTTCAGTATGTATCTTTAAAATAAGGATTTTAAAACCCGACACAATCAAAATACCATTACTTATTTGCCATCTGTGTATTCTCCTCAGTCTATTCATGTTTTTTGTCCATTTTCTAACTGGATGGTACATTTGCTTACTTTCGAGTTTTGAGAATTATTTATATATTCTGAATACAAGTCCTTTGTCAATTAAGTGGTTTGCAATTACTTTTTCCCAGTCTGTAGTTTGTCTTTTCATTCTCTTGACAAGGGCTTTTTGAAGAGCAAGATTTTAAAATTTTGATGAAATCTAATTTGTTGCTTTTTTCTTTTATGGATTATGCATGCTTTTGGTATCAAATGTGAATTTTTTTTTACCTAGTCCTAGGTCCTAAAATTATTTTTTCTATTTATTTTATTGTTATTTTACTTTATTTTTTAAGACAGAGTCTGGTTTTCTCACCCAGGCTGGAGTGCCCTGGCGCAATCTTAGCTCATAGCAACCTCCACCTCCTGGGCTCAATTCTTATTTTTTTCTAAATGTCATGTCTTACATAACACACATGTCCCAGTTTATTTGACTTCCCCAACTTTAATGGGAGTTTGAATCACCCTGATCATGAAGTCTATGATCCATTTTGAGTAATTTTTGTGGAAGGTGTGAAGTTTACGTTGAGATTTGTTTTTTGGTCTTTGATGTCCAATTGTTCAGGTACTATTTGTTAAAAAGGCTGTCTTTCCATTATTTTTTCCATAAATGTTTGGTAGAACTTGCTTATGAAACCAGCTAGGTATGAAGATGTTTTCTAACCATGGTTTTTAATTATTGATTTAATTCCTTAGTGGAAATGAAACCATTCATATTTTCCATATCTTCTGGTAACACATTCTTGTGTCAATAAATTATATTCCTAATAAGGGAGAAAAGGGACTATACTCTAAAGCACTAGCAGAATTTAGCAAGCATGTGTCAGCCTGAGCAGGGGAAGTAGACTTGGGTTTGGATTTTGAGGTGCTTGATAAAAGGAGTTGGAATATAAGCCTCGATAAGAGACAACTTACTGACTTGGGAGTATTCTTTCCGGATATAGGCTGTAACCTCTTGAGAAGGACCCCAGGGGTTGGTACAGATTTGTTGTCAGAAAGGCTCCAGAAGCCTGAGAAAGCAATGGCTCATGCCGAGTGAAGTTAAAATACCCGAATTGCCATGACAGATGGAGAAGGAAGGGATTAAAAGAGTCATGGAAGTGGTCATGCTGGAGTGGATACATTACATGAGGCCAGAAGACTCACCAGATTATGTTCCATGGGAATGCACTATTCACCAAAGCCACCAGGACTCCCTGGTGAGAGGAGCACCAGCATTTCTAAGAAGTTAGTGGTCCCGCCTTCTTTATAGGCTAGGGCTGATGGTAAGAGTGGCTGTCACAAAACTTGGCCCATTGATAGCTCTTCCTCCTTGAAGCAGTGGGGCCCTCTCTCCTTGAAGCAGTGGAGCTTTCTTGCCTTGAAACAGTGGAGGCTAGGTAGCAGCATTTAACAAACAGAAGCCAAGGGGTTCTAAATATCGTTATAGCCAGCAAGGTTGGAGTGACAATCAAGGGGTCTTGACCCATGGAGAGTTGTGGCAATGGTTAATAGAACAAGCATCTCTAGAGGGAAGGTGAAGTGGAAATCTCTGAAACTGCCCCCTTCTCCCAGGAAAAAAGAGTAGATTAGAAACAATATTGCAATCTAGTGGAGGGGATGGTGGAGACTAATGCCACCCTTAAGGATACAAAAAATGCAAGGAAAATGGTTATTATCATATCTATTTAATTTGCAAGTCTGGCTTCTGCAGAAACTGGATGGATCCTAGAGAATGACTGTAGAACACTGTGAGCTCAACCAGGTAGTAACCTGATTGCAGCTTCTATAACCAGGTACTGACACATGCCAGGTATTAAGTACATGTTATGTACCTATTGATTTGGCAAATGCATTCTGTCCCATAACAAGTAGGAAAGAGGATAAGAAAAAGTTCCCATTCATAAGAATGGAAAATATTCACTTACAGTTTTCCTGTAGACTATTAACTCTCATCTTCTGCATACTGTAGTCTGAAGAGATCTGAATTTTCATGTATCTCTCAAAACAACACATTGATCCATTACATTGGTGACATCATGTTGATAGGGCATGATAGACAAGAAGTGGCCATATGTTGGACACTCTGTAAGACATATGTATTCCAGCTGGGTGCGGTGGCTCATGCCTGTAATTCCAGCACTTTGGGAGGCTGAGGCGGGTGGATCACCTGAGGTCGGGAGTTCAAGACCAGCCTGACCAACATGGAGAAACCCCATCTCTACTAAAAATACAAAATTAGCCAGGCATGGTGGCACATGCCTGTAATCCCAGCTACACAGGAGGCTGAGGCAGGAGAATCGCTTAAACCCAGGAGGTGGAGGTTGCGGTGAGCCGAGATTGCGCCATTGCACTCCAACCTAGATGACAAGAGCGAAACTCCATCTCAAAAACAAAAAGAAAGAAAGAAAGAAAAATACAAAGAAAAAAACGTATGTATTCCATGAGGTGGGAGATAAATCTTTTAACTATTTATGGACTTGTCATTTCAGGAAAGGTTTTATGAGTCCAGTTGTCAGGGGCATACAGGGATATCTCCTTCAAAGTGAAAAACAAATTAACATAATGTATTAGCACAAGGATAGGAAAATAAACCATTGGAACAGAACAGAAATTCCAAAAGCAGACCACAAAATCATTGAAATCAATAAACCGAGTAAAGCAGATTGCCCTCTCTAATGTGGTGGGCTTCATTCAATTAGTTGAAGTTCTGAATACAACAAAAAGCCTGACCCTCCTGCCTGTAAGAGGGAATTCCTCTTGCCTGATTGCCTTCACACTGGGACATAGGTTTTTCTCCTGCCTTTGAACTTAAACTGAAACATCATCTCTTCCTGGGCCTTAAGCCTGCCCATTCTCAGGTCTTTGAACTCAAACTGGGACTACACTAGCAGCTCTCCTGGGTCTCCAGCTTGCCAGCTCACCCTGCAGATCTTGGAACTTGTCAGCCTTCATAATTAAATGAGCCAATTCTCTAATTTCTTATTTTTTATACACACACCATTGGTTCTGTGTCTCTGGGGAATCCTGACTTATACAATGGTCTTACCAATGAGTTGCCAAGGTCCATTGGGTATTCATGTGGCAAAAAATAAATCTTGAATCCTTCTTCACACCAAACATAAAAATCAACTCCAGATGGATTGTAATTTAAATATTAATGCTAAAACAATAAAGCTTCTACAAGTTAACATAGGAGGATATCTTTATTGCCTTAGGATAGGGGAAGATTTCTCATTAGATCACGAAAGGCCTAACTGTATATAAAAGATTGAAGCATGTGACTCTCTTAAAAGGAAAAACAATTGTGAAAATCCATTAAAGCATTCTGCTCTATCAAAGGAGGCTGTGACCACTCATTTCTGAGAAATATCTGTCATGTGAAAACATAATCACATGATTATGCATAATCCTAAGCATAATCCCTGGGTGCTTCCAACTCCTGGTCACCCATCTGGAGATACAACTTCTCCATAAGCCCCTCAATCAACAAGTGAACCACTCGTTTGTGTACCCTAAACCTTTCAAGTAACCATAGGCAACCCTGGGCTGAGAACTCACATGACACCACCATAGTTAAAATGTCTTGCATCAGCACCTCCAATGTTCCCATGGTCCAGTCTGCCTATAAAAAGGAGAGACAACAGCTCATACCCCAGAAGGAGGCCAGGAGTTGTGAGTTTCCAAGCCCCAGCTCACTCTGACCACTTCTCTGCCTGCCCAGCATCATGAAGGGCCTTGCAGCTGCCCTCCTTGTCCTCGTCTGCACCATGGCCCTCTGCTCCTGTGCACAAGGTGAGTCTGTCATCCATGTGCTTTGATGGCTCCCTGGGCAGAAGTCAGGCGACATCTTCCAAGTGCTGTGGCCTGAAAACCCTCGTGTGAAATTAGGGATCCTCAAATGGGGTTTCAAAGTGACATCATTGTTTTCTTCAAGAAGGTTGAAAAGCAGTCTATTGATCTGGGCAGCAGGATGGGAGTCAGAGAAGTTTTATCCTACTGAGATAAATGAGATGGTTGAAGTCTAATTCATTGGGTTATTAGCGTGAGGTAGAATCTAGGTCTATTTAGTTCTCACTGGTGCTGGTAAGTTTTACAATGACCTCAGCAGTCTCCTAGAGTTCAACCCCTTGGGTAACATAAAAGATGTCTATACTTTTCTCAGCTATCTTGTGATTTAATCTATTAGAAAAAAAATTCCCCAAGGAGAGTTAGGAGAAGGGCATAGACTATTCAGGGAGCTTGATTCCCTGTAGCGTAAAATAAAGACTAAAATGGAGAGACAAGACTAGGGAAATTAAGGAGAAACAAACAAAAAGCCAGATTATTTCCAGCTTTCTTTTCCTGCAGGCCTCAACTCTGAGCTATGCTGTCTCCCTTTGCTCCTTTGTGACCCGCCTGGGCTTCTTCTCCTGAGCAACTCCTGTTGTCTTTGTTCCCTCAGATAAGATTCACACCCCATGCATCTGCTGCTTCTCCTACACCTCCCAGTAGATGCACTGCAAATTTTCGGTTGCCTATTATAAAACCAGTGGTGAGCGGTCTTAAAATTAAAATCCTATGATATATTTTAATTACTTTATACAGTCAATATTCATTTAGTTTTCATCACATATTTGCTCTTCCTGTCCTCTTAAATTCTTCTGCATCTCTGAGCTCCATCTGCAATCACTTTTCTTCTGCCTAAAGGAATCCTCTTAGTATTTTCATTACTGTGGGTCTTCTGATAGTGAAGTCTCCATTTTTTGCTTGCTTGGAAATGTCTTCATTTTACCTTCATTTTACCTTCACACTGGATATGAAAGTCCATAGTAGCTCCCACCTCCTACTTGTGCTTACGTGCTCCTTGTCCCTTGTCCCATGGGTTGTCTCCTCCATATGCCCTATTTGCAGACAGAAGGACTGATGCTGACATTACGCCAGGGTAAGAGCACCAGCTGCTGGAGTCAGCAAATTTGCAGTGGATATGGAGAAACATAAGAGAGGCAGGAGACAATGGGGTGCCTTAACCGTGAGGGAACCAGCATCCAGAACCTGAGAAAAACCAAGTAAATTTCTTCCACTCTTGAAAAGGGACCAGCAAGAAGTTGATGAAGACCTCACTGCTCAGGACTGTGAAGTAGGGCACAAAAGGAACTAAGGAAGTCAGGCATTCATCCTTGACTTTGAGTGTTTCTTTTAAATCTCTGCCTCTGTCTTACTCTCACTCCCTTGCTCCCTCTTCAGGGAGTATAGCTCTTGGAATGGCTGGCCTTTGTTCCATCTCTTTTGGGTAGGAACTTCATTCAGTCTACAGAGACTTTTCCCAGCAAGAGACCATCGTCTCTAAATCGCTGTAGGAGTAGAGCTTCTCAGGAGAACTGAAGGAACTCTGCCACTTCCTCACCCTAGGAACCAACTAGACCCAGAGTTTGCATCTTGTGAATGACTGAGTTAGGCCCCAGTTTTCCCAACTAACAATGGGTCCTAGCCCTCTCCTGCCTTTCAGATCTAGGTTAGATATCTAAGTCCTCAGAAAATAGCCCAGAACATTTTGAAACCTTTTGTGAAGTTCTTTGATTTTACTTAGAGAATCTTAATCCACAAGAATTAAGTGATATGGCTTAAATGTCTGTCCAGAGCATAGGGAAACAACTCTAAAATGAAGAAAGGACAAGGGTCAAGAGAGTCTCACGGGACAGATGAGACTTGTGAGCTGAGGGCCATGGAGAGGAGATGGAGGGCACCAAAGAAGACCTGTTCAGTGTTGGGCAGGCAGAGGAGTGTAGGCAATGCCAAAACAGGACTGGGCACTCACTGCCACCTACATCGTTCTGGGGTCCAAGCCATGTCCTCAACCCTTTACAGGCAACTCTAAACCATGAGGAGCTGGAGACTGGGGATGACCAGAGGGGAAGATGTTAAGTGCATGGTGTCTTGCTCTGAGTTGTACATGTTGGGGTACCTTGGGTCCCCCAGGGGTTCAGGATGTACAAGAGCAACTCAACTGCTCACTTGTTGGGGCTGAATGTGCAGAAATGTTTTTGACAGTGAGAGAGGGTGAGATGTTAGTGTTGAAGTCATACGTACAAGGAGAGATCTTCAGATTAACACTTCCACCACAGAGCAGCTCTCTAATGCTGTGCTGCAGCTCCTCTGACCACATGGTGTGATGTAAATGGTCATGCCACAGCGTTCTGGGCAGCACAAGTCACATTTAAACCACACCCTGGGTGAAAAGGACCATTACATCGTGTTAATCGGAGTGCTTCTAAGAAATGCTTAACTCATGAGGAGGACGTCAAGAATTGGTGTTACCAAGAAGCCAAGCTTAGCTGGTACCTTCTATCAAGAACAGATCTATTTGTGAATGGCACCATGGTCATTTCCTCCTATGGAACAGATATTTCTAGTGTTGTGTTTCCATTGCACAGAAGTGACATGTAAGATGATACCCCAGAATCTTAAGTAGTTCGAGTTGTGTTTGATCCAGACCCAAATGGACAGAATGGAATAGGGAAAGTCTGGACTATGGGAATGACAAGAATGATGGGGCCAGGCTTTTAACTGCTGTTTGATTCATTGAACATTCATAGCTCCCTACAATATGCCATCATTGGGTTTGACTCTGGGTAATAGACATGAATATGCATGACATATGGGGTGTCTATATAGATCAGGAGCCTTAGATGCCCTTATTTTTTCACCCAGGAAGCCCACAGCTAGGAAAATATCCTACAGAAATAACCTCACTTATGGAGAAAGTTTTTTGCATACAGATGTTTGGCACAACTTATAACAATGAAAAATTGGCCAGGTGCAGTGGCTTACACCTGTAATCCTAGCACTTTGGGAGGCCGAGGCAAGCAGATCACCTGAGGTCAGGAGTTCGAGACCAGCCTGGCCAACATGGTGAAACCTCATCTTCACTAAAAATACAAAAATTAGCTGGGCATAGTGGTGCACGCCTGTAGTTCCAGCTACTCAGGAGGCTGAGGTAGGAGAATCGCTTGAACCTGGGAAGTGGGGGTTGCATTGACCTGGGATCACACCACTGTACTCCATCCTGGGCAACAGAGTGAGACTCCATCTAAAAAAAAAGGAAAAATTGAAACCAACCCACATATGTTACAGTAGTGCATGACAATATTAATGCACTAGGCTTAAGTAAATTAGGCAGTTCTTAAAAATACTGGAATGATTTGGAAAAGTCTTTTAATATTAAGCACAGTCATATGCTGCATAACAATGCTTTGGTCAATGACAAACTGCATATATTATACAGTGGTGGTCCCATAAGATTATAATTCTGTATTTGTACTATACCTTTTCTATGTTTAGATATGTTTAGATATGCAAATACTTAACATTGCATTGCAGTTGCCTACAGTATTCAGTACAGTGGCATGCTGTACAACTTTGTAGCCTAGGAGCTACAGGCTGTACCATACAGTGAAGGTGTACGGTAGACTACACCATCTAGGTTTGTGTAAGTCTATGATATTCCCACAATAACAAAACAGACTAATGACAAGTTCCTCAGATGTATTTTTGTCATTAAGTGATGCATGGCTGTATAAATAAAAAAATACAAAATTAAAACCTGTATCATGACAACAGTAATGTCTTCCCCCACCAGACACAGTAAGAAGAAGGAAAAAAGCAAATGAGCAAACAGTACTATCATAAGCCTAGAAAAAAACTGCACTGGAAAGAAATATACCAAACTGTTTTTTAAAAAAAAAAAGTGGCTAGGTTTGGGTACTAGAATTTTTCCTACCTTCAATGAAATTTTTTTTTCAGGTTTTGCATCAGAATGCACATATGCCACAATAGGGAATGTAGAAAAAAACTCTCACATTCCTGCCTCCGTTTGCCTGCTGCCTACCCAGCTTTGAGATTCTAAATGAGTTTTTATTCTTTTCTGTATTTTATGTGTTTTCAAAATTAGCTTTACTGCTTTTTGGTGTAATCTATAGTTCACATAACAAATCATATAAAAAGCTATTTGAACTAAAAACACTAGTAACATTGCTCTTCCTGTACTCCTATGAGACTCCCTCGTATGCTTGTGGATGAGACATTATGAGGATGTGATGACTGAGAAAGCAGCGGCCATTTTGGGACCACGAGGTGACAAGCTCAAATAAGAAAAGCCAACAAAATGGTGGGGGAAGGGGAGATGTTTTAAGAAGCCTGAGTTCTTGATGACACAACTGAGCTGTTAAACAAACTCAGGGAGGACCACCTGTTTAAATTTATTTATTTACCTAATTATTTATTTGAGACAAAGTCTTACTCTGTTGCCCAGGCTGGAGTGCAGTGGCATGATCAGAGCTCACTGTAGGCTTGACTTTCCGGGCTGAAGCAATCCTCCTGCCTCAGCGTCCAAAGAAGCTGAAACTACAGGCATGCCCAGCTACTTTAAAAAAAAAAAAATTTATAGAGACAGGGTCTCACTATGTTGCTCAGGTTGGTCTCACACTCTTGGCTTCAAGCAATCCTCCCACCTTGGCCTCTCCAAATGCTGGGATTACAGGCATGAGCCACCATGCCTGGCTCTGATGTCCATGGTACATCTATGCTGTTGGAACAGCTGGGGAGGCTATCAGAAGGTTCTGCTCAATGGGAGAAAGGCTTTATCTAAAGACCTGCCCTTGTGAGAAGGCACCAGCTAACCCAGTCTCAGGGTGACACCAGCATCTCACCTCCTTTCACTGTGGAAACCATTTCCCCACCAAGGGATCAACTGAAGCATTCTTGCAAATAGCCTGAATCTTTGTGGTGAGCTGAAGCTCTCCTGGTTTGTGCAATGCACAGCATGACACCAGTATCATGATTAAAAAATTTTCCCCTTCAGAGAGGATCAGGAAAAACTAATGGGTACTAGGCTTAATATCTGGGTGATGAAATAATCTGTATAACAAACTCCCATGACATGAGTTTACCTATGTAACAAGTCTGCACATGTACCCCGAACTTAAAAGTTTAAAAAATGAAAAAAGAAACAAAATTCCTCCTCAGTCTCCCCAAGTTTATATCTTCTAATACCCCAAGGCTGCCTGTAAAGAGAAGAGATGGCTGAGACCCCAGAAGGAGGCAGCGGCTACAAGTCCTGAGTTCAGCTCTTCCCGGCAGCCATGGGAGCTCACACTCTGCCCAGCATCCTGGGGACCCCTGCAGTTGCCCTTGCTGTCCTTTTCTTCACTGAGGCCCTCTGCCCCCAGGCCCGCTGTCCCTTGTGTGAATTTGTCTTTTGCTCTTGTGCCCCTACTGTCTGGCCATGGCTTGGACCCCACTGCCCGAGTCTATCTCTAAGACCTCCAAATACAGAACATCAGAGGGATTTCAGGGACTATTTCCCGAGGAGGATTTTTCTTCCTAAGAGGTTTCAGCAACTCTGTTCTCCACCTCTGGGAGACAGAGGGAGAGTGAGTCCCATTCTATGGATGAGAAAATGGAGGCCCACGGGGATTTTGACAAGAGGTAGGATCTGGGTCCAATTGGTTCTCAGTGGTGTGGCCTTGGCTGTCCTTATGAATTCAGATGGAACTCCCCAAGGAGAGATGGGATGGGAAATAGTTTGCTCAGAAAACTAAATTTCCAGTAAAGAGACATAGAGACCCAGAACCAAGACAGCCAGAGAATGAGAAACACCAAGAGAAAGATGCAGAAATTAAAATGTCAGGGAAAAGAAGAAATGCCAGCTTCCTTCTGGATCTCTTTGTCCCTATATCCCCACCCCAAGCGGTGATATCTCCCAGTTCTTCCTGACTCTCAAGGAAAGGGACCAGGAGCAGCTGGCTTGCCTTGTGAACAATGACTTGGGATCTTTCTGTCCTGTCTCTTGCAGTTGGTACCAACAAAGAGCTCTGCTGCCTCGTCTATACCTCCTGGCAGATTCCACAAAAGTTCATAGTTGACTATTCTGAAACCAGCCCCCAGTGCCCCAAGCCAGGTGTCATGTAAGTGCCAGTGCTCCTGCCCACCCCTCGGGAGGGAGGATGGGAGGTTTGGGGTGAGGTCCCCTCAGAGTACTCAGCTCTCTAAGGCCCATCAAGGTAAAGGACTCCAGGGGAGGCCCCTGCAGTGTTTTGTGACCTGGCCTGGGGCCTGCAGAGTCCTGAAGGGCCTGCCCCTGGGCAGAGGGAAGAGAGCAGACATGACAACAGGAAGTTTGCTTCCTGAGGAACCCCATCTGAGACATTTGGGGAAGGCCTGTGAACCCCGAAGTTAAGGGGAAATTTTACGGGCACGAGGACAGGCCCTGAGATGCCTGGGACAGAGAAGGACGCAGGGGCCACAGGATTCCCCTGATGAATTCGTCAGTTCTTAACTCTTCCTCCCTTCTCCACAGCCTCCTAACCAAGAGAGGCCGGCAGATCTGTGCTGACCCCAATAAGAAGTGGGTCCAGAAATACATCAGCGACCTGAAGCTGAATGCCTGAGGGGCCTGGAAGCTGCGAGGGCCCAGTGAACTTGGTGGGCCCAGGAGGGAACAGGAGCCTGAGCCAGGGCAATGGCCCTGCCACCCTGGAGGCTACCTCTTCTAAGAGTCCCATCTGCTATGCCCAGCCACATTAACTAACTTTAATCTTAGTTTATGCATCATATTTCATTTTGAAATTGATTTCTATTGTTGAGCTGCATTATGAAATTAGTATTTTCTCTGACATCTCATGACATTGTCTTTATCATCCTTTCCCCTTTCCCTTCAACTCTTCGTACATTCAATGCATGGATCAATCAGTGTGATTAGCTTTCTCAGCAGACATTGTGCCATATGTATCAAATGACAAATCTTTATTGAATGGTTTTGCTCAGCACCACCTTTTAATATATTGGCAGTACTTATTATATAAAAGGTAAACCAGCATTCTCACTGTGACGACTCTGTTGATTTTGTTTCACTAATCGGAATCACAGACTGAGAGGAATTCTGGGGGAGGAGTAGGGAAATATGAAAAGGGGCAGAAACAGCAAGATAGGGACCAAGTACTTCTACAGTCATACCAGACATTTCCCTGGAGATACTTTCCTGAAAAGTTGAAACAGACACCATTAGTTTATAAACCATATTGTAACTGAAATGTGATAGAAAAATTTTCTACTTAAATGAATATCAAGATGACGCTGCAATGCATATTTACGCACACAAGCTCATTTTCATAAATGAAGCTTTCCTCAGAATGATGGCTAACATCTGTTGAGGTCTTACCAAGTGCTGGGTTTTGGGCTAAGTACTTATATTAGTAAAAGTCTAGCAAATACTGCCCATAGTCTAGCAAGGACTCCTTACCTGGAAGTTGCTGAAAGCCTTGGTAATGTTATCTTTGTTCTCCACTCTGCTTTTGGGGAGGATGTTTTCCATGACTATACGAGATGAGGCTTGGGGCTGGGTGGCCAGAGTTAGCAAATAAAAATACAGAATGGATACTATTTTAGTGTAAGTATATCCCATGCAATATTTGGGACCTACTTGTACCAAAAATGATTTGTTCTTTTTCTGAAACTCGAATTTAACAGGGTATCCTAAATTGTATCTGGCAACCCTCTGAAGAAGGAATACTGCTTATAGAGGTGTCTGTTTCCTGTTGGAGATGTCTGTTGATTTTGGCTTAAGTGTAGAACAGGGCTTTGGCTTAAGTGTAGAACAGGGCTTTGGCTTAAGTGTGGAACACGGCTTCTCAACCTTGAATTCACATTAGAATCACTTAGGAGAGCTTTTAAAAATTCTAATGCCAGGTCCTCACCTCCAAAGTTATGAATTTAATTGGATTGATGTGGGGGCCTGGCATCAGTAATTTAAAAACTCCCCAGGGGATGTTAATGCACAGCCAAGTTTGAGAACCACTGTTGGTGTGGGGTCACAGGCTGTTTTTAACCAGCATTAAGGTTTCAGAGGCACTGCAACTCCGTTCTAATTTTTGAAGGCATCTGATCTAGTTATTTTTGGTTCATTCCATTGGATGGTTAATCATAAGCAGAAAATCTATCAGATACAGTTATTTCTAGAACTGGGTTTTTAACACGTCTCTTCCAGCACAGCACTGGGAGCTCTGTGGTCATCCCTTCCGCCGCCCACCGGCTCCCCCATTGTATTGACTCCACATTGCCCCCTGCTGGTGAAACAAGTGCGAAGGTCAGCGTCTTTAGCTCCCTGCCTCTGATGAATACAGCTGCACCTTCACAAAGAGCACAGCTGTTCATTGTGATGGTTAATGTTACGCGTCAACTGGACTAAGCTAAGGGATACCCAGGTAGCTGATAAACATCATTTCTGAGTGTGTCTGTGTGGTGTTCCAGAAGAGATTAGCATCAGAAGACTAAAGAAGATCTGCCCTCACCAATGCAGGCAGGCATCATCCAATTCACTGAGGTCCCAAATAGAACAAAAAGGCTGAGGAAGGGTGACTTTGCTGTCTGCGTTTGAGCTGGGACATCCATCTTCTCCTGCCCTCTGACATCCACGCTTCCGATTCTTGAGCCTTCAGACTCAGACAGGGACTTGTACCATCACCTACCCTTCTTGACCCCTTCTCAGGTCTGTGAACTTGGACCAGGACTGACAACTTTGGCTGCCCTGGTTCTCAGGCCTTCAGACCAAATCACACCACTGGCTTTCCTGGTTCTCCAGCTTGCAGATGGCAGGACTTCTTGGCTTCCGTAATTGTGGGAGCCAATTCCCCTAATAAATATCTCGGTATTTATATCTATATCAACATTGGTATCCAATCTATATCTATAGAGAGAAATAGCCTACTGTTTCTGTTTTTCTGGATAACTGACTAATACATTCATTTTATCATCAAGATAAATATTTACAATGTGGGATCTGAGAAGGAGGTGGATTTGGCTGCTTCGGGACCTGCTTTCCTGTCCTGCCTAATCTCTCACCTCCTCATTTTTGCTTATATTAACATTAGCTTGGACTGGAAAATTCTGCTCTTCTAGTCCTGCAAGCTCCAGATCACAGGATTCTTAATTAGCTTGGTTTTCAGGCAGCAAGCAGAAAGTACATTTCTTTAAAAAACTACTTTTTTTCCCCTTCTCTGCTATCAGAAGAATCAGTTTCAAAGTAAGTTAATTTCTTTCTTAGTGGGCCTTACTAAGACTGATGCAAGAAATAGTCTCCAATACCCTGAATTTTCGTTTTTGATAAAACTTTGGCTCGAAGATGGACTTAGAATATATAACAGGCCATGGGGGTAACCGGCAATTTTGGTAACTAGAGGTATCCCCACTGACTTTGACCTTAGCTACTGCCTTCAGCCAGTTCCACGTTTGGGGACCCATACTTACAACATTGCAGTCTATGTTAGTTAGGGATGGTTTAAGTCACAGTGTCAGAAAAATAACTCAATCTGGCTTAAATGATAAAGGGAACTTATTAGTTCACATAACTGAAGCTTCAAGAAATAGAATTAGTTTCAGGCAAAACTTGATTCAGTGGTCCTTGTTTCGCTATGGACTATACATGTCTTTCTGAATTTCTGATCTCCCTGCATTTGAGAGCTTCATCCTAGAAAGAAGTTACTATATTCATCCTAGTTACTCTATTGGCAGAATAGCTTCCAGAAACTTCCAGAGCAAATTGGGAAGACAATGTCTGTATCCTCGTATTTTGAGCCAAGAGCCTGAGTTCCACTTTTATTGGTCTGGCTGGCTTGGATTAAGAGCCCATCTCTTAACCCAGGGGCCAGCAAACTATGGCCATTGGGCCCAATTTGACCTACTACCTGTTTTTGTATGGCCTGCGAGCTAAGATGTTTTTACATTTTAAGTCATTGAAAACATCCAAAAGAAGATTATTTTGAGAAATATGAAAATTGTATGAAATTGGAGTTTTAGTGTCCATAAAAAAGTTTTATTGGAATGCAGTTGGGTTTATTTGTTTCTGTATTGTTTACAGCCCACAGTCTAGCAAGGACTCCTTACCTGGAATGAATCATATTTTCATACGACAAAGCAGAGCTGAGTAGTTGTGAAAGACACTGTATGACCCACAAAACCTGAAGTAGTTTCCATTTGGTCCTTTACAGAGCAAGTTTGCCAACCTGTATCTTAATTCATCTTTGTGGCCAGAGAAGTGGATTTACTGATTTGTTTCAGCTGATCAATGTCTATAACAAGCAATGTTGATGGGCTGAAAACCACACAGACTACCAGAGGGGTTGCTTTTCCGAAGAATCATGTAAGGATAAAAGAGAAAGAAAGAGAGAAAGACCTTGGAACCCAACTAGTATCTACCAAATGTATGTAACTTTCTCATATTAATTCTGTCTTTATATGTGAAGATGACCAATCCCCTGCCTGTGATTACATCACATCAAGCATGTTCTTCCCAAATTGGGGGTTCAATTCAGACTCTCCTGTTATATGCCAGTTGTCTTAGGGATTTTCTCACTTTATTCAACACTATACTCAATTTTTACATTAATAATGCAGTAATAATATACCCCTTTGCCATTCTGTATTTTCCTGTATAATAATAATTATTATTGTTATTATTATTATTTTTTGAGACAGTTTTTGTTCTTGTCGCCCAGGCTGGAGTGCAATGGCATGATCGCAGCTCACTGCCACCTCTGCCTCCTGGGTTCAAGTGATTCTTGTGCCTCAGCCTCCTGAGTAGCTGGGATTACAGGCACGCACCACCACGCCCAGCTAATTTTTGTATTTTTAGTAGAGATGGGGTTTCACCATGTTGGCCAGGCTGGTCTCGAACTCCTGATCTCAGGTGATCTGCCCGCCTTGGCCTCCCAAAGTGCTGGGATTACAGGCGTGAGCCACTGTGCCTGGTCTTTCCTGAATTATTTTACCGGTTTTGTAAAAAGATTTTGATCGGGATATACCCTGTTGCCCCACAAATGATGGCTAGTTCCCAAATCTGAGACTAAGTTTTCATTATAGACTTTATATTCTAAACTAAGTCACTAACAACTGGGGCCAGACAATCCTTCCAGGGCATTGTAGACATAGGAAAAGGAAAGAAAGTGGCCAGCCTAGTGGGTTCCACCTTTGTGAAGGAGAGGTCTTTACTTCTAACTGCTCTTGAAGCCCAGTGAAGGGGTCTCCAGAGGGTAACTTGTACAAACTGGAAGTACCTGCAAACAAGGCAACTCATTTTCCAGTTGGATGTCAGCTTACATGGTGAACCTCATGATTTGCCTGAGCCAAAATGAGCAGGGGAGAAGAAAACAGAAGATAGGAACCAAAGCAGGGAAAAGGATTGCTGGAGGCTGCTCTCCCACCACATGGAATGAGCTTTCCATTGGCCGAGTGATCCTGTGGAAGGGAGCTGGGCTCGAGCCATCCTCCCAGTGACACTCCGCAAAGGTTGGGGGAATCACATGTCCCATTTTGTCTGGGAAATGACCCAGTTTATGCCAGTTGTGCCAGCATAGTTATTAATAGTAACCCCTTTGAGTCTTAAAGTGCTCATCCTACCAATAGGAGATCCACTGCTTAGCTTACAAGGATCTTAACAGCAGTAGCTGATGGGGTGGTCTCAGGGCCGCTGTCTACAAAGGCCCCTGGATGTGTGGGCAAGAGGGTGCTGAAAGCCAGTCTGCCCATCACCTGTAAGGTCTTGCACTCACACAGGGCTAGGTGTGCTCCATGGTGCTTTTTTGTAACATGCTCAATGGTGTCTTCCAGGCTAGCAAAGGCCCAGGGTATGCTGCCAGTGGTGTGAGCAGAAGAGAGAGGTGAAAGATGTTGGGCAAGGGTGGGATCTCTCACCTAAGAAACTATGCAGAGAGAGGACCCTCAGGAATGCCCATCTATCCGAGGGAAATATACATGCATTGCCCATAACTTCAATATTTTTTTAAAAGATGCAGGGATAACCTAGCAGTGGGGGCAGGGACTACATCTGTAGGCAGTTAAAAGAATTCTTTCCCCTCTCTCTTTTAAACATTTAAATTAAAAAAAATTCTTTTAGAGACAGGGTCTTGCTCTGTCACCCAGGCTGGAGTACAGTGGTGTGATCACAGCTCACTGCAGACTAGAACTTCTGGGCTCAAGCGATCCTCCTGCCTCAGCCTCCTGAGTAGCTAGGACTATAGCTGCACACTACAATGCCTGCTAATTAAATTTTTTTTTTTTTTGTAGAGACAGGATCTCACTGTGTTGCCCAGGCTGGTCGCCAACTCCTGGCCTCAAGTGTTCCTCTGGCCCTGGCCTCCCAAAGCACTGGGATTACAGGTACAAACCACCACAACCAGCAAAATTTTCTCTTTATATTACCCCACACAGACAACCCCTCTTTCCAACATGCCAGAGGAGTTAAAAAGAGAAGGAGAGAGGGTATCTCAGAACCAAACTAAAGCTTCATCACACTCCAACTACCAGAGCCTGTTTTGCTCTGGTGAAGGGCGAGGAGAAAGGAAGAAGTAGAAATGTTAGTTAAGTCAAATTTAAGATTAGGGTTCTAAACTGAAGGAATTTTAATAACTGGATGTGACCAAAACGTGATAGGATCTCCCCAAGATGTTAAGGTGGAGCTGATGATTGGAGAACAGTTAAGCATTTTATGTTTATAGTCTATATATAAGTAAGGATAGAATAGGTTGTACCTAGATAACAAACAAACTCCCAGTGGTCTAACAAGGTAAAAGTTTTCCACTCATACAAAATCTGATGTGGGCTAGATCACTGGATCTCACAATTTAGTTGCATCAGAATCCACTGGTGGGCTTGTCTAAACACAGATTCCTGGGTTCCACCTGAGACTCTGATTCTACAGGTCTTGGTAAGACTCAAGATTCTGCCTTTCTAATGAGGTTTCAGGTGATCCTGATGCTGCTGACCCATGAACTACACTCTGAGCAGTATTGATCCTAGAGCAGCTCTCCTCCAGGTGGTGACTCAGGAATTCAGGCTGCTTCCATCCTGTAGCTGTAGATTCTGGAATGAGAAAGAAGACAGAAAAGGCATACTGCTTTTAACTGTCTTGGTCCAGAAGTGACATGCTTCACTTAATCTTACAATTCATTGGCCAAAATTAGCCACAAGAGCCCAATGCAAATGCCATGAAGGGGAACATGTGGACTATTTAGTGAACCCTACTTTGTCTGCCACTTACTCTTAAAAAAGAGGTTAACCAAGGAAAGAGACCTAGCCAATGTGAACTTGCAGTCTATTAGAATCTTTTGCTTTTCCTTTCCCCCGATTATAATAGGCTGTCAGTTTAGTATTCATCTAATATATGAAGGATTTATGCAATATTCATGTTGTTGAGATGTGAAATAAATCCTAGATCTATTTGAAATATTTTAAAGTTCATGGGCCAATGGTGCCAGTCATCAGATGTTGAGAGGCCTTAGGGGAAGAAAGAATGAGACTCTATGGCTTCATCAAGGCAGAGATGGCTACTATCATGATTCCGGATAATGCCCCCACACTTGCCCTAGCTGGTTTGCTATGACGGGCTAGAGGAGGAATATCTCAAAATTGGAAGGGAATATAAAATGTTGCATGAGAGAAGCTATTTATGCAGGTGTGTTTGTGTGTGTGTGTGTGTGTGTGTGTGTGTAGAGAGAGAGAGAGAGTCAAAATGTACTCTTTGGGTCTAGACAGGACATGTTTGTTGCCTTGATCTCTTCATAGAATGGGTAACATAACAGCAGCGAGCATTCCTGAAGTTCTCTGAACTAGACTGAAATCTGCAAAGCTTGTCCCCTCAATGAGGGACCCAGAGCAAGTGGTTCAAGAGGACTAAGAGAGAACCAGTTTTTAGTGCAAGGCCCCAGCTTCTCAAATCTTGGTTTTTGAGTTAAAAATCACATACTCATACTTATGAAAATCAAAGCACAAAGAATGGAAAATGAAAAGTGGAGATCCTCATTTCTTAAAAGTTATGGTTGCCAGGGAAATCACATTTAATAGATTGGGATATATCACACACATCAAATGTCCTTCTTATGTTTATGTAAATATATATAGCTTTTACCAAAGCAAAATATTATTATATGTACAGTTATATAATAAATATGTGGTAATATAGATATTGGTATAGAGATACACATATGGAATGTATATTCTATATACATAGTTTTACATTAATATCTTAGATACCTTTCATTTCACTATGTATATCCACTTCATTCTTTTCAGTAATTTTGTGTTTATTATGTGGTTATACCACAATGGTTTAAACTATTCATCTTTTAAAGAATTTATTTCTATTGGTTGTTTTACAAACAGAGCTGCAAACAACAGCAATGTGCCAACACTTTGTGTCTTTTTTTTTGAGACAGAGTCTCACTCTGCCACCCAGGCTGGAGTGCGGTGGTGCCATCTCGGCTTACTGAAACCTCTGCCTCCTGGGTTCAAGCAGTTCTTCTGCCTCAGCCTCCCAAGTAGCTGAGATTACAGGCGCCTTCCACCATGCCCGGCTAATTTTTGTATTTTAGTAGAGATGAGGTTTCACCGTGTTGGCCAGTCTGGTCTCCAACTCCTGACCTCAAGCTATCCACCTGCCTTGGCCTCCCAAAGAGCAGGGATTATAGGAGTGAACCACTGCACCTGGCCCTCCTTTGTTTCTTTAGATAGTGTTTCTTGAAATAGATTCCTAGAAATAAGATTGAAGAGTATGTAAATTTTAAATTTTTCTACAGACTGTGTAATTTCTCTTCAAAAATGCCGATTATCAAAATGTCACTTTTTGATACTAAAAAATAGATTGTTTTAAACACACAAAGTAAGTAGGGCTTATCAAAAAGTTAATATATCTTGCATTTCTCACAAGTATGTTGAATTTCTCCCACTTGCATTTTACAGCAGGAATCCTGACTCAGTCTAACTTTCTTATACTTAAAAACATAACAGGCCAGAAGTTAGCACACATTTTCTATAGAAGGCCAGATAGTAAATACTGGTGTCTTTGTGGGTTATATCATTTCTGTTAGAACAATGTGACTCCACCTTTGTCTTGGGAAAGCTGCAATAAATAATATGTAAAAGGGCAGGAGTGGCTGTGTTTCAACCAAACTTTATTTACAAAACAGGGTCATGCTAGATTTGTTCTGAGGACCATAGTTTCTTAACCTCAATCTAGGCAATCCGTCAAATAATTCTGCATTCACAATAGAAGTCTTGTTGTATATATTGGCTGACTGTCTTTCCTTTCTCTAATGTTAACCACTGATTTTGTGGAGCATGGATTCTAGGGAAATAATACCCAGGTAAGATGTCTATTACCATGTGTGTCTTATTTTTAAAAGAGTGGTTAAATTCTTATTGAGGCCGGGCACAGTGGCTTATGCCTGTAATCCCAGCACTTTGGGAGCCTGAGGCAGGCGGATCTCTCCGGTCAGGAGTTCAAGACCTGCCTGGCCAACATGGTGAAGACCCGTCTCTATTAAAAATACAAAAATTAGCCGGGTGTAGTGCCATGCACCTGTAATCCCAGCTACTTGGGAGGCTGAGGCAGGAGGGTCACTGGAACCTGGGAGGTGGAGGTTGCAGTGAGCCGACATCACACCACTGCACTCCAGCCTGGGTGACCAAGTAAGACTCCATCTCAAAAACACAAACAAACAAACAAACAAAAAAACAAAAACCAGTTTTATTGAGAAATTCAGTAGTTTTTGGTCTTTGGTCTGTATGTATATCACATAGGGGTTTGGTAAAAGTCTAGATTCCCACATCCAAACCCAATTCTCTTGTGAGCATTTTAAACGACCATCCCAGGTGGTTCTGGAATGCTCATAGGTTTGCATATTAGTTACACTATTTATTTGCTGCATGGCCTTGGACAAGTTGTTTTAACCCTCTGAGCCAACATTTCCTCTTCTATCAAATGGGAATATTAATAATACTTAGCCCTTGGAGACATTGTTAGAATTTGAAGGACAATGAATAATTTTTAAGAGAGCTTGACCCATGAGAAAAATAAACTTAAATGCATGAATATATATATCAAGCATGAATTTACCTAGTGCATATGCATTATACACTGGGTGCATAATATTTTATAAAATAATCCTTGTTTTATAAAGTAGTGTTTCATTATTTGGGGAGAGGCATTACCGTCATTTCCTTTCTGTTGACTTCCCCTCTTCAGAGTTTTCTACTCTTCCCCTCCCATCCCACCACCTTGCTTTGTCACAAAACAAAGCCAATAGGATCACCAACAGTTTAAGACTGGTTTACTCAAAACAAATTCATTATTTTACATAGCTGAACATAGAAATGGTAAATAATGTTCTATAAATATTTGTTGGTTGACAGCTTTGGAACAATGTCCTCTAGAAAAAGCTGAACGTAGCCACCCACCTTGTATGAGAGCCACAAAGAATAGCCATGTGCCTGAATATGTGTCAGCCGCTGTGTGACTGGAGGGGCTGAGGAAGGGGCGTAGAGGGTGTTGTGAAGTCCCTTCTGACAAGCAGTCAAGAACGCATAGAAATACATTACAAAAATTAAATAGTCTAGATAAGTTGAAATGCATGTTAAGAAGAGTCCCAGAGTGTGGTTGCTTGGGTAGGGGTAGGTTCAGGAATTGAAGGGACGTCCCTAGGGCCTGGGTCCCTGCTTCCTAATCTGCCACAAACGTAACAGTGTCTTGTTGCTTCCAGGTCACTCAGGGATTTGACTCTGAGATCAATGATGCACTTGGCACCAGAACTTGGTGGGGTTGGCACAGACATGCCAGCCTCAGCCACTTTCATTCTGGAAGCTGTTAAAAGAGACAGTTATAAAAATTGAGGAATCAGCAAGGGAATTCCTGGTCCCATGCTGCCTTCCCATCTCTGTCTTGGCAAGCATAGGGCCTATCCACTTGTTCAAGATTCTTTGCCCAACCTCAGCTCCCTAGACTTTACCTCAGTGGCTCAGGCGGTCTCCTCAGGCAGCCTCCTCCTGCTAACACTTCCTCCTCTCTTCCCTCTGCCAGGGGCAGCTCTTCCCTGGTTCCCTGCAGACCCCAGGTCAGGCCAGAAAACACCTCTATGGCCCTTCCCTGTGTCCCACCACCAGATAGGACCTCAAAGGCCTGGGGTCCCCAGGATGGCCCTCAAACCGACTGGTGCCCTTGCAGGCTGCCACCCTCCAAGTCCTGCTTCTCTCCAGAGATGGGCAGAAGCACCAGCCCTCGCCTGGCACCAGCAGTGAGTCTCATAATTGCCATTTACCATTTTGCTAGGGGGGCTTCTGGGGGTCCTAGGAAAAGCAGCAGATGCCTGGGTGCTTGGGGACCTGGGCATTCTGAGGGAAGGAGCAGCGTGACCCTGAGTCATTTTTCACTGGGGACAAGTGAGCCAACTCCTTCTACCCAGTGATAAAATCAGAAGGAAGTAGATGGAGACAGCACTGTTCAGGGGATGATTTGGGGATGAGAAGAACTGGCAGGAAGTTGGAGATTTGGGGGTGAGAAGAACCAGCAGGAAGTTGGGGATTTCTTGTTTCCCCACTTTTCCCTTCCATTTCTGTTTGAGCCTTAGGTTTGGCCTCCATCTCCCTCTGTAGAAATTGCAGCTAGTTAGATAGTCTGCCTCTTATTCCAGCTCTACTGGGGGAACATAATATGGTCTAAGAAGAAATTTTTCCAGCAAGAGGCCATCTCTGCAAATCACCTGTGAGGCAGACCTGTGGCAATTTTATGACTCAGCTGGCCACCAGGAAGCGATTGTAGCTGGGTTCTGCCCCTTATTGAAACCTACTCAATGTTCTCCTTCACTAAGTAGGACAAGACCGTACCCTGCCTTTAAGGTTTATAGAATAGAAAGTGAAAACACTTTGGGGAAGAAAATCTTCCTGAACAGATAGCCCAGGGCATTTTGAAAATCCCTTAGGAAGTTCTCTGTTTCACTTGGGTACCTCTGTCCCTGGACTTTGGCGATGTGGTTTGACCCCAGCCAGAGAGTGCAGGGAACAACAGCAAAAGGCAGGACAAAGACTGACTCGTGAGAGGAGGCCCAGGAACAGGGGGGCATCGTGAGAGAGGAGGACGTGAGGGCCCAAGAGTGTGAGCAGAAGAGGATAGGACTTGGGCACTCAGTCACCAGCTGTGGGGTCTGAGCTGTGTCCCCTTCTCTAAAGAGGTAAGCCCTGAGTCATGGGAAGATGGAAACCGGGGCTCATGAGACAGGATGTTTTTTAAGCACCGTGGTGTCTTGTTGACTTGCACATGCAAGGGGGTCTTGGGTAACCACAGGGCTCAGGGTATTTGCAGGAACAGTTCAAGTGCTCACTTGTCTTGGGGCTGTTTGTGGGGAAGTGGTTTCCACAGCAACAGGAGGTGAGATATTGGTGTTACCCCAGACCACACTTAGCTACTTCCTTCTCACTAAAGCTCTGTAGTCATATTTTCCCTGGCAGAGCAGAAACTTCTCTGTTATCCCACAGCTGTTCTAACGGTGTAGACTTGACTTATGCAATGATGCCAGGAGTCCTGAGCAGCACAGCCCAACTTCAATCACACACAGATGGACAGAGCTGTATTAGCAAAGCCTGAGCTACTGAGCGATGAGAGTACAGCCAGGCTTTCAGACATCTGTTCATTCAAGAGAGATATGCGCTAAGCCAAGGACCTAAAGATGTGTTTAATATGGGTGCTAATATGCATAAGGAACCTTGAAATAAATGTTCTTAGCCTTTGGCCAAGAGGGTCCATGTCTAGGAATCTATTCTCCATAGAAATAAATTCAAATATGGAAAAAATGAACAATGCATAAGTGTATTTGGTCCCCAGCATATTTATAGCAACTTAAAATTGGACCCAATTTAAATTGCCTATGATATGGAAATGGCTAAGAAAATTATGGGATCTTCCCTTGATTGGCTATTAGGCAGCCTTTACAAACAATGCAGTGACATGAGAAATGCTTATGTTATGGTAAGCTTAAAAAACTCAAGATGCAAATCAGCTTATTTTAATCAGGAGCCACCTAGCATTTGGGATGTGGTCAATCCCACATAATGTATTTTTGTGGGTGCAGTTCCCAGGAAAGAGGAGGAATAAAAACGGCAAGTATGAAGTGTCTCCTTCGCTTGCAGTCTCCTTGTCTACCCCTTTGTCCATCCACTATGAAAGGACTCCCTTCTGTTCCTTAATATGGACAATTTCTATTGAGGACTCATTGTTCTAAGAATTGTCTCATCTCCTCCTGCATCCTCAGTGCCCGATCTTTGGCTTCTATGAAGGAAGGTGGGTAGTGCTTATGGCAGGGCCAGTTCTACCTTTCTCAGTATGTTCTGGAGTGGGTATGTAGCCCCATTTTCTAGTGGTTACCTTGACATCATGAAGAGTTTATGTCTCTTTTGCCCTAGATTTGGGCAATAGTCATTCATTGGGCAACTGGAAATAACACAAGTCAGCATCTCATTAAAAATAAAGTCATTCAGGAAAGTGGACGACTAATAGTTTCTAATCTAGAGAGCATAGGAGAAGAAATGTTTACCACACACAAAGTATTAGTGCCTTTTATATCATCAAGACAAAAATAACAGGAAAAAGACAAACACATTATAGTGAAAACTTGTTTTTCCTGACCAGCATCTATTCTGCATGTTCCCTGATGCCAGAAACTCACATTTCTTCAGGGCAAACCCCCTTCCCCACCATTCTCAGGCTTTAAGTTTATGTAAAATTCAGTAAACCCAAAGATTCAAGTTATGTGCCTTGATTAACTTAAGCAAATCAATGAAACCCATCCCCATAACCACAGCGACTGGTTAGGAATTCGGTTCCTAAGTCAGTCAAATCCAAAAGGGCCTAGTGATGTTTTTTCCAATGGGAACACAGACTCACTCTTCCCTGCAGAAAATGAACAAGGATTCATGTACACTGGCAGGTACTGGCAGCCACCCAGGGCCTCTCACAGGAAAGGGAGATCAGAAAGAGAAGCAAAGAGGACTCATGAGATACCACAGGGCCGCTGCGTCCAGCCTTGCCTGGAGCTAGGGCCACCTCGATGCCCTATAGTCTTGGAGCCACAAGGTGCATTTACTCAAAGCCTCTTTGAGTTTGGTTTGCTTGTTTGCTTTCTGCCTGGAAACTGCCAGCATCCTGAGAGATACGAGATCTGCATCTGTGCAGAGACACAGGGTTTGTTAAAAGTCACAGGCCCTGACTGAAGTGTGGAACTGGCTGAAATGAGAAAGTAGGAGGTAATTTGGTGAGGACCTTGTGAAATGGAAGTGAGTTTTAAACCTTACATGCATCAGAATTACCTGGAGCCTTGTGAAAACACAGGTTGCTGGGCCCTAGTCTATTAAGAAAGGAAGTGGGGCTCAGAATATGCCTTTCTCCCAAGTTCCCAGGTGATATTCACCATGCTGTCCTGTCTGGGCACTACCTTTTGCCATACCCATTACAAGGTATTGCACGTGCTGGTTGAACTATGGTCTGTCTTATTTTGGTGCTAAAAGCCTGTGCCAAATACCAAGGCTGCAGCATTAAGGAATTTGTTAGAAAAGATTCTGAATATTGGAATTTAGTTGCTGTGTATTATATCAGTAAGGTCCTTTAAGAAAGAGTTTAGGCTACTTTGAAATGGGCTCATCTGAAATTGAAAAAGAAGAAATGCGACTTGCTAAAAAGGCCCTTCCAGCCTGTTGACTGAGAATCCAGTAATCTGAAGACTGAAAGGGCTGTAAATGCAGGATTTTCTACTCTAAGATAAAGTTAGCATGAGCAGAGACAGGAAGATGAGAGACATAATGAGGCCAAGCGTCAAATATTCATCACCTCCACATGGGCCAAGATGCAGGCAGAGGTCTCTCACCAGGGGCTGGGAGGTCGGGGTGACAATGGTAGTGCAGTCTGTGCTAGAAAGTGCACATCCCCAGCTGGGCGCAGTGGCTCACGCCTGTAAGCTCAGCACTTTGGGAGGCCAATGCTGGCGGATCATGAGGTCAGGAGTTAGAGGCCAGCCTGGCCAACATGGTGAAACCCTATCTCTACTAAAAATATAAAAACTTAGCTGGGTGTGGTGGCGGGCACCTGTAATTCAGCTACTTGGGAGGCTGAGGCAGGAGAATCGCTTGAACCCGGAAGGCGGAGGTTACAGTGAGCCGCGATCACGCCACTGCACTCTAGCCTGGGTGATAGTGGGAGACTCCATCTCAAAAAAAAAAAAAAAAAAAGAAAAAAGAAAATGCACATCCCCAACCCCAGTTAAAATGCAAATGCAAACTATGTAACTGACAACCTGTCTGCTTCTGGCTACCTGGCCCATGGAATTGATCAGAAGCAAATAGTAGCCTACAGACATTAGAAGGGAGTCACATTGCCAAAGAAACCATAAGACTGGTTCCAAAAAGTTGCTGATTGCACAATACCTAAGGCAACCTCAGGCTAACTCACACAGACAGGAAGTCAGCAGCCTCCAGAAAGCAGATCCTCCACATTGCACATCTCAGATTGTCCATAGAGGACATTCTCCCAGGGAGGAGAGCTAGGGACTGCCAGATCAGCTGAACTGCTTAAAAATGCAGTACCCATTCTCCAGTTCCCTATCAGGGGTCTTTGTTCAACTTACTGTTTGTTCATAACACTTGTATTTAGGGAATGTTGGGCATGATTAAACTTCGTTTAGCTTTGGGTTTCTAGACCTTGAGAAACAATTCAGTGCAGGCAAATATTGTATGCCCCTATATTTTTTCCTGAAAGCCAATAAAGAAGGAATGATGACACCTTCACTGCGTCTATGGGGACAAAAGCTGCTTGTGTGTGTGTGTGTGTGTGTGTGTGTGTGTGTGTGCGTGTGTGTGTGTGAGAGAGAGAGAGAGAGAGAGAAACAGCCTTGTCAAAAAGACGTGTTTGTTGCTGTACCCTCATTATATGAAAGCCATCATGGCATCAAAACAGTATAAGCCAGGTTGAGCTCTATCCTCTCTGCATCAACTCAGAATCCCTACCAGAAAGTGGTTGTGATGGATGGAATATCACCCATCAAAGAATAGGGTAAGATGAGACCAGAGAGGTAAGCTATGCAAGCTAATCAGAAAATAACTCAAAGTTTTAAAAGTGCAGAATATAAAAAGGAAAAACCCTCATTCCTAAAAAAAAAAAAAAGCCTCATTTCCTCAAAGAAATCAGTTAGCTATTTGATGTGTATCTTTCCAAATATTTGCCTATGTAAATATATATGTATATATGGCATTTAAAAATAAAACAAAATAATATACTTTACAGATAGTTCCATAGCATATGTAGAGAATATATATGCATATACTGAATGTAATTAGGTCTGCCTTTTACATATAATATTATGGACACTTTCCACAGTTATAGATGTGTGCTACTTTTTTTTTACTGACTTCAGAATATTCCACTGATGGACATCTTAATCCTCTACTGATTAATCCCCTACTGATGACTGTTTGCATTTCTTTGCTGTTTGCCAACCACACTGCAAAGAATATCCTCATGTCTACATATCTTATCTTTTGGCAGTGTTTCTATGAAGCAGATTCCTAGAAATGGGATCAGGTCAAATGGGATGTAGTTCACATAGTATATGCATTTTAATATTTGCTAAGTAGTAGTGTTTATGCTTTAAAGAGTTGGAACACTACAATTCTAAACATGTTTGGACACAAAAAATAGATTATTTGAAACAAAATGAAATAAGCATAGCTCGTAAAAATTAACACGTTTGGTTTTCACACAAATATTTTGAATTTCTCTTTCTTCTGCAAAAAGGACCCTAGCTTAGTATGGATTTCTTGTACAGATAATGCAAACAATCCATCTATTAAATAACTTACCTTTCACAGTAAACCTATAGACAGCATCCTGCTCCACACAGAAGCTGATTGTCTTTTCCTTCTCTAACATTAGCTATTTATTTTGTAGAGTGTAGATTCTAGAGAAATAATGTATAATACACCTGTTGCCATATGCAGAGACTTACCACATTTAGAAAACAGTGGTGAATTCTATTGACAGTGGCTCTCAGTCATTAACATGCTATGGAACACCTCATGAGCTTGATAAAAATATCAGTTCCCAGGTCTACACTTAAAGATCCTATTTAAGTGGCTTCAACAATCACTGCTCAAACACTCTATGTCAACTCAGAATCCTGACAGGAAGTGGTTGCAATGGATAAAGTATCATCTGTTAAAGAATGGGGTAAGATTTGAGTATAGGCGGGTCATACTTTGGGAAATAACTTGGTCAATGGTTAACAGCATAGTCTGTAGTTCAATAAAAGTCCAGTTTTGGAACACAATTGACCGTTTACGTGCTGTGTAACCTCAGCCAAGTTGTCTAACCTTTCTGAGCCCTGGGTTACTTTTCTGTCAAGTGGAGGTATTAATAGTACCTAAGCTGTACTATTGCATTGGTAAGATTAAATGAGCAATGTATAAAAAGCGCTCAGTAGGAGGAGTAAGCCTCAACAATGTAAATAATTGCTATTAAGAGCTTGATTCATCATGAATATGCCCTACAGAATACTATGCTTAATGGTGGCCATTCGAGTAGTGAATTCTCCTAGAGCATGCATGTTATGATTTGAGTTATAACATATTCGTAGTTTCAATGTTCCAGAACTGTGTCTCCGTTGTAAAGTGGATAACTCTGTGGTAGCCCTCCCCATCTCTCCCAATTTCCCTCCATTTCACCTCTTCCTAATCTTTGCCTATGATTCCTCTTAACCAGTGATTTTGATTTGCCAGAAAAACAAAACCAAACTCAATACTGGTTTACCTTTTAAAAGAGCATCTTTATTATTTCCCCAGGCCGATCACAGCCCTGAACAAAAGCATCCGATACACATTTGTCAGTCTGGTGGCTTTGGTGCCATGACTGCCTACACAGGCTGATGACAGCCACTCGGTTGTCACCAGACGCGGTGTGAGGGAAGGGGGAGGGGACAGGGGAACTCTCAGAGCAAACAATCACAAACACACTGTGAAATCGAAAATAAATTACAAAAACTAAATAGTATAAATAAATTAAAATTTAAGTTAAGAAGAGTCCCACAGTGTGGCTGTTTGGCAACAACCAGTCCATAGAAGAGGTAGCTGTGGAGGTCACACGCATGTTCCCAAGGCTCAGGCTCCTGCTCCTCCCCACTGGGCCCACCGAGGTCGCTGGGCCTCGAAGCTTCTGGACCCCTCAGGCACTCAGCTCCAGGTCGCTGACATATTTCTGGACCCACTCCTCACTGGGGTCAGCACAGACCTGCCGGCTTCGCTTGGTTAGGAAGCTGTGGAGAAGGGAGGAAGAGTTAAGCACTGGGGAATCCAGCAGGGGAATCCTGGGCCCACCATGGCCCCACCATTCTGCTCTCTGTCCTGGGCAGCTCAGGGCTTGCTCCTCTTTCAGGGGCCCCCTGCCTATCTCTGTCTAGAGAGCTTCTCTCAGTGACTCAGTAGGGGTGGCCCTCAGAGTGTCCCGCTGCCTCCTTCTTCCTGTCCCTTTCCTCTGGGCTGGGGCAGCCCTTCCTGACTCTGTAACACATGCCTCACTCCAGCTCCAAGTCAGGTCACACCTCGGAGCCCTGCGTCCTGTATCCCCGATAGGCTCCTGAAGGCTGGGCCTTTCCAGGATAGCCTTCTGGCCTGTCTCTGCCCCAACCCTGACCCTCCCTACCTCCATAGAGGTGAGCAGGAAGACTGGCACTTACATGACACCGGGCTTGGAGCACTGGCTGCTCGTCTCAAAGTAGTCAGCTATGAAATTCTGTGGAATCTGCCGGGAGGTGTAGCTGAAGCAGCAGGCGGTCGGCGTGTCAGCAGCAACTGTGGAGAAAGGAAGAGAATGAGCCCGAGTCACAGCTCAGAAGAAAAGGCCAGGCAGCTTCTGATCCCCGAGCAGTTGAGGAAGGCAGGCTTGCTCAGACCAAGTGACTGGAAGGCATTTGGGCATTTTTGCTGAGAAATGTCTCTTTGTTTCTGTCTGTATCCTTCTTTCTCCTTGACTCTTCATAGTGGGTTCTCTGTTTCTCTGTGTGATCCAGATACCTGAACGGACTGTTCTCTTATCTCAGTTCTCTTCAGGGAATTTTGTCTGGTTCAAGAAGTCATACCCCAACCCAAGAGAAGCCTTGGACATCTCTCATAAGACATCCAAGGGACAGAGCTCCTGGGAGACCTAGAGTGAGCTGGAGAGTGAACAACATACCCCACTGGGAAGTAAGCAGCCCTGGATTCTGCCTCTTGCTAACTGATTCGTTTCGAACCCTGTTTTTCTATCTGTAAAAGGGACTGTAACTCCCCTGCCCCTGCCTAGATTCTCATACCTGGAGACTAGGGGGCTAAGACCCCTTCTAGAGATAAAAATAAAAGTCTTAAAGAGAAAGACCAAGATGTTTGGCAGCCCTTTAAGAAGTTCTCTTTTCTCTTGGGGGCTTTTAGGCCACAAGAAAAGATTGATGTGGTCTAACCATGGCCAGAGAGTGGTGATACCCACAACGAAACTCAGACTCACGTGATGCAGAGAACTGGTTGCAGAGAGCCATGGTGCAGAGGAGGACAGCAAGGGCAGCAGTGGAGACCTGCATGATTCTGAGCAGGTGACGGAATGTGGGCTCGAGTGTCAGCAGAGCCAAGAAAGGACTGACCACTGTCTGCTGCCCGTGTCCTTCTGAAGTCTGAAACCAGCTCTCCTCTTTATAGGCAGCCCTGGCGGATGGGGAAATGGAATCTGGGGGTGAGGAGGGAAATTTTTAAGCGTAGTGATGCTGTCATGCTAAGTTGCACAACTCAGGGTCCCTGGTGACCACAGGGGCTCAGGATATCCAAGAATAGCATCTTTGAGCTATTCTCTAACTCTCAGCTCTCAACTCATGACTTGTTATAGTTTCATAGGGAAATGGTTTCTCCTGTGAGTGTGAAGAGGGGTATATGTCAACCCAAGGCTATTCTTAGTCAGTCCCTTCTCATAAGAACTGGTCTGTGCATGAACTCTCCAGCCCCATTCCTTCCCACAGAGCTGCAATTCTGCTTCCTCAGCTGCTATAACCACAGGGATAGGGTTGATGGGCTGATGCTGTGGAGGGCTGCACAACCCTTCCTCCTCCCAGAGGCAAAGAACTGAATGAAAGCTGGAGGAATAGAAAGCATGAGGTCATGTTTCAGTCATTTGTCTATTTATTAGTCATGTAGTGACTAGGGCGCTGTGTTAAACGCTAGTTGTGGATCATAAAAATACTTTAGAGGTGGGTGTCAATATGTCAGGTGCCTAGAAATATCTGTAGCCATTAACCTAGAAAAAGCATTTCTAGGAAAGAGTTCTGTGGAAACAACCCAAATATGGAGCCATCTTCAAACATAAAGATACCTGACCCAGCATCGTTTATAACTCTAAAATAAACAAAGCTAAATTTTTCTCCATCAGGGAATGATAAATTATCCACTAGATCATTTATTATTAAGTCTCTAAAATGAATGAAGTGGCATAAATATGCTTATAACATCAGTGGTTAAAAAAAGCAAGATACGACATTATACAAATTCTACAAAGTCTGAAGAATTGTACAAATATATATATATATTTGTACTATATATACATGTATTTGTACATATACACATATATATTTGTACAAATATATATATATTCCTTGCCAACCCTAAGCATGGAAAAAAATACAAAGGCTTGGAAATACATGCCTTAAAGAATGAATAGTTCTTATATTTGTGTGATAGGTCCCTGGGTGATTTATTTTCTTATTTTTTTCTTTTTCTGAATTTTTCTCATTTTACTTAGTTAGACTTTATTACCTTCTTGGTCAGCCCACAAATTTATAAACTAATTTTTAAAAAAACATTTCCAACATCACTGGTTGAAAAATAGGTTGTTGTCAGTTGTTTAATCTGAAAGAAATTATTGATAAATATGCTGAAGTTTCTGTTCAATGGTTTTGGCCAAAATGAAGTCTTGATTTCCCATTTCTTTGAACCATTTTAAGGATCCTATACTATACTTACATAAATCATGCCAAATTGAAGCAGTTTTTTACTTATTCTTTTCAATACATAATTTCAGTGGTGTGGAAGGGTCTCTACCTTCTCAGCCAGATTATATGCTTTTTTTTCTTTTCCATACTTTGTTATTTTATTCTTTCACAATCAATCAGCATACCTCATTTTATAATGAGAAATAGATTTAGTTGGTTTTAATGATCTTTGTTTCTGAGATGCCCCTGATCTCGTGGGGGCAGGTAGAGTGTATGAACAGGTAATTGTAGCATTTAGCCGAAAGTGCTAGGACTCCTAGTAGAAAAAGAAATGAAAGCTCAGAATCCCACGAGGGGAAGAAGTGACCTTCCACCAGAGGGTTGGGGAAGGCTTCATGGAAGGGATGGAACTTTAGTTGTGTCTGGATAACTGCCCGGGATTTAGGCATCTATAGATGAGTGCCCAGCTGAGGCAGAGTCCTGAGTGTGACATTGTGGGTTCAGAGGAAAGAGGGGGTGCTTCAGTGGAGCTGCAGAGCAGTGGGGGTGAATATGGATGATAAAGCTAAATTGGGACCAAACCAGGACAGGCCTTGTATTCCCCCCAAAGGGGTTAGAGTTGATACATTTGATGCTGGAGAATAACAGAGGACAGAAGCCAAGTGCGACCATGCCTTTGGAATTCTGTCCTTTCTAAGTGTCTGTAGACTTAGGTCTTTTAATACACATGGGCTCTGTTTCCTTCCCACCCCAATGATGGCTAGTGCCAGTCTTGAGGGAGGAGAAGCAGAAGCAAGATCAGGGGCCGTGGTAGGTTTCACCGGAGCTTTGGCATCCATGTATCTTCCCCTATTGCTACCAATTCCAAATAAAGGTATCTCTGCCACTTGTATCATTAGAAACCTACATCACAGGCAATGCCTCCTTCTCACCCCACCCTCTGCCTCCCAGCTCTCAGTGATACCCAGAATTGCATTCCCTCACTCACTTCTTAGGGGAACCCCCTCCATACTCGTGATTCCATTTCTGAGAGCTGGCTTCTGTGAGTTGTGGAGAGTGAGAAAAGGAAATGGAAACTGCTGAATCAGTCAGTGTTCTGATAAGGGACATCTTCTATCTCTGTCATTACAGCACCGTGTGTTATAATTAGTTATCTATGTAATTTGCTCTTCAAAAATCTAGACCATGCCCTGTTGATTTTATTTTAGTTTCTTTTTCTCAAGAAATTTATAGTTTAATAAAGGCAATGTGGGAGTTTGGAAACAAATTTTTATTTCACGCTAATGATAGATTAGCAACTACACAAATTTTAGTTCACAATATGTAATTTTTATTGAGTGATCACCATGTGCTGATTTCCATAATAGGGATTCACGTTTGAACTGTCTTCAAAACAACCCTATGATTTAGTTACCAGTATACTTTCTCAGTTGAATAGGTGAAGAAACCAAAGTAAATAGAGGTTAAGCAATTTTCCGAAGGCCGTAAAGCTGATGACTAGCAGAGCAGGGATTCAAATCCAGGTAGTCTGACTCTAGGTACCACACGCTACACGTCCTGTACCACAACTTATTATATTTGATCCTCACAACACTCCTATAATGGTAGATTTTTTAGAGTGTCTTCTCAGATTGTAAACCAACTCCAGACCATGTCTTGTTGGTTGATTTAAACCAAATCCTAGCACATGATGATTATAACATGATGAGCCTCGTGACCTAGTCTCTATCTCTTATTATTGTGTTCTTTATAATAAAGATGATTTATTGAATATATAATTCTATCTCAGTGTTTATATATTTGTAAGACTTTCTCTATCAATCCCCAAACCAGGAACTATCCCTTTGCCATGTGTTTTGCTTGGATTGAAATATAGTTACATGCACAGCATGTGCTTAATTTATATACATTGAATGAATAATATAAGGGAGATGTAGGACGGGGTTGAGTTGGGAGGGTCTTAGACATTTCCTAGGTGGTAAATTGATGTTCCCAGTTGAAATGACGTACCCATGGTCATGTGGATGGAATTGGTCAGTTTTATATTCCACTATCTGTGTTAGCTACCAGTGTATCTCCAGTGATAATCACAATGCTTGACATATAGTGAAGCATAATAGCTATTTGATGAATAAATAAATCACTGATTTGACTAACAATATGTGTTATGCCTGAACTCTCACTATGGAGTTGAAATACTAATGGGAAAGGTAGGATAAGAAAGGCCATGGTGAGTGGAAACGGGGAGAGAATCAGGAAAAATAACTAATGGGTACTAGACTTAATACCTGGGTGATGAAATCACTTGTACACCAAACCCCCATGACACAAGTTTACGTATGTAACAAACCTGCATGTGCATCCCTGAACTTAAAATAAAACAAACACACACATACACACACACACACACACAGAATCAGGAGAGAGAGTCAGAAGTGTGATGGGTCTCCATAGCCAAGGAAGAATCTTTAAATAAAATGAGAATTGAAGTGGGGCATGGTGGTTCACGCCTGCAATCCCAGCACTTTTGGAGGCCGAGGTGGGTGGATCACCTGAGGCCAGGAGTTTGAGACCAGCCTGGCCAACGTGGTGAAACCCATCTCTACTAAAAATACAAAAAATTAGCCAGGCGTGTTGGCACATGCTTGTAGTCCCAGGTACTTGGGAGGCTGAGGCAGGAGAATCACCAGAACCTGGGAGGTTGTAGTGAGCCAAGATCGCACCACTGCGACCAGCCTGGGTGATAGAGCGAGACTCTGTTTCAAAAAAAAAAAAAAAAAAAAAAAAAAAATAGAATTGAGTGTCGTGATAAAGATGCAATTAGAAAGAGAAATGTAAACTTATATAAAGAAGTTTTCAGTAACTTGATCTAAAAGGTTATGATTTGCTTTAAAAAGAAAGGAAGGAAGGAAAGAAAGAAAGAGAAAGAAAGGAGAAAGAGAAAGAAAGAAGAAAGAAAGAGAGAGAAAGAAAGAAGAAAGAGAGAAAGGAAGAAAAAAGAAAGAAAGCAAAAGAAAGAAAGAGAGAGAAAAAGAAAAAAGAAAGAAAGAGAGAAAGAAAGACCATGGTGTCACAGTCTTGATCTTTGGGAAACTGACCACCCAAGATTCCTTAGGTGGTGGTGACAGAAAGTAGCCAGCAGTCAACACCATGGACCCTTCAGCATGGAGGGATTTGATTTGTGTCCCAGCGTTCTGGCTCATTTCAGCCTCTGCGAGGCCCCACCTCAGTCCAGCAGAGCGTCCCAGTCCGCAGTGCGGGGAATCCTGGCTGGGCAGTTTGTCCTCTGCGGCGTCTTTGCCTTGCACTGCTCAGCTTGCCTCCCCACTGCGTGCTGCTGCCCATGCTCTCTAGTGCGGCGCATTGCTTTCCTTCAGATTCTGGCCCCGAGGCCCCACTTCCCCAAGTGTCACCCTCTGCTATCTCCTTTGGCAGCAGGCACCCCAGGGATGCGTTCACTGATGATGACACCCTCTTTGGCCCAGCTTTGGCCTCCTTTCCTCATATGTGGTCTGCGTGGTCAGGTTGCAGCAGGTGTGGGCCCCACCTTTCATGCAGGCAGAAGCAGCAGCCTGGAGTCCCCTGTCTAGTATCTTAGACAGACAATGTCTCATTGACACAGCCCCTTCTTTCTGCAGCCAGCCCTTTGTTTCCTGTCCTGAGTCCTTGTTATTTTCTCTAGCCATTTCTTGCATGTGTGCAGTAGGTCAGGGCGTATGTCTTGGTACTGGATCTGATCCCTCTCCCGGTCCCTTGCCCCTTCTTCCATATTCTCTATGCAATAAAAAGTGCCTCTTCCTATCAATATTCCAAGCCGGAAAGTTGAGAGTCACCCTTGTCTCCTCTTTCTCTATCATTTCCTATACCTATTCAATCACCAACTCTAGTCTACATTCAATTTTACGTGCATCTGTCTCTCACCATTCCCACTGCCTCTGTCTTAGGTCAGGTTCTTATGGTTTCTCACCATGACAACTAGAAGATGGTCTTAGCAACTCCCTTCCCTCCCTCCTTCCCTCCCTCCCTCCCTCCTTCCTTTCTCTCTCTTTCTTTCTTTTTCTTTCTTTCTTTCTTTCTTTCCTTTCTTTCTCTCTTTCTCTCTCTCTCCCTTCCTTCCTTCCTTCCTTCCTTCCTTCCTTCCTTCCTTCCTTCCTTCCTTCCTTCCTTCCTTCCTTCCTTCCTTCCTTCCTTCTTTCTTTCTTTCTTTCTTTCTTTCTTTCTTTCTTTCTTTCTTTCTTTCTTTCTTTCTTTCTTTTCTTCCAAGACAAGGTCTCATTCTGTGGCCCAGGCTGGAGTGCAGTGACTCGATCTTGGCTCACCGCAACCTTGGCCTCCCAGGCTCAAGCAATTCTTGTGCCTCAGCCTTCCTAGCAGCTGTGATTACAGGCATGTGCCACCATGCCCTGCTAATTTTTTTGTATTTTTCGTGGAGATGGGGTTTCACCATGTTGGCCAGGCTGGTCTTGAACTCCTGGCCTCAAGTGATCTGCCTGCTTCGGCCTCCCAAAGTGCTGGGATTGATTATAGGAGTGAGTCACCACGCCTGGCCTAGTTTTGTCTCTTTTTAATCTATCCCACCACACAGCATCCAACATAATTTTGCTAAAGCTCAAATCAGTCTCTGTTTCTCTCCTTTTAAAATCTTGCAAACATTCTACATTGCTTCTGGCATGAAATGGAAGCTTCTCTGTAACCTGACCCCTGTCTACCTCTTTGGCCTTGTGGCTTGCCAAGTTGAGACTTCCTGAAAACCAAGACAGCCTATTTGCACTACCTGTGGTTCCTTAAATGTGCAGCTTTCTTCCCTGCTTTTAATGAAGGAGGTGTTGACTTGGTAGAGCACAGTTTCCCCTTCTTGTAAGCCACAAGGCAGAGTGTAATACTACAAAAGTGGGCACATCCCATGACAGCTGCAGGGATTAATATTTAGAACAATTAAGGAAAAACACTACATCATTCCCCAAATTTTCTTTACTTTTTCTTTTTCTTTTTTTTTGGATGGAGTCTCACTGTGTCGCCCAGGCTGCAGTGCAGTGGCTCAATCTCGGTTCACTGCAACCTCCGATCCCACCTACCCCTCTCCCCGGGTTCAAGTGATTCTCCCACCTCAGCCTCCTGAGTAGCTGGGATTACAGGCGTGCACCACCACGCCTGGCTAATTTTTATATTTTTTGTAGAGACAGGGTTTCACCATGTTGGCCAGGCTGGTCTTGAACTCGTGACCTCAAGTGATCCGCCTGCCTTGGCCTCCCAAAGTGCTGGGATTATAGGTGTGAGCCACCAAGCCTGGCCTGTAATTCCCCACATTTTCTAAGGAAAAGAGGAAATCCATGGATCTTGCTGTTCAAAGACATGCAAAATGCAAAACAGAAAAGACATTTTACATTAGAATAACAGAAACTTTGGCTGTTGTGCTTTTAACATAAATTTATAATACAGCACACTTCCCTTTTGTGATTTATTCATGCTCTAGAGCCAGACTTCTTGGCTTCAGCTTCAAATCTGTTGTATGTCAGCTGTGTGTTTTTCCATAGGTTACGTACCTCTCTGTGCTTCAGTTTCTTCGTGTGTGAAAGGGGATAGTTACAGCACTTACCTCAGAGGGCCACTGTGAGGATTAAATGCATTAATATCTATGAAAGGCAGAGAACATTACTGGTTCATAAAAAGTGCTGTGTTAAGTGCTATCTACTATTATTACTATTACTATTTTATTATTATTGCAATATTTCAATATATCCATTTTACATCAAAAACAAGTGCAGGTCTCTTGTTCTTTGCCTGGATACCCCTGTGCCTGTCTTTGCCTGGCTAATCTCAGTTCAACCTACAATAGAGAAAAGTTAGAGCAACATAAATGGACAGATGTGAATAGCAGAGTGATTAAATACAACTTTTGGTATATCTATGCAATAAAATACCATGCATATATTCATGCCATTTTTGAGTAATATTTAAGTTTGTAATGACACAGAAGAAGATTAAGTAACAATAATAAGATACACTGGTTCATAAAAGACTATTAAGTACCAATAATAAAATATAAAACTAGGTACAGAATGATAGGGCAATTTTAATTTTCTTATTTATGCCTCCCTATATTTTCTCAATTTTGTACAATGACCATGTATATTTTCTATAAAAGAAAACCAAACTAATATAATTTTTTTTTTTTTTTGAGACAGTGTCTCACTCTGTCACCCAGGCTGGAGTGCAGTGGCGCGATCTCGGCTCACTGGAATCTCCACCTCCCAGATTCAAGAGATTCTCTTGCTTCAGCCTCCTGAGTAGCTGGGACTACAGGCATGTGCCACCATGCCAAGCTAAGTTTTTGTATTTTTAGTAGAGATGGGGTTTCACTATGTTGGCCAGGCTGTTCTCAAACTCCTGACCTCAGATGATCTACCCACCTCGGCCTCCCAAAGTGCTGAGATTATAGGCATGAGCCACCATGCCTGGCCTATAAATTTTTTTCAAAAAAAAAAATTCAGGTCTCACATTTTTTGGAGGCCTTCCTTAACACTACACTACCACCATCTAAAGTGCATACCCTCACCCTCAGACACAATGCCTGTCACACAGTAGTTACTCAATAAAGCTTTACTGAATTATGTTCATCTCTTGCTGGAGTATTCCCTATGACCTGCATGGAAAGAGGCCAGAAACAATTTGAAGGAAGATGCTTCACAAGGAATACTGAAAGTTTTCTTGACCTCATGAATGCTGGTGAGGCTTTATCCCTCTCTCAGGAATTTAGCATTGCCTGAAGTTCCTGACCTCTGCCTTTCACAAGCAAGAGCAGGTTGTGGCAGGCGACGAAGGTCCATTTCCATGGTAAGAAGCGTGGGGCTGGCCAGCTCCGTAGTCAGAGTGTGACAGTCACTGATGAGCTGCTCCAACCAGCTCATTGTCCTACAGATTTCATCCTGAAGAATTCTGCACTCTGGATAATTGTGTATTTGTTTCTTCAATTCACAATCCAGCTTCTGCTCCCATTTCCTCCAAAGTGACTTGGACACCATATTGGCAAAACTACAGGATTTGCCTCTTCTTGGTTTATTATCTTGGCAAAATGACCCTATGTTCCAGCTCCCCTTGGGTTTCCAGTCTCCACATTTGCCCTCCAGGGGTTCTCTAGTTCTATGCATCCCACCTCCTAGAGGCTACCTCTTGGCCCCAACACCCAGTGGTCTCCTCAACACTCTAGGAGAAGCCAGGATGTCCAGATTGACTGAGTGTGTTATGATCAGAGATTGCCTCTATGTGTAATCTCAGAGGCTCATACCTGTAGAGGGACTCTGGTCATCACTGAACTGGGAGTTGAAGACCCTGGGTCTTGACATGCATCCTGTGTGACCTTGATCGGGTCTTTTCACTTCTCTAGGTTTTGCTTTCCTCTTCTGTACCGTGGCAAAACAGATTGGGATCAGGTAAAACCACAGGCCATGGATATACTGAGGAAAATGAAAAAATACCAGGACATTTTCAAGGTCATGTTACTGCTGTGGCTGCTGGGCCTGTCTGCAGCCTGGGAGGTTGAGGACAACATGACAAGACAAATGTAAAAATGCCCAGAATGGAGTTATGAATATAGTGGTGGTCAAGGATGTGGAGGGGGAACCTCTAAATGACCACAAGTGAGGGGGAAAGAAGGGCTTCCCTGCTCAGGGTGAGGGGGTGGACCTCTGAATGGAGCTCCCTGGAACCAAGGATGACCCTTGCTGTCACTTCTTGCAACCCTGAGCTAAAAACAGTTGAGTCCAAGAATAGTATCCATTGTGATAAAACTACTGGATGCGTGGGTTGAGGGTGGGGGAGAAGGGGAAGTACCACACTATCAGGGCTGAGGAATCACCTTTTGGGTGGAATGTCAGAACACCCAGTTCATTCATACTTGGTTTACTCATTTGGCTATATAGGGGTCCACATCTTGAGTCCATGTTACTCATCACATTCCCTCCATGGAGATAAGCATAAACAGTTTCTGCATCAAGGAGCTCACTTTCTAGTTGGGGAGGCAACCACAGGAATAGATAAATATGTCATAGGTGGTAAGAAGAAATAGTTCAGGAGACTGTAGGAGCACAGTGAAGGATACAGAGTTTACTTGGGAAAGAGGTCAGGAAAGTTTCTCTAGGGAAGATGGGAATCTTTTTCGTCATGTATCTGAGAGTCATTTGTTATCATTGATTATTGGCTCTCCTTGGCTTTCCAGTCTCCACATTTGCCCTCCAGGAGTTCTAAATGGCACCAGTGCCTAAATCTTGGGGTGGGGGAAGTTAATATGGCTAAACGAAATGATACAAGTCCTTTTTACTCTCAGTGTGGACTTCCACTGGTGCAGACATAGTATTGTTGTTAGGATCTTCATGAAGATCTCTCAAAACCTTTTACCCCCATGAGCCAAAGATCAGATCAAGGCGAGGAAACAAAAGTCAACAGACAAACTCATTGTATGGCTCAGTGATGACTAATCACCCATTTTATCAATCATTATTCTCCTGAAGCCCCAGAACAGGCTTCCTCCTAACCCCTCCACCCTGCTCATTCAGACAGCTGCTTTAGTGGGGATTGAGACTTAACTTGAAACTACTCATCTACAGCTAATAGACAGCCTTCTCCATCCTTCAGCCTTCCTGACACTTTGTTTCTTCCTCTGACATGACACTTAGCTTATTCCTCCTCATGGGATAGTTATTTCTGTCACTGTCAATGCCATCACTAGACATGGAACTCTTCGAGGGCAGGGATGGGGCTTCATTCAGCTCTGTCTGCCCTGGCAAAGAGCAGATGGTTAGTACATTGGGTTGAATAAAAATGTCATAGATAACGAAGTCTGTGTTAATCCAGAGGACATGAGACACATTCTGCTTCCCTTAAAGTGAGGTCCTCGATGCATGAAGATGAAACTGCACCAACTAGGAAAGGCCAGGAGAGGTACTAACACATCTGCTATCAGGGAACTCGGAACATTACAGCTGGGGGCGAGGGTCTTGGAGAAGATCAGAACATTTGAAAAAAGAGCTGTACAAAGAAAAGGGGGAGAGAACAGATGAGAGAAGTGCAGCTTGTGTGTGCGGGTGGGGAGTGAGGGAGAGTGCTGAGGCAGGATGACCTTGTACTTTATTTAATGACCCTGAAGTACCCCAGGATGCTGCTCCAACCTCTCCTATGGCTCCCAGATGCTGTGGGTCCCTTTTTTTCTTAACTTGTATTTTAGGTTCAGGGGTACATGTGCAGGTTTGTTATATAGGTAAGTTGTGTGTTGCGGGGGGTTTGGTGTACAGATTATTTCATCACCCAGGTAATAAGCATAGTACCCAATAGGTAGTTTTTTTTATCCTCACCCTCCTCCCACCCTTCACCCTTAAGTAGGCCCTGGTGCCTGCTGTTCCCTTCTTTGTGTCCATGTGTACTCAATGTTTAGCTTCCACTTATAAGTGAGAACATGCAGTATTTGGTTTTCTGTTCCTGTGTTAGTTCGCTTAAGATAATGGCCTCCAGCTCCATCCATGTTGCTGCAAAGGGCATGATCTTGTTCTTTTTTTTTTTTTATGACTGAGAAGTATTCCATGATATATATATATATATATCCCAAATTTTTTTTATCCAGTCTACCATCAGTGGGCATTTAGGTTGATTCCATGTCTTTGCTATTGTGAATACTGTTGCGATGAACATACATGTGCACATGTCTTTATGGTAGAATGATTTATATTCCTTTGGGTATATACCCAATAATGGGATTGCTGGGTTGAATGGTAATTCTGTTTTAAGTTCTTTGAGAAATCGCCAAACTGCTTCCCACAATGGCTGAACTAATTTACATTCCCACCAGCAGTGTATAAGTGTTCCTTTTCTCCACAGCCTCACCAACATCTGTTATTTTTTGACTTTTTAAAAATAGCCATCCTGACTGGTTTGAGATGGTATCTCATTGTGGTTTTAATTTGCATTTCTCTAATGATTAGTGGTGCTGAGCATTTTTTGTATGTTTCTTGGCCGCGTGTATGTCTTCTTTTGAAATGTGTCTGTTTATGTTCAATGCCCACGTTTTAACGGAGTTGTTTGTTTTTTGCTTGTACATGTGTTTAAATTCCCTATAGATTCTGGATATTAGACCTTTGTGAGATACATAGTTTGTAAATATTTTCTCCCATTCTGTAGGTTATCTCTTTACTCTGCTGATAATTTCTTTTGCTGTGCAGAAGCTCTTTAGTTTAATTAGATCCCATTTGTCAGTTTTTGGTTTTGTTGTGATTTGTTTTTGGCATCTTCATCATGAAATATCTGCCAGATCCTATGCCCAGAATCATATTGTCTAGGTTATCTTACAGGTATCATATTTTTATAGTTTTATATTTTAGGTTTTACATTTAAGTCTTCAACCCATTGTGAGTTGATTTTTACAGATGGTGTAAGGAAGGGGTCCAGTTTCAATCTTTTGCATACAGCTAGCCAGTTATCCCAGTACCATTTATTGACTGGGAAGTCCTTTCCCTGTTGCTTGTTTTTGTTAACTTTGTCAAAGTTCGGATGGTTGCAGGTATGCAGCATTATTTCTGAGCTCTCTATTTTGTTCTATTGGTCTATGAGTCTGTTTTTGTACCAAAGCCATGCTGTTTTGGTTACTGCAGCCCTGTGGTATAGTTTGAAGTCATGGCTCCCTTTTTTTACTCTTCTTTTTTCTTTCTCAGAGAAGAGCAGGTAACAATGTGGGGTTAAAGGTGAGCAGGTGGGTTAGAGTAGTGGAGCTAAAGGCAGATAGAGGTCTTGATCCAATTATCCTCATTCCCTTCATTTGTCCAACCTTGCACATTCCTGTATGCAGGGCCTTTGTAAGCTTCACCTTCTGTACAGGTGCCCAGCAACTGTCAAACCAGCCAGGGCTTAACATGAGCATGGGCATTCCCTATGGACTGGCTGGGACACACCCACATCCTTAGATTACACATTTTGCCTGTAACATAGATAAACTAATTACTAGGTATATAATTCTGTTTCGTTTTGTTTTGCTTTGTTTTGTTTTTGGGACAGGGTCTCATTCTGTCAAACAAGCGGGAGTGCAGTGGCACAATCACCACTCACTGCAGCCTGGACTTTTCTGGGCTCAGGTGATCTTCCCACCTCAGCCTACTGAGCAGCTGGGACTACAGGTGTGTATCACCACTCCCAGCCAAAATATTTTTTTATAGAGACAGTGTTTCACCATGTTGCCCAGTCTGGTATCGAACTTCTGGGCTCAAGCTATCTGCCTGCCTTGACCTCCCAAAGTGCTGGGATTACAGGTGTGAGGCCCTGTACCCAGCTCAATCCTGTTTTTATACTAGAAGAACATTCTCTATCTGGGTCTTCCAAACTTGATTCTTACTGGTTAATTTGTCCTGTTCTTTTGCTGGTCCAAGAAAATATCCTGAAATCTTTATTTCTTCTCCGTTTCCTCCTTGTCCTAGGACAGACTAGCCCTATCCCCTTCCTGAATTAAGTCCGAATATAGTCAGTCTTTGAGTGTGGAATAGCTCCTAGCAGTCTATCAGTCAACGGGTTCTCTTTGTGGTCACATTCTATGTTTATTCAGGAGACTACAGCATGGAAAGAAAATGGACTTTGGAGTCAGGTGAATCTTGATTCAAATCTTGGCAGTGCCATTCATCAGCTCTGTGGCATTGAGCGCATCAGTGGACCACTCTCTGATCCCCAATTGCCTTGTCTGTAAAATGAGATTAGACACCCCTGCTCAAGATTATGGTAGGATTATATATAATGTGTGTAACACAGCTTTTCCAGTGCCTGGTACAAGGTAAGTGTCCAATAAGAAGTTACAAATGTTCCTGAGCCACCCTACTGGGTCCCTCCTCACATCCAATGCTGGACTCTTCATGCCCAAGGAAACATATAAGGCACAAAAGTCAGTGGCACTCAGCTCAGCAGAAGAAGGCACAGGAAGGGGATGGGGGAGTCCTGGCTCCCACTTTGTTCTTGGGGTCAGGCTTGTGGCCAGCCTGGAAAGACTGACATGAACCCTCCAGCATCTGAGGGTGCCAACCACCAAGAGCAGCACAGTTCTTGTCTACAAGCCACTTGTAGCAGGTGTGAACATTTCATCTTTTCCTCTGGGGTTTGCAACTCTCTCCCCAGTCTCGGTCACTGCCTTTGGCTGTACCACTTCCCTTTTCTTCTCGCCTGCACCTCCCTCATCTTTCCTCTATGATGACATCGCCCTGGGGAAGAGAAGCTGAGAGGAACTCCTCACTCAGCTAGCTTCAGGAGCATGACGTCATCTCTACCATGGAAATTCCACTCACTCTCCTGTGCCCCCACATTTGTCCTAGGCCTCAGAGTCCCTATAAAGAGAGATTCCCAAGTCAGTATCAGCACAGGACACAGCTGGGTTCTGAAGCTTCTGAGTTCTGCAGCCTCACCTCTGAGAAAACCTCTTTTCCACCAATACCATGAAGCTCTGCGTGACTGTCCTGTCTCTCCTCATGCTAGTAGCTGCCTTCTGCTCTCCAGCGCTCTCAGCACCAAGTAAGTCTACTTTTGCAGCTGCTATTTCGAGTCAAGGTGTAGGCAGAGTCCTTTTTTCTAGTCATGGCTGGCAAACAGTGGGATCTGGGGATGGGACAAAAGGCAGCTAGGAAGATTGCCATGTAGTCTGCTGCTAAATGTAGAGTCTAGTAGATATTCAATAACATTCAAGTTCCTATTTTCTTAAGAATTAGCAACCAGCAGAGGAAAACGATGGGCTGGAAGTCAGACTGTTGAATTGGCTCTGCCTTTAATTATTTGTTCAAGCAAGCCCCTGTCCCTCTCTGTGCCTTGGTTTCCCCATCTGTCATATGAAGGGAGTGCGATGTGTTCTGAGACTGAATCCAGTTCCAATCTTCTAGATTTCTTTCTCGTTCTTCTCTGAAGATCCACTATTCAAAATAAGACTCCTGCTCATGTTAGGTGGGAATGGATATTTGGGGTTCTGGTAGCTCCACAGGGATGCTCAATGAAGATACAAAATTAGAAGTCAAAATAAACAGCTCCCACGGGCAGTGTTGATCTCACCCTGGCCTTTCCTTTCAGTGGGCTCAGACCCTCCCACCGCCTGCTGCTTTTCTTACACCGCGAGGAAGCTTCCTCGCAACTTTGTGGTAGATTACTATGAGACCAGCAGCCTCTGCTCCCAGCCAGCTGTGGTGTGAGTATCAACCCCTGGGCTGCCCTGGGAGGCAAGGGTGAGGGCTGGATTTTAAAAGAGGGCCTGTTTTGGGGAGGGGGTGATTGAGCATTGGGGAGGCAGCTCCCAGGGCTGAAGCCTTCCCTGAGAGCAGTGAGGACACAGGTCATGAACTCACTTTTCAAGTGCTGAAGGCGGCAGAGTGGGAGCCGAGAGAGAAGGGGGTTGCTGGGGAGGAAGTTATTCAGAGGACAGGGAAGCAGGGGAAGGCAGACAGGTCCCATGAGATATGGACCGATTCCTTAAACCGTGCTAGAAAGACATGTGGAAAAGTCACTGCCAGGCTGGCAGGGAATGGGGAGATCTATTCATATTGATTGCAATGCCCCTTGGTTCCTAATCTGGGCAACTCCTGGGGCCCACAGCTAAATCCAGTGGGTGGAAGTTACAGGGAGTCTGCTTCCAGTGCTGCTCCAGGAAGGATCCCATCCACCAGAGCTGCCCCACATGGACCATGGTCAGGCAGAGGAAGATGCAAAGGATAAAGCCAGATGACCTCAAAGGTCTCATGAGATTCTAATCTGTCCGCTCCTTGTTCTACAGATTCCAAACCAAAAGAAGCAAGCAAGTCTGTGCTGATCCCAGTGAATCCTGGGTCCAGGAGTACGTGTATGACCTGGAACTGAACTGAGCTGCTCAGAGACAGGAAGTCTTCAGGGAAGGTCACCTGAGCCCGGATGCTTCTCCATGAGACACATCTCCTCCATACTCAGGACTCCTCTCCGCAGTTCCTGTCCCTTCTCTTAATTTAATCTTTTTTATGTGCCGTGTTATTGTATTAGGTGTCATTTCCATTATTTATATTAGTTTAGCCAAAGGATAAGTGTCCCCTATGGGGATGGTCCACTGTCACTGTTTCTCTGCTGTTGCAAATACATGGATAACACATTTGATTCTGTGTGTTTTCATAATAAAACTTTAAAATAAAATGCAGACAGTTTCTTTGTGATTTTAATTTGATTTGGGGGTAAAAGGAATTGCCTGGTACCATTGGGAGGGACAAACTACAGTTTCCCAAAACAGTAAGAATGAGCAATTGCTGAGTCCTTAATATGAGCTCTGGGCTGAACACTCTTAATACACGATCTCACTGCGTACTTTCAACAAGGGTTTTAACACCCTTATGAACTAGGGACTGTTGCACCGAGTTTCACAGTTAAGGAAACAGAGGCACAGAGAGGTGAAGTGACTTGCTGAAGCTTGTAGGCCTGCTTGGGGAGTGTCATGAAAGAATGCCCCAGAAAAGGAGGTTATCATTTCAACATCTTGTGGGGGGAGTTGTAAAGAGGGGAAGCAGCACAGCAAAGGCGGAAGAAGAGTGAGAAGAGTGACTTCATCATCTTATTATTATTATAACATTGGGAAAGTCATCTTGCCTTATTAGACCTCGGTGTTCACAAGTGTGAAATGGGGATAATATTAACCACTTCGAAGGGCTGTTATAAGGTGATGTATAAAGCACCCATCATAGGACCAGGCACCTGGAAGTTTCTCTCCTTCCCTCTCTGAGCTTCAGCCTTTTCACTTAAAATGGACCTAGCAATTGTCAGGATCATCATGAGGATTAGATTAGTTAGTTGACAGATCAGCACTCTAAATCCCAATCTACTGTGAAGTGTTGTCATGAGGACAGCAGGATGGAGGTTTTGTTTGGAAGTGTTGCAGGAGTAACCTAAAGCCACTTCTACTTAATTATCCTTCAATCAGAACTGCCTATTCCATGGGTCAGACACAACACAACTCTGAAGTAGAATTACATGCACAATAAAGCCTGATCCATGGGACACAGACTCGTAGTCTACTAAAGCTAAAAGGAAAGTTTAGACCATCTGGTCCAACCCTCTCATTTTATGGAAACTGAGGGCCAAGGCCTGGGAAGTAACTTGCCACGTGCCACTCAGCGAGTGCATAGCAGAGCAGGAGCCTGGCCAATGCCAGCTCCCAGGCTCGGGCCCTTTCCTGCACACCTTCCCTAGTGACGCATCTCTGTGGTCCTCAAAAGGGAGACCGGTTGAGTAAGAACAAGGCGGAGACTATCTTGAAAATCATTTGAGTGTTCTTAGTCCTATGCAAAAGCAGAATTGGGGCCCTGCACTTCTCTGGGGTCAACAGACACAATTCCCTTCCTTGTCCTGCCCTTAGTCACCCTCATCATTCCAGAGCCCCAGTGGAAACTTCTTTCAGATTCTGCGGGGACTGAGAGAAGGAGGTTAGGGGGCAGAGCTGATCCAAAACAGGTGTAGGAAGAGGCTAGCAGCAAAGAATGTGCCTGGCCATAGTTTCTGCTTTCATTTGCCTAGATCTGAGCTGTCTAATATGTTAGCCACTGGCCAAAGTGGCTATTTACGTTTTCATTACATTTAATTAAAATGAAATAAAATTTAAAATTCAGTTCCTGAGTCACACTAGTCACATTTCAAGTGCTCAGTAGCTCCATGTGGCTAGCTCCCATGTTAGACAGCACGGATTACGGGCTTTCTGTCCATCATTGCAGAAAGTTCTGTTGGAGAGCAGTCTCCTAGAATGTTCTCAGAGCCTAAAGAAAGTGAAGGGAAGGGGAGTTGGGATGGCCTGTAAGATTAGAGTGTGGATTTTGAGAAAGATATGCAATTCTATTCTGAGGCGACGGGATGGGAGAGAGAATGGATGACTCCAGGCCAGAGACAAGGTATAGATCACTACGGTAGCTGAATAATGGCCCCCGAGGTGCACACATCCTATTCCTCAGAACCTGTGAATGTCACTTTTATAGCAAAATGGACTTTGGAGATATGATCAAGTTAAGAATCTTGAGATGAGTGATTACCTTGAATTATTTGGTCAGGCCCTAAATGCAGTTGTAAGTGTCCTTATAAGGGGGAGGAAGAGAAGAATTTGGTAATAGAGGAGAAGATAGCAATGTGACAACAGAAGCAAGATGCTATGCTGCTGGCTTGGAAGATGGAGGAAGAGGCCAGGAGCCAAGAAGTGTTAGGATGCAGCTCTAGAAGCTGCAAATGGCAAGGAAATTTTTCCTCCCCTAGAGCCTCCAAAGGGAGTGTGGCTTAGTGAAACTAATTTCAGACTTCTCACCTCCAGAACTTTAAGAGAATAAATATGTGGTTATAAGATGTTAAGTGTGTGGTAATTTTTTACAGCAGCAATAGGAACAAATACAACCACCAACTGACGCGTCACTGATAGCGGCCCCCAATAGCTCAGTGTGGCAGGAAAGGGAGCATTCTAGAGGGTGAGCCAAACCTCCCTGCAGGAGGAACCCAGGGTGAGAGGGACACACCTCAAGGAGATGAACTATAATGAGGAGAGGCATCCCAAGAGGAGATCTGCTTCAGCAACTGAGTTCTGGGGCTGAGGCTTGATCCAGGGTCCAAGACCCTTAGGAAGCATGCCTCTTCTTGAGACATCTAGGGTGCTCTGAGGGGTCCTGGATTCCTGTCCGGGAAAGAATCCATCCTCTCATCTGTCAGATGCAGCCCAGAGCAGAGCCATGACCTGTCTCTGGTTCATTGTTGAGCAGGCAAGGTCAGGGCCAGAATCTGGGTCTTCTCCCTCACGATGGAGTCCCTTTCCCAATCCTCCCTGCCCCTCAGCTAATGGAAAGGGAGGAGCTCAGCTCCACAGAGGCAAGACCACCAGGGAAGGCTGCAGGAGGCCTGGGCAGCCTCATGAAGAAATGCTTCACCAGCAATTACAAACAGCAGAATGGAATCCTCGAAGTGGGGCAATGTGGGACTTCACCTGTTGCACAATATGAGACTGTTTTTTTCCTTTCTCCTCTTTTCATACAACTTCCTTTTCTCACCCTGGGCCCAGAGAGCTGGAATCTGCTTACTTGACGTTCCATTTGAGGTTTCTCCAGGTTTCCGGGTGGGGACAGAAGCCAGAACAGATGAAGCAGGACACTCGAAAGGAACTATGGATTATGGAGCAACTTCTAGGCATCCGGCCTGTTTTCCTACTCCTTGCAGTGCCCACCTCCCCCAGCTCACTCTCCAGATGGGAGTCCATTTCCTTATGTACATGTTCCTTTAGGACATGTTCATGCAAACATGTCCTCATCCCCCTATCCCACCTCAACCTGGAACCCTCCATCATGCTCCCATTGACACAGGCATTTTCCTCCAAGGAGGCCAGGAGCCGAGCAAGCAGAGGCAGGGATCAAGGGAGCAAGATGAGCTGAGGATGGTGACATAGCCACAGCTCTTCCTCGAGGCTGAGACCAGAGACCAGGTGGCAGTCCTGTACTGCAGTCTGCATTCACCCTTTACAGACTTGAGGGTCTTGGCGCCCTCTCTTTCCCACTTATCTCTACCTGTTCTCCCTTCTAAACTCCTTCTCTCTTGGGTTCCCACTGAGTCTAGCATACAGGAAAATGGAAGAAAAGAATTGAGAGACAAAATCATGGCACATTTTTCTACCTTTTAATAAGTTTCATTTTTGGATACAGCCAATGCCTCGTATATGTGGGTTCCACATCTGTGGATTCAGTCAACAATGGATGGAAAATATTTGGGAAAGAAAGCACAACAGGCCAGATGTGATGGCTCACACCTGTAATCCCAGCACTTTGGGAGGCTAAGGTGGATCATTTGAGCTCAGGAATTCGAGACCAGTCTGGGCAAACATAACAAGAACCTGATCCTACAAAAAATATCAAAATTAGTGGGGTGAGGTGGCACATGCCTGTAGTCCCAGCTACTTGGGAGGCTGAGGCAGGAGGATTGCTTGAGCCCCGGAGGCAGAAGTTACAGACAGCTGAGATGACGTGACTGCACTCCAGCCTGGGCGCTAGAGCAAAATCCTGTCTCAAAAACTAAATAATAATAATAACAAAATACAAATAAAAAACAATGCAGTATAACAATGATTTACATTTACATTTATTAACAGCACTTACATTGTTTAGGTATTCTAAGTAATCTGGAGATGAAAGTATACGGGAGGATGTGCATAGGTTATGGGCAAATAATATGCTATTTTATATCAGAGATATTTGTGCATCTGTAGATTTTGGAAGCCATGGGAATTCCTAGAAACAATCCCCTGTGGATATCAAGAGATGGCTCTATACGATAAGTGTGTAAAATATATATATTCAGAAGGAATCAGAAAATCAAAATTAATGTCTCTCAGGGAAGATGGGCTTGATGGGACTTGATGGAGGATGGTCTGGGAGACTATCCCCTTCTACGGAAACATTCCCTACTAGGAGACCAGCACAGCTGCAGGGAAATAATTTCTTCAGGCAGTGTTAGCAGCTTCTAAATCTCGGGACCCTATGTCCCTGGGCTCCTCAAGGAGATGTTGGTTATTTACAGTGACTCCTGATTCATTTCCTTAGGGGGTCCTCTCTTCCTTCAGCTAGGGACTTGAAGGGGAAAAGTGCCAGCATTTACCAAGCTCCTTAAAGCGCCAGGTGCTATACTGCTATGAGTTTCATATATAGTCTTTTTTAATCCTTGCAAAATCTCAGGTATGGTGGCATGTGCCTGTAGTCCCAGCTACATGGGAGGCTGAGGCAGGAAGATTGCTTGAGCCCAGGAGTTCTGGGCTACAGTGCACTATGCCAATTGGTGTCCACACTAAGCTCGGCATTAACATTGTGATCTCCTGGTAGCAGGGGACTACCAGGTTGCCTTAAGAGGGGTGATCCGGCCCAGGTCAGAAATGGAGCAGGTCAAAACTCGCATGCTGATTAGTAGTGGGATCGTGCCTGTGAATAGCCACCGCATTTCCACCTGGGAAACATAGTGAGACCCTGTCTCTGGGGAAAACAAAAAACAAAAAACAAAAACAACAACAACTACAACGACAAAAAACCTAAGGTAGATATTATTATTCCCATTTTAAAGATGAGAAAACCAAGGCTCTGAAAGGTCTAGAGGTAGATCCACAGTGTGAGGACACTGGTATGTGTAATCTTTGCAGACCTATTTGATTTATATTAGCTCTTCTTTTCTGTAACCTGCCTAAACAGGTCTACCTTGGCATAGTAAACCTCTTTGCCTTCCATCCTACCTTTCTATATCTCCTTGATTTGGAAGGTTGGAAGGGCTTGTCTTGTTCTCCCCCTTCATTTCTTGAAAAGAGTGAATCCCTGAATCTTTCAAGCTGTCTGTAGAGGAAGTTATTATATCTGTGACTCCAGATGAAGTCTGCAGATTCAAGGCCCTACCCACCCATTAGAACTTCTGACAGATGAGCGCCCACCAAGGAGTTTGATATCATGCACTTAATGGTTTTTAAATTAATAATTTTTGAATAGATAACAGTAGACATTATATACAATTCAAAAGGCATAAAAAGATACCCAACCAGAAAGTAAATCTCCCTCCTAGCTCTGTCACCAAAATATCTGTTACCCAGGGTAATGTCTATGTGACCTAGGTAAATTTCTACGCCACTTTAACTCTGCTTATCTTCAGAAAACAGGATGCCTGAGGTCCAAAGTTCCCCCTCGGGACCAACAGACTAAGACTGCTGGGGTCTAAGATGGCAGCTCACTTGACCTCCGATGAACTTGTAACTTCATTATAATCTAATGTCCATGCTAAATGACACTCCCACCAGCACCATGACAATTGACAATCTCCATGACAACAACTGAAGAAACCATAAGAGGACCAAAAGAAAGGCAAGAACTCCAATTCCAAGAAGCTCTCCACCCATTCTCAGAAAATACATGAATATTCCTCCCCCTGCTTTTAATGCCCAACCCCTTCATTAAATATATCCTATTATCTGTGATTTCCCGGCTCTCTGAGCTAAGAAGTTGATTTGTGAGCCAGGCTCCTGCTTCTCAGTTCCCTGGCTGTGATGTTAATCAATGTCAACTTGATTGGATTGAGGGATACAAAGTATTAATCCTGGTTGTGTCTGTGTGGGTGTTGCCAAAAGAGATTAACATTTGAGTCAGTGGGCTGGGGGAGGCAGATCCACTCTTAATCTGGTGGACACAATCTAATCAGCTTCCAGCTAATATAAAGCAGCCAGAAAAACATGAAAAGGAGAGCTGGGCCTAGCCTCCCAGCCTACATCTTTCTCCCATGCTGGATGTTTCCTTGTGATCGTGTAAGTTAACACTTAATAAATCTCCCCTCTCTCTCTCTATATATATCCTATGAGTTCTGTCCCTCTAAGAGAACCCTGACTAATACAGATTTTGGTACCAGGAGTGGTTCTAGAGAAACAGAATATTAAGGATTGAGTTCTTTCGTTGGTTTTGGGGTTTCTGGAATTGGCTGCTTAATATGGTTAGACCCCAAAATGCTAAGGACTGTATGTCTAATAGTATGGAGAAGACTGATAGTCCTTGGTGTGAACGGTTTAGATAGTTAGGCAAAATAAATGCATTTGACACTCCTGATTTCACTGCTCATGAGAGGCAAGGAGTTTAGTGACTCTATACATAATACCTTTGACCATATGCGGAGAACCAAGGAACATAATGAAGCTGGTTGGTTGCTCTTAAGTTCAGTATACAAAGTGTTGAAAGAAAATGATGAACTCAGGGATTGTCTCCCGGCTTCAGAAATAGATACTAAGCTTCAAATCTGCTAAGATTGCCCTGAGTGAGAACCTTATCTCCTGTACAGAAAGAGCTGAAATTGTAGAAAAACAGACACAAGCTTTTATCATGCAAGTGGCTGACCTGCAACAAAAGGGGCATGCACAGCCTCACCAGGTGTCTATTGTTAAAGTGGGGGCATTGATTGGAAAAGAATAGGACCCTGCAACTTGGAATGGGGAAATGTGGGAGCACCCAGATGAAGCTGGGGACACTGAGTTTGTAAACTCTGATGAACCTTTTTTGCCAGAAGGAACAGCTTCCCAATCCCCAGTAGTGGCAACATCCGCTCCCTGACCCATGCTGCCATCAGCCTTTCCACCTTTGTCCACAGATAAACCCTGTGCTGCCTGAGGCAACAGTGATGGCCTCCCCTGAGGCAGTTGCCAGGCAAAGTAATGTTGATTCCCCTCAGGAGCCACACCCAACACCCCTGTTTGCTGGCCCACTACATTGATGACAGTCTAGACATGTAACTACACTAAATTCTGGTCCATTACACTGATGACAGTCTAGACCTGTAACTAAAGTCCCAGTGGGCCCCTGGAAGTGAGATTGAGAGTGTGACCCATGAGGAGGTGCATGGCACTTCAAAAGAACTGTTTGAGTTCTCTAATTTATAAAAACAGCAATCTGGAGAACAGGCATGGGAATGGATGTTAAGGGTATGGGGTAATGGTGGAAGGAACATAGAGTTGGATCAGGCTGAATTTATTGATTTGGGCCCACTAAGTAGGGATTCTGCATTTAATGTTGCAGATTGGGGAGTTACAAAAGATTCTAATAGTTTATTTGCTTGGTTAGCTGAAATATGGAATAAAAGATGGCCCACTGTGAGCCAGCTGGAAATGCCTGATCTCTCCTGGTTTAATGTAGAGGAAGGGATCCAAAGGCTTAGGGAGATTGGGATGGTGGAGTGGATTAGTCACTTTAGACCTAATCATCCCAGTGGGAAGGGTCCAGAAATTAACATGTCTCCTGGTGCCTGGTATGCACCAATTGACTTGGCAAATGCTTTTTCTCCATTCCTGTCCATAAGGCCCACCAGAAGCAATTTGCTTTCAACTGGCAAGGCCAGCAATATACCTTTACTGTCCTACCTCAGGGGTATATCAACTCTCCGGTTTTGTGTCATAATCTTATTCAGAGAGACCTTGAACACTTTTTGCTTCTGCAAGATATCACACTGGTCCATTACAATGATGACATTATGATGACTAGATCCAGTGAACAAGAAGTAGCAAACACACTGGACTTATTGGTGAGACATTTGCATGCCAGAGGATGGGAAATAAATCTGACTAAAATTCAGGGAACTTCTACCTCAGTAAAATTTCTAGGGGTCCAGTGGTGTGGGGCCTGTCGAGATATTCCTTCTAAGGTAAAGGATAAGTTGCTGCATTTGGCCCCTCCTACAACCGAGAAAGAGGCACAAAGCCTAGTGGGCCTGTTTGGATTTTGGAGGCAACACATTTGGGAGTGTTACTCTGGCCCATTTATTGAGTGACCCGAAAGGCTGCCAGTTCTGAGTGGGATCCAGAACAGGAGAAGGCTCTGCAATAGGTCCAGGCTGCTGTGCAAGCTGCTCTGCCACTTGGACCATATGACACAGCAAATCCAATGGTGCTTGAGGTGTCAGTGGTAGATAAGGATGCTGTTTGGAGCCTTTGGCAGGTTCCCATAGGTGAATCACAGCAGAGGCCTCCAGGATTTTGGAGCAAGTCCCTGCCATCTTGTTCAGATAACTACTCTCCTTTTGAGAGACAGCTCTTGGCCTGTTACTGGGCTTTGGTGGAAACTGAACGTTTGACTATGGGTCATCAAGTCACCATGTGACCTGAACTACCTGTCATGAACTGGGTGTTTTCCAACCCATCTAGCCACAAAGTGGGTCATGCACAGCAGCATTCCATCATCAAATGGAAGTGGTATATATGTGATCGGGCTTGAGCAGGTCCTGAAGGCCAAGTAAGTTACATGAGGACATGGCTCAAATGCCCATGGTCTCCACTCCTGCCACTCTGCCTTCTCTCCCCCAGCCTGCACCGATGGGCCTATGATCAGTTGACAGAGTAAGAGAAGACTAGGGCCAGGTTCACAGATGGTTCCACACGATATGCAGGCGCCACCAGAAAGTGGACAGCTGCAGCACTACAGCCCCTTTCTAGGACATCCCTGAAGGAGAGCAGTGAAGGGAAATGTTCCCAGTGGGCAGAACTTCGAGCAGTGCACTTTACATGAAATGAGAAATGGTCAGGTGTGCGATTATATACTGATTCATGGGCTGTAGCCAATGACTTGGCTGGATGGTCAGGGACTTGGAAGAAGAATGATTGGAAAATTGGTGACAAAGAAATTTGAGGAAGAAGTACGTAGATGGACCTCTCCGAGTGGTCAAAAACTGTGAAGATATTTGTATCCCCTGTGAGTGCTCACCAACAGGTGACCTCAGTGGAGGAGGAGTTTAATAATCAAGTGGATAGGATGACCCATTCTGTGGACACTACTCAGCCTCTTTCCCCAGCCACCCCTGTCATCGCCCAATAGACCCATGAACAAAGTGGCCATGGTGGCAGGGATGGAGGTTATACATGGGCTCAGCAAGATGGACTTCCACTCACCAAGACTGACCCGGCTATGGCCACTGCTGAGTGCCCAATTTGCCAACAGAAGAGACCAACACTGAGCCCTCGATATGGCACCATTCCTCAGGGTGATCAGCCAGCCACCTGGTGGCAAGTTGATTATATTGGACCTTTTCCATCATGGAAAGGGCAGAGGTTTGTTCTCACTAGAATGGCACTTACTCCTGATATGGGTTTGCCTATCCTGTATGCAATGCTTCTGCCAAGACTACCATCCACGGACTCACAAAATGCATTACCCACCGTCATGGCATGCCAAACAGCATTGTCTCTGACCAAGGCACTCACTTTGCGGTTAAGGAAGTGGGGCAGTGGGCTCATGCTCATGGAATTCACTGGTCTTACCATGTTCCCCATCATCCTGAAGCAGCTGGATTGATAGAATGGTGGAATGGCCTTTTGGAGTCACAATTACAATGCCAAATAAGTGACAATAGTTTGCAGGGTTGGGGCAACAGCCAATCCAGGCAGGACTACAAATGACTCAGACCCTTCAGGAATGAAGGTTTGGGTCACTCCACTGGAAAAAAAAGCAAAAACAAAAACACGACCTACTGAGGTGCTTGCTGAAGGCAAAGGGAATGCAGAATGGGTAGTAGAGGAAGGTAGTCATCAATACCAGCTATGATCACAAGACCAGCTGCAGAAATGAGCACTGTAACTGTCATGAGCATTTCCTCCTTCTTTTGTTAAAAACATGTTTGTGCATGTATAGACTTGTACGAAGAAAATATCTTAATTTTATTTCCTTTTCCTTTATTATGTGACATAATATTTATTGGCTTCATATCAGCATTTAAGTATTGTTCACTTTATGTAATAGTATTTGGGTTGGTATTGGTGCCTTTCCAGTTGTACAATGGATAGTTGTATTATGTTACATGTAATTATGACCTCATTATTGTCTTTATTTGAAGATTATGTATGATCTCAGGAGATGTGTATGGGTTCAGGTTGACAAGGGGTGGACTTGTGATGGTTAATACTGAGTGTCAACTTGATTGGATTGAGGGTTACAAAGTATTAATCCTGGGTGTGCCTGTGGGTGTTGCCAAAAGAAATTAACACTTGAGTCAGTGCACTGGGGAAGGCAGATCCACCCTTAATCTGGTGGGTACAATCTAATCAGCTGCCAGTGAATATAAAGCAGGCAGAAAAACGTGAAAAGGAGAGATGGACCTAGCCTCACAGCCTACATCTTTCTCCCATGCTGGATGCTTCCTGCCTTTGAACATCGGACTCCAAGTTCTTCAGTCTGGGGACTTGGACTGGCCCTTCTTGCTCCTCAGCTTGCAGACAGCCTATTGTGGGACCTCGTGATCATGTAAGTTGATACTTAATAAATTCCCTTTATATCTGTCTATCTCTCTATCTATCTATCTCTCTATCTATCATCTATCTATCATCTATCCTATTAGTTCTGTCCCTCTAAGAGAACCCTGACTAATACAGTGGCCATGGAATAAAGCCTGCACTACTTGACACTCACTTTTGGTTTTGTATATTGGCTTCACAGCACTAAACGGGGAAAGACTCCATTTGTATGGGGACTGGCTTTGTTGGTAACATATCCATTTCCCTTTCCTAGAAGCAATGAATAATTGCTACCACTATTTTATGAACACATCTGGAGATTCCACAGCCTTTTAGAAGTGTCAGAGAATGGAACAACAAATGCAATAACAAGGATTGCCCAAATGATCAGGGCCTTAGGCTTCTAGCCTTTATCCTGAAAGTGCTTTAGCCCTCTCCTCCTAGAGGCCTAGATTTACAAAGCTCTTGACAGCTGTGCTCTGGGACAAATTGAATTCTGACATAAAACACTTTCTTGAGATTTGAAAATGCTACCTTTTCTCCCCTTTACTCTGTTCCCTAAACAAGGGGTTGCTGGAAACATCCTTGGTAAGTTTCATAAGATTGTCTGTTTCATATGATGCTTATAAATTTCATAGTCAATGACTTTGTTGTGCAAAAAAAAATGTAACTTTATTTTCTCCATAATTAAACTTAGCTTTTCAATCTCGATTTCTTTTGGTGGCAGAAATTTAATCTGACCAACAAGGTAAACAAAGTTTCTTGCTGCTGTTTTTTTTTCCAACTGAGAATCTTCCGTCTCCCATCCTTCTTCCTCTTCTCTTCTCCAGCTCTTCCCAGGGTCCCTCTGCATTCTGGAAGGCTGGAGAGTGATTGAGCAGTCAGGAGATGCAGGATTCTCACTCATGATTGACCCTGACCCCTGCTAGCCACTGATGAGGTGCATTTCAACTTTCTGGTCACTGCCGGCTCACTTGTCCTGCCATGTCCTCCTGGGTCAGGGCTGTGACTCTGTCCCCTTTGTCCCACCCTAAGCTTCTCTGAGCCTTCCAGGCCAGGGGCTACTTGGAAAGACTGGTGGTGTTCCCAGGCACACCTCCCTCCTGCTCCCCTGCACCTACAGTCCTCCCTCTTCCCAGGCAGGATGGACGCCCTATTGGGGTCATTCTCAGATGTCTAGCTTTCTGGCTCACATCTTTCACTTTATTCTCCCATGAATGTCTATCTGATTTTCTCTCAGTATGTGGGAAGCTAGTTCTTAAAAATTATCATTAATTCAAAAAATGCATATATTACTAATGGTATCATCCTTATCCCCATTGTCTTTGGGGGTTTAACCTTAGGAGCACCTTCTCCCTCCCACACTCAGATCCTTTCCTCTCAAAAAGTCCAGATCCTGAAATGCACTTTCAGAATGATTATGTCTGTTATGAGTTAAAAAAAAAAAAAAAAAAAAAAAGAGTACTGAGGAACTCAACTGACTTGTTTGTTTAAACTCTATTCACCCTCCCCTGCAGGCAGTGAGCATGGATGATGATGATTGCTGGCAAAACAGGGGAGTGGTAGTGAAGGTTAGAAAGCCAGGGACTGGGGACACTTGTGCTGCCAGGGTGTTCTCTGAGCAATGATGCTGCTTGTGGTGAATTCCCATTCACCTCCAGAATGGGTTTCTGGCTTTGCTGAGAAAGGCTTTTATTGGGTGTCATTAGTAATTCTGTCAAAGGTGGTGGGGAGGCGGGGAAACTTCCCATGCTAAGAATCAAATCAAGAAACCCTTTCTGGGGAATAATGAGAGCCACGTTCTTTCTAATGTGATATGAAAGCACTGAATATTTGTTACTGCTTTTACAGAAATGATTAATTCTCAATCTATGTCAGAGAGATTCTCAGTGCTGATTTTCAGATGATGGCATTGGGAAATAGGCATCACTGCATGAAGTTGCTACCCCTTGTGCAGGCCTCCCTGGTGGCCTGTGTCATTGTCGTGGGCTTCAACTGCTAGATTGTGAACTGCCCCCCACCGCCCCCACCCCCAGGGGTGGATCAGGTGCTGGAAGGCAGGGTCTGCAGGGTGGCCGTGGAGAGGGGTGTGGTGCAGCTGAAAAGGAATAAGCTCCAGGGAGGGCAGGAAAAGCAATGAGATCAGCTCAGCCAAATCTAGTCCAGCCACAGCTTTTAGCTGGAGAGCATTGACAAGCTGTCCCAGGATTAAAAGGGGGTTTTGTGAAGAACATCACTTGGGTGAGAGGCTCATAGGCATCCTGCAAGACCAGCTAAAGGCTACATAGGAATTACAGCAAGCTGCAGCAGGATGGCCTCCAGTTTCAGAAGGGCCACGCCAACTTGGAGAGCGATGCATCTGACCCAGTACATTGACTGAACGAAGGAGGCAAAGGAGCTATGTGAGGAGCCCACAGAAGAGGTCACCAAAAAGGGAAATGAAGCTGTAGCTTCCAGACACCTGAGTGGAAAAAAAGACCAGAGTCAGCAGCTCCAAGCCAAAAATAGAACACAAGCTCTCTTTCAAGTAAGGTGACAGTGGTGCTTGTTTATTCTTGAGTATAATTTTGTGTGAAAAAAAGCAGCCTGTAGGAAGAGTCCCTCTTCCACTGTGAAGGAGAGGCTGGTTGCAGGTAGAGAACTCTGTCTGGGTTCCCTCTGGAGTTCTCCTCTTCTCCACACATGGGGTAGAGCGCTGTTTCCAGCCTGTTATTCCTATTCTCACTGGTACCCACTGAATGACTATGTACTGTGCACTCCCGATTCTGACAATCAATGGTCTAGAACAGCAGTCCCCAGGCCCAGGCCACAGATTGGTACTGGTCCATGACCTGTTACGAACCGAGCCACACAGCAGAAGGTGAGTGGTGGGCGAGTGAGAAGCTTCATCTGTATTTACAGCCACTCCCCATTGCTGACATTACCACCTGAGCTCCGCCTCCTGTCAGGTCAGCCACAGCATTAGATTCTCATACAAGTGCAAACCCTATTGTGAACTGCGCATGCCAGGGATCCAGGTTGCACGCTCCTTATGAGAACCTAATGCCTGATGATCTGTCACTGTCTCCCATCACTCACAGATGGGACCATCAAGTTGCAGGAAAACAAGCTCAGGGCTCCCACTGATTCTACATTATGGTGAGTCGTATAATTATTTCATTATATATTACAATGTAACAATAATAGAAATAAAGTGCACAATAAATGTAATGCACTTGAATCATCCTGACACAATCCCCCATCCCTTAATCAGTGGATAAATTGTCTTCCATGAACCCTGTCCCTAGTGCCAAAAAGGTTGGAACCATTGGCCAAGAGCACTGACTTTTTTTTCTTTTATTTCAGTAGCTTTTGGGATACCAGTGGTTTTTGTTACATGGATGAATTATAAAGTGGCAAAATCTGAGATTTTAGTGCGCCTGTCACCTGAGTAGTGTATCTTGTACCTAATGTGTAGTTTTTTTTCCCTAGCCCCCCTCTCATCCTTCACCTTTTGAGTCTCTAAAGTGCATTATATCACCCGTTTGCCTTTGCATACTCAAAGCTTAGCTCTCACTTATAAGTGAGAACATACGGTTTTTGGCTTTCTGCTCCTGTGTTAATTCATTTAGAATAATGGCCTTCAGCTACACCCAACTTGCTGCAAAAGACATTATTTTGTTCTTTTTTATGGCTGAGTAGTATTCCATGGTGTATATATACCACGTTTTCTTTATCCACTCATTGGTCGATGGGCACTTAGGTTGGTTCTACATGTTAGCAATTGTGAATTACAGAGCACTGTTAACACAGACATTATTAGCAAGAGTTTTAAACAAGTCTAAATACAAAGCTGTTTGTGCAAGATTTTTTTAAAAGGCTACGTGTATAATAACCCTGTCATTTTAGTGTACTATTAAGTTATTTAGTATAATAGTGCAATATTAAGTTATTTGTAATTTGAAGATTTCTGATCTATACATACTTTGCTTCCTATGTGTGGGCAAAGCAAAATATGCTCTATTAAGTACATATTGCCAAGAAAAGCCATGAGTGTATTAGGCTTTTGATAAAAATGGGCCAAAAATGGGAATGCTTGCCACAGAGCACAGTGAGGGAGGGAGAGCATTGTGAGATGGATTTGTTGTGGAGAGATCTATGCCTACTTTACTAATAGAATAAAAGAAAGTTAATTTCTATTGATGGATTTATACAGTGTTACAAATCGGGAATGTTTAGAAAGGCAAGAGGAATACAATGATTGTTTTTGCCATGGTTTACACATTTAGCTTGTGGTAAATGACTCACAAAACTGATTTAAAAATCAAAGGTTGATGTTAATTTTGAAAATGACTATTTACGACACGGGCAAAGACTTCATGACTAAAACACCAAAAGCAGTTGCAACAAAAACCAAAATTGACAAATGGAATCTAATTAAACTAAAGAGCTTCTGCACAGCAAAGGAAACTATCATTAGAGTGAAAAGGCAACCTACAGAATGGGAGAAAATTTTTGCAATCTATCTCTCTGACAAAGTTCTAATATTCAGAATCTACAAAGAACTCAAACAAATTTACAAGAAAAAAACAAAAAACCCCATCAAAAAGTGGGTGAAGGATATGAACAAACACTTCTCAAAAGAAGACATTTATGAAGCCAACAAACATATGAAAAAAGCTCATCATCAGTGCTCATTAGAGAAATGCAAATCAAAACCACAATGAGATACCATCTCACACCAGTTAGAATGGTGATCATTAAAAAGTCAAGAAACAATAGATGCTGGCGAGGCTGTGGAGAAATAGGAACACTTTTACACTGCTGGTGGGAGTGTAAATCAGTTCAACCATTGTGGAAGACAGTGTGGCGATTCCTCAAGGGTCTAGAACCAGAAATACCATTTGACCCAGCAATTCCATTACTGGGTACATGCCCGAAGGATTATAAATCATTCTACTATAAAGACACATGCACACATATGTTTGTTGCAGCACTATGTACAATAGCAAAGACATGGAACCAACCCAAATTGCCATCAACGATAGAAGGGATAAAGAAAATGTGGCATATAAACACCCTGGAATACTACGCAGCCATAAAAAATGAGTTCATGTCCTTTACAGGGACGTGGATGAAGCTGGAAACCATCATCCTCAGCAAACTAACACAGGAACAGAAAACCAAACACCTCATGTTCTCACTTGTACGTGGGAGTTGAACAGTGAGAACACATGGACACAGGGAGGGGAACATCACACACCAGGGCCTGTTAGTCGGTGGGAGGCAAGGGGAGAGAGCATTAGGACAAGTATCTAATGCATGCTGGGCTTAAAACCTAGTGGATGGGTTGATAGATGCAGCAAACCAAACCACCATGGCACATGTATACTTGTGTAACAAACCTGGACATTCTGCACATGTATCCCAGAACTTAAAGTAAAATAATAATAATTTAAAAAAAAAAAGAAAATGACTATTTAATCATAGTTCCCAATGAAAACAATGACATTTGGTTTGACTTGAGTTGGTTTCGAAGATTTACAGTAAATAGGCTCTTACCACTTGTGAATGACTGGCAAGTTTGCACTAATGACTTTCTTCCAATGAGGCTCTCTACAGGAAAAGTGGAAGGATCCACGCAGTTTGAGATGCAGGGGCCTCTCTGGGCTTCAGAGAGGAAATGGAGCCCAGAGAAGTTATGGAGCATCCAGTTGGTGAGCTGTAGCACCGGGATTCACAGCAGGCTGTGCCACCTCCCTGTGCCCTGTGACCACTGAGAGCAGGCCCTGTTTGCACGCATGTGGCGATCTCCAATTTCAGTGTTCTCCCCGTGATATCTCTTTACCCAGTCACTAGGATTTAATGTTTCCACTCAGAAAAGGCAACTGAAGAAGAGTGTATTAGTGAGGGTTCTCTAGAGGGACAGAACTAATGGAATAGCTATATATATAAAGAAGAGTATATTCAATATTAACTCAAATGATCACAAGGTCCCACAATAGGCCATCTGCAGGCTGAGAAGCAAGGAGAGACAGTCTGAGTTCTGAAACTGAAGAACTTGGAGTCTGATGTTCAAGGGCAGGAAGCATCCAGCATGGGAGAAAGATGTAGGCTGGGAGGCTAGGCCAGTCTCTCTTTTCACATTTTCTGCCTGCTCATATTCTAGCCATGCTGGCAGCTGATTAGATTGTGCCCACCCAGGTTAAGGGTGGGTCTGCCTTTCCCAGCCTACTGACTCAAATCTTTATCTCCTTTGGCAACACCCTCCCAGACACACCCAGGATCGATACTTTGTATCCTTCAATCCAATCAAGTTGACCCTCAGTATTAACCGTCACAAAGAGTACGAATGCAGCTCTATAAAATTTTCTCTAAATCCTTTTCCAGCCTCCTTTTGTGTCCCAGTCTTGGGGATGATATGAATTCTGTCTTGCTTTCCAATTAATAATGTCTCTATTCATCTCATGTTTAATTAGTGCACATGGAGTTACTGAGAAATAAAATACGCTGTTAGTTCAACTAAAAAAAAAAAAAAGAAAGTAGGAGAGTGAGAGAAATATTACCTGGCACATGCTTTAAGTAACACAGAAAGGCAAACAGCCCCACCTGTGTTAAAGGACTTCCTTGGGCAGATCTTTGCCATCTGACTTTTTAAATTTCACTGTCTCTGACCTTTCAAAGTCTCATGCTGGGTGACACTATATCTTGGTGCCCATCCTCACTTTCTCATGAAACAGGACAAAGATGTAATCTGATCAACATCTGGGGCTGGTGTGCAGTTAGGCGTTGGAAGGATTTGACAGGAATAGGAAGTGATTATCTGCAATATAAAATTCCAGGAAAAATAGAATTCCAGCATATTCAGGAGTCTAAACACAGAAGCCATTGCATGCCTAAGGTCCCACAAGCCAGCCTGAAAAAAAAGCAATGAAACTTTGATGGCTCCAGATATGAAGGATGAGGTTTGTGGACTGAGGACATCCAGGGATTCCCAACGTCTGCTCAGTCTTCTCTTAATTTTTTATACATGTGTGACGGCTGCTGTGGATACCTAGCCCTTTCAAATGATATGTTATAAGACCTTGCCAAATGCCCAAATTTGTGATTGTCAGCAGAGCTCTGGAAATCTTTTAATGGGAACACTGTTTTGTTTTTCACAAAGAAATAGAGCTTTTATGAAGTCGGTAGAGCGTCTGCTCATTCCCGCATGCAGGAACAGCATCTGGGAGCTTTACCCAAACCCCAGCCTTGGAGATTCCACATCAGTGGGCCTGAGGTGGGCTTGAAGCATTTGTAAGGTGTGGACTTCCTTTGAGCTTCAGTTTCTTCATTTGTGACATGGGGATTCCAATGGAAATGACCCCACAGGCTAGCAGGGCTTCAGGGAGATGACAGGTATAAAATGCAAGCCGGGGGCCTAACCTACAAGTGCATACTTAACAAAAGTCAACTGTTGTCATTATCATTCCCTCCTTAGCAATACTGCAGCTAAGTGATTGAAATGCATGCCTCAGCAAAACTATCACAGGCCATGAATACCCTATGCTGCATATTGGAAACTGCAAATGCTGGAGAAGCAAACGCCAGGTGCTATTGTCTTACACAGTTTCTGCTAATTAATTTCTTTATCTAATTGTTGTGAGAGTTATTTGCTCGATATTCGCAATTGGGGTAGGTCTTAAGCCTACTCCCTTTTCCAGGGGGAAAAGGGAAGTAGCTTTCAAGAATACAAAGCAAGAAATAGTCCACTAAAAATTTAACTTGGGAAAGCAAGGTAATAAATATATTGGGCTAATGTGTGAGAAATCGGTGTCTCCTTCACTGTGGGTGGAAGTGTAAGTTGATGTAGTCTTTCTGGAGAACAACTTGGCAATATCTTCCCACTGTACAGTAGGTACATCCTTTCTATTTTCACATATAGGCATTCTGGGGAAATACTGATGTATATAGACAAAGAAGCATGCATGAAATCATCAGTATAGTATTGTTTGTGATAGCAAAAAGACTAGAAGCCACCTAAATGTGCAAGAATTGGAGCTTGGATAAATAAAATATGAGCCATTCATATGATGGGATTTTTAGATAACAGGGTTTTTTTGAGATGGGGTCTTGCTCTGTTGTTGCTCAGACTGGAGTGCAGTGGCATGATCATGGCTCACATAGCCTCGACCTCCCAGGCTCAAATGATCTTCCCATTTCAGCCTCTCAAGTAGCTGGGACAGGCGTGCCACCATGCCCAGCTAATTTTTAAATTTTTTGTAGAGATGGTGTCTCACTATGTTGCCCTCATGGCTGGTTTTGAACTCCTGGGCTCAGGCAGTCCTCCTGCTTCATCTTCCCAAAATGCTGGGATGATAGGCATGAGTCACCACACTGAGCTGGCACTTATTTTTTTAAAAAGGAAAAAAAAGACACTACCCTGGAAAGTTCTCCAAGATATAACATTAAGTAAATAAAGCAAAATAATACATATAACTTCATTTATGCAAAAAAAGTAAATTTTGTATACACACATGTGTGCATGTAAAAGCATAGGAAAAGGCCTTAGAAAAACACACAGCAAACTGCTAATACTGATAATATTAACGACCTCCCAGTAGGTCATTCTGCATGTCTATATTGTTTGAATTGTTCATCACACGAGTTCATTGATGTGTTTCTTGTATAAAAATTAACTTTTAAAGATTATGTTACCTAAGTTAACATGATCCTATTTAGGTCACTTTTAGAGAGGGGCATGGGAGCCCTCCCCTGGCTGACAGTGCTCCAGAGGGTCCTCCTGCAGGCTCTTTGGGGCTGTTCTGCCTGGCCCCACTCCCTCACCAAGGCCAGGCTACTCATCAGCCTAGAATCCAGGCAGCCACTTTGCAGTTGGATTTGGGCTTGCCCTTTGCTGTCCTCTGTGCTGTCTGGGGACATTGCCCTCCGTCCTGTACTGCGTTGCTGACACAGGATTTTTCAGAGCTGCGTAGCCAGCTGGAGACCTCCATGGCTGGTGATACCCCTGCCTGGGCCTCACTTGGCCCCGGGCTCACCACAGGAGCTACCTCACCCACTCGGCCCAGCGGGCTGTGCTTGGCTTGTGCTCCTGCTTGGATCCTGTGCTCACCGCAGGATCCACACTAAGCCTGCAGGTGGGCTTGGCTTGCCACAACCTGCTTCCACCTTGGGCACCAATGTCTGGCTGAGAGGAATGCAATGGTGCATGAATGGGGATGCGAGCAACCCTAAAGCCCCAGAGGGAGTGTTACAGCAGGCTAACAGCTCTTTTAGTCCCATTGTCCCACTCCAATCCATGGCTCCAGGGCTGGCCTGGCTCCAGCACTGCTTCCTGTCACATGGGGCGGTTGCCTTCCACCAGCAGAGGGCAGAGAACCACAGTGTTATAGCCTTTGTTGTACTTGCATTTGGCAGGTCCCAAGTTCTTGTCCCACATCCAAGAAGAATGAGGTTATGCTGACAACCAAAGGATGAGGAGAGTTTTATTGAGTGACAGCTCTCAGCAAAGAGAGGACCTAAGAGGGCAGTCCCCTCTCCAAAGTTGGATGGTCTCTTCCTGACTGAAGGTGGGCAGTCCCCCAGTGTGGCTGAGTCCAAGGCTTTTATGGGCTCAGAATGGGGTAGTGTGTGCTGATTGGTTTGTGAGTATGCAAGAAAGGCTAAAACAAAGGCACCACTCAAAGGTGGGCACAGCAGTGTAAAAAATCAATTAGGGAAGTGTAGGTATATGTAAAATAGGTGAAGGGTGGGGATCAATTAGAGGAAAGTGTGCCAAATGGGAAGAGAGGTTCCCAGTCTGGTCTATGGATTTATCTAAGACTCGTAGCTTGGCTTTCAGGCTTTAAACCGTCTCTGGTTTGAAGACGGGGTTTCACTGGGGACCCACCCCTGTCTGCCTAGGGATTTGTCTGCCTCCTGTAGCTATCACTGCTCCATCTCCAGGTGCCCTGGTCCCTTCTTCAGACTGAGTCATCCTTCCTGGGTGCTTGCAAATTTAGCACCTCCAAAGATTCTGAGATGCCAATGTGAACTAACTACCAGGGGTGTTCAGTCTGAGCCCTTCTCTTGGCTTGCCTAGTATTTCTTTGCTGCTAGGGTATATTGTCTTGTCCAGGCCCCCCATAGATGGTCATGAGTGCTTGTCACAGCTCCAACCACCAATGACAAAGCAGGCTTTGTATTCGTCTCCTTCTTCTTCTTCTTTTTTTTCTTTTTCTGAGACAGAGTCTTGCTCTGTTGCCCAGGCTGGAGTGCAATGGTGCGATCTTGGCTCACCACAACCTCTGCCTCCCGGGTTCAAGCAATTCTCCTGCCTCAGCCTCCCAAGTAGCTGGGACTACAGGCGTGTGCCACCATGCCCAGTTAATTTTTGTATTTTTAGTAGAGACAGGGTTTCTCTATGTTGGCCAGGCTGGTCTCGAAATCCTGACCTCATGATTCACCTGCCTTGGCCTCCCAAAGTGCTGGGATTACAGACGTGAGCCACCGTGTCTGGCCTCACCTCCTTTGACTGTCATTGGGGTTTTACCTCCACATCTCTTTCACTGAGATTCTGTAATTTGGGGAGGAGAGAGGGCAGGCATCCTACTCAGGCTTGTGTGGAACATTTAGTGTTCTTCTCTTGTTATTTTGTTCACTCTTTAGCTCACTGAAGCAGCATTTCCTCTAGGAACCTCTGAGTACAAAGCAGAGGTCAGAGACCACCAGGCATCAGGGTAGACTCTGTCTCTCAACCTTCTAGGCCCTCAGCCAGCTTGCAACCTTTGAACACCCATCTTCTCAGGGAGTGACTTCACTACCCACCTGTTACTGCCCCTGCAGTTAAGCGGCAGCCCGAATTTCATACCTGCATAGGGATCTCAGCTGGGGGGTTGGTCAGCGGCTTCCAAGCACACTTTCAACATCTCTCCCAGAAGCTCTTCAAATCCTCTTGTCACTGAACCTCCAGGAGGCCCCAGATGGCCCCCAGCACACTACACCTGGCTTCATAGCTTACGCATTCACTCTGATTTTCTAAATGACACAGAGACGATTCATTTCTTTGGCCACTTTTCCTAAAGGTACCAGGAACATCCATGCCTTGTTGGGATTAGCAAAGTGCTAAAAAGTGTTCTTAAATGTCTCATGTTTGGCGATTACATCTCCAAGAAACCACTACTGTAATTAGAGAGAAACCAGCTGTGAGATAGAACAGGAACTGGCTCACCTGGGGGCACTCCCTGGAGACCTCGTATTTGTGTATACTTCCTGCCCTACTGTTTCTGCTCTGCCTTCCTTTCTGGTGACATTGAGGGTACAAATTGTTCCAGGTGTGTGCAGCACATCAAAGCCTAACTGGAAGAAGGCACAGTCTTCATTTTGGTGGCTTTTATCACCATGAGGATGAGGTGACCTGTGCTCACAGTCCTCCTTTCAGGATCGAGGGGAGCAGAGAAGTTTCCAGGCCGAGCCGTAGGCCTGGGGATCATCTGACACAGAGGCAGGCTGTGTCCCCACTGCATTCATCAGACCCACTTCCTTTGACCTACAAGAGGGATCACCCTGCATTTTCCATCCTTCTCATCAGATTGGGTTGGGTCTGACCGAAGTTGGATGTGGAGAGTAGGGTCACTCCTCTAGGTGGGGGATGTGCCCTCCATGTGGGAATCCAAGAGGGAGCAGCTCTGAGGTGAACACAAGGTATGTGCAGGGTGGGAAGATGGCTTGCTCTGAGCAGAGATTTTATAATATCTTCTTATGAGATGGAAAGAAGGGGGTTATGACAACGCAAATTTCATTCCTGCCAAGACTCTACAGACTTCAGAGCAGAGAGAATATTCTCCCAAGGGCCAGACTGTGAAAATGGGGAACTTAGAGTGAGAGTGGAATTGAAGAAGCTGAGGGAAGAACACAGAAGCGTGAAGGAAGAAATGGGACTCCTGCTGACAGTGAGGGCTCCTCATTGGCCAGCAGATCAGCATGCTGGTATTGCTGGTCTCTCCAGCCCACCATGACGTTATCGCATCATTCTGACTCTGCAGGACAGGCACAGCTGCTGTCTTCCTTACAGCCGAAGTCTTCCTCGGACTTAGTGAGGAAGGAACAGAGCACAACCAAAAAGCTTTCCATCTTATAGCCCAATGTCCTATGTCTTGCTCTATTTGGTTCATTAAATCTGATTCATCCAGACTATCTTGTGAAGTTTGTATCTTTCTTTGACATCAGTTATGATCCTCAGATGTCTTGGAAGCCCCCAGGAGCTCATGCTCCCCTGGAGATAGCAGCTTCTGTGGCTACTCAAATGTAATTTAGGGGAAAGGCTAAAATAAGTGAAGTCCTTACTTGTGCCCTTCCTGGCAATTTTGATGGGGGATGGGGCATACCACAGAACAGCCCAGCCTCTGTCTGTGGTACCCTGAGGCTTTCCTGCTCCAGGCTTTAGTGCCCCTTCCTATGCCAAAACAAACATGCCAGGATTTCTCCCCAGGATTGCTCACAATCTTTATAGCCACTGTTCGGGGTTCCAGGGAATATCCAAAGAAGCTATGAGTAACCTCATGACGATGGAAGTAGAGTGGCCTTGCTAACTGCTGACCTCCTTCTCCAGGAGGAACGGTTACACCTGCAGTTGACTCTAGCTTTAACGGCTGAGAGAATAAACACAGGCACACCTCATTTTATTGCTACCTCACTTTGTTGCACTTCACAGATACTGCACTTTTTTACAAATTGAAGGTTTGTGGCAACCTTGCATTGAGCAAGTCCATCAGTACTATTTTTTCCCAACAGCATGTGTTTACTCTGTGTCTCCAGTAATTCTCTCAATATTTCAAATTTTTCATTACTATTATGTGTTATGGTGGTCTGGGGTTAGTGATCTTTGATGTTATTATTGTAATTGTTTTGGGGTATCACAAACCATGCTCATGTAAGACAGTGTACTTAACCCATAAATGCTGTGTGTGTTCGGACTGCTCCACACACCAGCTGTTCTCCCATCTCTCCCCTTCTCCTCAGACCTCCTTATTCCCTTAAACACAAAAATATTGAAATGAGGCCAATGAATAACCCTACAATGACCTCTAAGTGTTCAAGTGAAAGGAAGAGTCTCACATCTCTTACTTTAAATCAAAAGTTAGAAATGCATAAGCTTACTGAAGAAGGCATGTTGAAAGCTGAGACAGGCTGAAAGCTAAGCCTCTTGCACCTGAGAGTCAAGTTGTGAATGCAAAGGAAAAGTTCCTGAAGGAAATTAAAAGTGTTACTCCAGTGAATATACAAATGATACAAAAGCAAAGCAGTCTTAACTGCTGATATGGAGGAAGTTCGAGTGTCCTGGATAGAAGATCAAACCAGCCACAACATTCCCTTAAGCCAAAACCTAATCAAAGCCCTACCTGTCTTCAACTCTGTCAAGGCTGAGAGAAGTAAGGAGGCTGCAGAAGATAAGTTTGAAGCCAGCAGAGATTGGCTCATGAGGTTTAAGGGAAGAAGATAGAGATGTACAAGTCGTCTCCATAACATAAAAGTGCAAGGTGAAACAGTAAGTGCTGATGGAGAAGCTGCAGCAAGTTATTCAGAACATCTGGCTAAGATCATTGATGAAGGTGGCTATACTAAAGAACAGATTTTCAGTGAAGACAAAAGAGCCTTCTGTTGGAAGAAGATGCAATCTAGGAATATTTTATTGCTAGAAAGAACTCAATGCCTGGCCTCAAAACTTCAAAGAATAGGCTGACTCTTGCTAAGAGCTAATGCAGCTGGTGACTTTAAGTTAAAGCCAGTGCTCATTTAGCATTTCACAAATCCTAGGAGCCTTAAGAATTATCCTAAATCTACTCTGCCCATGCTCTAAAAATGGAAAAATAAAGCCTAAACTACATCACATCTGTTGACATCATGATTCACTGAATATTTTAAGCCCACTATTGAAACCCACTACTCAGAAAGAAAGATTCCTTTCAAAATATTACTGCTCATTGACAATGCACCTGGTCACCCAAAAGCTCTGATAGAGGTGTACAAGGAGATGAATGCTCTTTTCATGCCTGCTAACACAACATCCATTCTGTAGTCCATGGATCAAGGAGTAATTTTGACTTCCTAGTCTTATTATTTAAGAAATCCACTTTGTAAGGCCAGAGCTGCCATAGATAGTGATTCCTCTGATGGGTCTGGGCTGTAAATTAAAAACCTTCTGGAAAGGATTCACCATTCCAGGTGCCATTAAGAACATTTGTGATTCACGGGATGAGGTCAAAATATCAACTTTAAGAGGAGTTTGGAAGTTTATTCCAGCCCTAGTGGATGACTTCAGTGGAGGAAGTCACCGCATATGTGGTAAAAATAGAAAGAGAACTAGAATTAGAAGTGGAGCCTGGAGATGTGACTGAATTGTTGCAATCTCCTGATAAAACTCGAATGAATGAGAAGTTGCTTCTTATGGATGAGCAAAGAAAGTTTTTTTTTTTTTTTTTGAGATGGAATCTACTCCTGTTACAGACGCTGCGACATTATTGGAATGACAACAAAAGACTGAGAATATTACACAAGCTTAGTTGATAAAGCAGCAGCAGGGTCTGTGAGAGGATTGATTCCAGTTTTGAAAGAAGTTCTGCTGGAGGCAAAATGCTATCAAGCAGCAGTGTATGCTACAGATAAATCTTTCATTAAAGGAAGGGTCAATCAATGTGGCAAACTTTATTGTTGTCCCACTTTAAGAAATCATCGGTGGGGCCTGGTGGCTCATGCCTGGAATCCCAGTATTTGTGGGGGCCAAGGTGGGCCAATCACTTGAGGCCAGGAGTTCAAGACCAGCCTGGCCAACATGGTAAAACCTCGTCTCTACCAAAAATACAAAAATTAGCCAGACGTGGTGGCACGTGCCTCTAATCCCAGCTACTCAGGAGGGTGAGGCGGGAGAATCGCTTGAATCTGGGAGGGGGAGGTTGCAGTGAGCTGAGATTAAGCCACTGCACTCTAGCCTGGGTGACAGAGTGAGACTTCATCAAAAAAAAGAAAAGAAAGAAAGAAAGAAAAAAAAAAAAAGAAATCACCACAGCCACCCCAACCTTTAGCAACCACCACCCTGATCAGTCAGCAACCATCAACATGGAGGCAAGACCCCCCAGCAGCAAAAAAAAAAAAAAAAAAAAAAAAAAAAAGAATTGCTGAAGGCTCAGATAATTGTTAGCAGTTTTAGCACTAAAGTATTTTTTAGATATAATACTATTGCACACTTAATAGTCTATAATGTAGTGTGAACATAACTTTTATATGTAAAGGGAAACTAAAAAAAAAAAACGTGTGACTCAATTTATTGTGATATTTGCTTTGTTGCAGTGGTATGGAACTGAATCTGCAATTTCTCCAAGATATGGCTGCAGTTGGATAACTTCCCTCCCTACGTACTCTTCCTATAACATACATAATTGTAAATTACATAAGCCCCTTTCCTTCCCCTGCCACTTGGTGGCTGGCTGACCACAAGAGCACCCATTATTCCCTTCTCTTTCTCAATGAACAGGATCCTGCCTTAGTCTAACACTGCTGAATGAGATTGTCTGTTTAATTCTGATTCTTAATATTTGTAATCTAAATTTTCTAAAGGTATTAGCTATGTCCTTCAAGTGAGATTTTTTATCAATGATAAAGGTAATATTTTGTCCCTCCTCTGCTGACTCCTTTGTAGGCTTCTCATTTGGTTCAAAACTCAGGCAGTGATAAAATGGTGTTATTATTGGGCCCTCTCAAAAACTGAAAGAGTGATGTTAATTGGTTTGTAATTTTAATGACGGCTGCCCTTTAAGGTGGGTTCTCTTTACTAGAGCCAATAAATTGATCTCCTGGTATCTGGAATGTTGCCAGCTATACATCTGGATATTTGCAATTCTAAGCCTAAATATCAGAAGCAAAAAGTTAAGTGTTTTCACCTTGCAGGGCTATCAGTATACTTTCGCTATCTTGCTTCATGGTCAGTTACTTCTGTGGCTCAATGACGGAATCTAGATTACAGTGATGTTAACCACTTCACCATCCCATTGAATATCCATCTGATCTAGTACATTTATGGCATTGTGCTGACAGGGCCTGGAGACAGATGAGGCAGATACCCTAGATGTTTTGGCAGGTCACATTAATTTCTTGGGATGAAACATAAATTTTATAAAAATTCAGGAAATTACTATCTCATGGAGGTTCCCCATGGGAGATGAAGTATCCCTGTGATCTAAACTTAACAAAATATTAGCTTTGAGTTATGTCAAGAAAAACCAATGTCTCTCTGGTTGACTCAAACTGAAATTTGTGTAGCTCTGACTCTTGGCCCTCATAAACCAATAGGTCTTTGATACACAAAATGTCTGGAGTTGCTCAGGAATGCTGTATAGAACCGGAAAACCCTGACAGAAGAATCACAGTGAAAGCCCCTAGGGTTTTGGAGCAAGTTCCTGTTCTCTGTGGAAAGTACCTACTCTTTTTTGTAGAACTAGCTAAAACTCTGAAAAGACTGAATGCCCAACCATTCATGTGTGACATTACCACCCATGTGAGCTGGGTGTTATCTGATCCACTTAGCCATCAAGTAGGGCATGTCCAGCAACACCCCGTCAAATGGAAAAGCTAAAAGTGTGACTGGGCCTGAGCAGACCCCAAGGCAGAAATGATCTGTGTGAATAGGTTGCTCACAGTCTCTGTGTATTTACTCCTGCCTCAATGTTATCTCTTCCTCAACCCATACTAAGTCCTGTGGTGAGAGGAGAACTCTCTCCAATTACTCCCAGTATTAGTTGATTCTGGGGCAGGGAGGACTGTGAGAACATAGCACCCTTTGAGCATTTGTAGGAGTTCACAGTTCTGGGAGCTAACCAGGCAAAAGGTTTTTATGCAAATAACTGAAACTGACCCTACTTATTGGAATGTTAAGAGTAGCATGGAAAATTGATAGGAAGGTGTGATAGGCAGCAAACAAAGGCGTCGGGCAATACAGAATATAGCTATGTACATGTCCATACAGCAAGAAGACTCTGACATGTGCCAATGCTGTATTAATACCCTGAATACTCACCACCACTGCTGGACTCCTGGCTGCATCAGCACTGCTGGGAATATTCCCAAACTCTGCCTGCATATTCGTACATTCCCTTGGATTCAAACCCTACCTAATATAATGCAGGTACTGCTGCATATGCCCCTGTACTACTGAAAATCCACTCATCTTGTCCCCAAAGACAGCCCAATACTTGCTATTTTCATTCAGCTCCAAGTTCAGGATCTCCTGATAGTGCCCACTTCATCTCTTGTTCTTTTGTGATCCTGTACTGATATTTCATATCCTATGAAATATACTAAAAGTCAACCACCACTAACTCACCTAGTTATAATAGTGAGAAAATGGGAGAAGAAAGAGAAAAGAAGATTAAATACAGAAACATATACCCAACAATAAAAAATGAAATATGGGTAGATGGAGAGTATTTCTGAAACTGGTTGTGAGGCTGTAGCTTATTGTAACAAATTCCTGCCTCCGCTTATCCAATCCATGTTCCCTTTGCCTTCAGCCACCCCCTCGATTGATTGGTGCAATTTTTTCTGGTGGAATGACTCAGATTTTTATTCTGGAGGAGATCTGAGCCCTTGATGACCCAACCTGTACAGAGTTATAGACATCTTTCATGAGCTTATACACACTGACACAGTAAAGCAAGGAGAGACCCCAGGAATAATCTGAGTTCCATTCATACTGTTTTTTCCACACTGTCTACATTGTACAGCAGTAGTGCTATTTCCTTTTATAGCTGGGAATAGTTGCTAAGTCAACAGAACATCCACTTTTTAGACTGCTGGCAATTTTCCAGGCTTTAGGCATGCTCTGGTGAAATCGTAAGCAAAGACTGCTCTTTTGTACTGGTCATGGCTACCTTTTACAAGTCCATCAGCTGTTTTTCAATTAACTTCGGTCTTCCTCTCAGGGGAATCAGATGATTAAGTTGATCCTCCCATGATACTCTGTGCTCATGGAAAATCAGAGAGCTGCCTCTGCCCTGCTCATGTTTAGGCATACTGCACCTCCAGTTTTGATATAGGGATGCCTCCTCTCCATGGTTACACTGTGGAACTTATCTATAAGACTTTCTATCATTGAGGGTCCTGCCTAAATAAATAAAAAAAAAAAACCTGGAATCTTCTACTCCAAGACCCCCAAACATGAAGGCAGGGTCTAGTTATACCCCATCCCAGGACTCTGGCCAGTGGGGCAAGAGTCAGGAGACAGCACTCTTACAATTACTTCTCACTCTCTTGCTCCCGATTGCATCTTCTCCCAAAATATTTGTATCTTAAATTTGGATTTTTACACCAGGCGAGGTGGCTCATGCCTGTAATCCCAGCACTTCGGGAGGCCAGGGTGGGTGGATCAGCTGAGGTCAGGAGCTCAAGACTAGCCTGGCCAACATAGTGAAACCCTGTCTTTACTAACAATACAAAAATATTAGCTGGGCATAGTGGTACATGCCTGTAATCCCAGCTACCCGGGAGGCTGAGGCAGGAGAATCGCTTGAACCCGGGAGGCAGAGGTTGCAGTGAGCTGAGATTGCACCACAGCACTCCAGCCTGGGTGACAGAGTGAGATTGCATCTCAAAAAAAAAAAAAAAAAAAAAACTTTTTTTTTTTTTTTGAAATTTTAGGAGCTACACATTTGCCAACCTTATTCTTCGGTCCCATCCTAACCATATTCACCTCCACCAGGGAACATATGGTAGCCACATATCTTATAGCCTGAATGGAGCCCTGGCACAGAGGAAAAAGAATGTTTGAAGAAAGAATTATTTGAATGTTTGAATGTTTGAAAAAGAATTATTACACCTCCACAACAGGCCCCATAGTATTTGTGTCCTTGCAAAACATATTATCTCTGTTCTGGGGTTCTAACATCCCTCTTCATGGTCAGAGAGATACATATTTGTCTTGAATCTGTGTCTTCAGAAGATCTTCCCAGTACATTGCTGTGTGAGTGTTGTGTCTGCAGCCCCAACTGCCTGCCCAAGGAAAAGGTGAGTACAATTGAGTCCCCATTCACTAGGGGCTCCTATTTAATCTCACAGCCTCTATATCCTAGGAAGTTGAATTAACCTGGAGGGAAGATTCTCCACCCACCTGGCATAGGTTGCAGATGGATTTTACACAATGGGAATTGGGGCAGGCAGGGTTGGAACATGGCCCAAAGTGTTGGGGGATCACTCTCCTGTGACCTGACACAGGTTCTATGCTCTGTCTCACAGCCTGAGAGAGAGAAAGCAAATTTTAGTCCACTTTAGCCCTACTGCATTGTCATCAAAGGAGACTTCACTCAGCAACTTGACATTGGGAGGGTGGACGTCCTCTTCCTTTCAGCCCTCCCCACCCCCAGCATACAGCTACAGGCTGCCGGGCTATCCTCTCACAACTCTCAAGGTGGTTGGCGAGTTTAGGCAGCAACTGCCAGTTAATAGCAGAAAGAGAAGCTAGGAAGAGGGAAGTCAGGGGCCCAGTGTATGCATGTGTGTGGGTTGGAGAAGGGTGCAAAGGTGATAAGAGAAGAGAAGAGTGGCATAAGGGCTTATGTTTGGCACCGTTAAGACTTACTGTGAACCTGACATGCAGAGATGGAGGGCCTCAAGAGGGTCTTTCTCTTGGTGGGATGGTTCTCTGATCACCTGTCCACTCCATCAGTGAAGGACGGGTCCCCCACTTTAAATAGTGTGAGATGGCTGAACCCATGACACCTGACACTGAAGAGATGAGATGAATAGCACATAGAATTAGTGTCACCTATACTCACAGCCTGAGGGAGGAGGATACTGCATGCCATGCAGTGACCCACAGAGGTTCCACTTGGGAGCAGGGTGAACCAGCAGAGGCTGTGGAAGGCAGGCTTTGCATTAGGATGGTGCAAGGGTAATCGTGGTTTTTGCCATTAAAAGTACTCCTGCAGGAAGATGTGATTAGCTTTTTTTGTGGGCTGACAGGGACTTGAGACTCATAGGTTAAGAACTGGGTGGGTGCAGCTGATCTGATAATAGAGGAACTAGCCAGGTGGGGAGCCTCTCCCACTGGGTGGTGGAGGGGGGAGCACATTCAAAGAGCAGGAGAACTCAGGGTTAGACCTTTGGACCCTGTGAGAACTTGAAAGCACTTTAAGGCAGCTCTTGAAGTTTTAGGCCTTACAATACAAATGGACCAAATGCCTTTGCCTAGTCTCTTTCTGTGGGAATCCAGCTTTCCCTTGTTGTAGGGATCCCTTTGTTCATAGAAATTATAGGGCAGCTGGCAGATTTTCATGCCTAATAGCTGCCCATGGTACACATTGAAGGCTGATTTGCTTCTAAACAATACTCCAACCAACACTCGTGTGGCAGGGCAATCATGAGTGCAGGGAGAGTTCACATGTGAGGACCTGGTAGGTGGGTAGTAGTGGATGAGGTCACAATGTGGTTGGAACTTGAACAGTATCCAGTTTCATTCCTAAAACAACCTTTTGAAATAGGTAGGCACCTGGACCTGCCAAAAGGAACCTATGGTATTTGTGTCAACATGTGCCCAGGAAACAAATCCTGTCTAGGGGAAAGAGATGCCAAAGCAATGGCTGTGGTCATGTGTGCAAAGTTGTTCCTGAAACAAGTAAAAGCCAGCCCCTGAGATGCTCCCAGGGGAAAATGACACATTGGTCTTCCTTAGGATAACCACAGGGAAGCAGGAATTGTTTTGACTATTCCAGGACTTTTGGCCACCTTATCTGAACTCTTCTGTTGTCCTGGCTTCCCTGAACCATGCTTAGAAGCATGCTAAGCAGTTAAGAAGAGATAGCTTGATCCTGGACATAGCTCAGTTGTCAATACAGCTGTCCAACTTCCATGGACTTTTGGGCTTATTTCAGTCTGACAACAGGGTGGGTGGTTGGCGAGGAGAGAAAGAAAAGGGACCAGCAATCATGGGGCAGCTGCTATGTGTTAAGTGCCCAAATAACAAAAAGACTATGAAAAGGTCACCATCCTCAAGTGCTTTCAGTCTAGTTAGGGAGATAGAGCCATAAAACAAATTAAAAAGCACGTAACAAGTGCACAAAGATCTGAGGAAGCAGTGCAGAGCGAGCAACTTTACCAAGAAGAGTCTTCAGAGAGGAAATAATAATCTGAGCTAGATCTTGACAAAGAGCAGGAGTTAACAGAGAGAAGAGGACAAGCCAGGCAGAGGAAGCAACAGTCACATCACCCTGGATGAGCCAAAGCCATAGAGATTTAGAGCATGGAGGATGTGGCAAGAGACTCCCCATAGGGTAGTGGCAGGGAGTAATCTGCAAGAGGAGGATCAAGACAGAGTCTGAAGCACCTTAAACACCCTGCTTGGATTCGAATGGGGCACCATAGTAGGTGTTTAAGCAGGGAATGGCTCATGATAAATTCTGTATTTTATGTCAACAGCAGTGATGACCGTGCAGGCGGAAGCACAGACCTTTATAAGAGTAGCCAGGTCACTTCTTCAGAAGATTCTTCACCCATCCCCAAGCCCTGGTTGTTCTTCATCCTTGGAGTTACAAGCCTGGAAGAAATAGCCTTATTTTAATTATTCAATTTTGGAAATTTCCACAGGCTAACTTTTAACCAGAAGATCTTGATCCTAAAAACTCTTATCCAGAATAAACTGTTCTGGCATTATCCAATCTGAGTCTTTATACTATGTAAGGTCTCTAAGGGGCCCTTTCTGGACTAGCAGCATCATAAATAGCATAAAAATAATAAGGCCCATGCATGTAGAAGCAATTCTGGGGATTCTAAGAAGACAAAGTCCCTCAAGTCCCTTCCTACATCCTTAGTGGCCTCTGAATTACTGCCCTCTGTCTAAGGGTGAGTGGGGCTTACCCTCTGCTTAGCCTCCACGGGAAGAGAAAGATTGTATTTGTGTTTTCACGCTGCTAATAAAGACATACCTGAGACTGGGTGAATTATTTTAAAAAGGATTAATGGACTCAGTTCCACATGGCTGGGGAGGCCTCACAATTATGGCAGAAGGCGAAAGAGGAGCAAAGGCACATCTTACATGGTGGGAGGCAAGAGAGAATGAGAGCCAAGTGAAAGGGGTTTCCCCTTATAAAACCATCAGATCTCATGAGATATATTCACTAACAGTATGGGGGAAACCACCTCCATGATTCAATTATCTCCCCCTGGGTCCCTCTTACAACATGTGGGAATTATGGGAGCTACAATTCAAGATGAGCTTTGGGTGGGACACAGCCAAACCATATCAAAGATGTAGGGTAGGCTGTAGGGCAGACTGAGGGAGCACCAAAAAGTGGGGGTCAGAGCTGGGTCATAGAGAAGGAATGAAGAAGTCGGCCGGGTGCGGTGGCTCACACCTGTAATCCCAGCACTTTGGGAGGCTGAGGCAAGCAGATCACTTGAGGTCAGGAGTTCCAGACCAGCCTGGCCAACATGGTGAAACCACATCTCTACTAAAAATACAAAAATTAGCCGGGCATGATTGTGCATGCCTGTAGTCCCAGCTACTCAGGAGGCTGAGGCAGGAGAATTGCTTGAACCCAGGAGCAGTAGGTTGCAGTGAGCCAAGATCGCACCACTGTACGCCAGCCTGGGTAACAGGCTGCCACTGCACTCAGCCTGAATACTGATTTTTATTAGTTTTCAGATAGCCCGGGGATCAGCAAACTACAGCCCACAGGCCAAATCCAAGCCACCTCCTGGTTCTGCACATCCCATGAGTTAAACTGATCTTTGCATTTTAAAATGTTTAAAATACAAAGAGACACATATACTAATAATATTTAGTGATATGTAAGATAATATGGAATTCAAATTTTAGTGCTCATAAAGTTTCATTTGAACATAACTACACTCATTAGTTTCCATATTGTCCATGGCTGCTTTCAAGTCACAATGTCAGAGTTAAGGGGTCACAACAAAGACTGAATGGCCTGCAAAGCCATATCTACTTCCTGCCCTTCACAGAAAAAGTTTGCTGACCCCTAGTCTAGATCCAGAAAATGAAAAAAAGATATAATTTCAGAAAACTACATTGTATGATATAACACAAATGGATAAATAGGTTTTCTATCTCCAGTAGCATTTTTTAATCCTTCCCTTCCTCCCACAAAAAAATTTATAATTAAAAAATATAAAAAGTCACTCTGGAAACAAAACAAACAAAAAGTCAGTCAGAGATCAGAAAACAGCCCAAATATGTATCCTGACTTTAATTCAAATATGTCTCAGCCCAAATATACATTCCAAATGATCTTGACCTTAACCCAAGCATCAGATTGAAATATTTTCAGAATATTATCAGGACAAACACACATATACAAAAATGCATATCACTATTGATCAGATGATAGATAGATAGATAGATATACAATATCTCTAGAAGAGAACCCAAGAAATTATAATAGTGGTTCTTCCTGGAAAGATAATGGGGTGGGAGGTATTGGAAGTCAAAATGGGGAGGAAAATTTCTTTTCTTTTCTTTCTTTCTTTCTTTTCTTTTTTTTTTTTTTTTTGAGACCACGTATCACCCTGTTTGCCCAGGCTGGAGTGCAAAGGCACGATCTTGGCTCACTGCTGCCTCCATCTCCTGGGCTCAAGTGATTCTCCCACCTCAGCCTCCTGAGTAGCTGGGACAATAGGCATGCACTACCAAGCCCAGCTAATTTTTTGTATTTTTAGTAGAGATGGGATTTCACCATGTTGCCCAGGCTGGTCTTGAACTCCTGTACTCAAGCAATCTGCCCACCTTGGCCTCCCAAAATGCTGGGATTACAGATGTGAGCCACTGCACCCAGCCAGAAAATTATTACTTTTCATTGTAAACTTTTATTTATATTTAAATTCATACTGTGGGGAAAAGCAAGAGAGATCAGATTGTTACTGTGTCTGTGTAGAAAGAAGTAGACATAGGAGACTCCATTTTGTTCTGTACTAAGAAAAATTCTTCTGCCTTGAGATGCTGTTAATCTATGACCTTACCCCCAACCCCGTGCTCTCTGAAACATGTGCTGTGTCAACTCAGGGTTAAATGGATTAAGGGTGGTGCAAGATGTGCTTTGTTAAACAGATGCTTGAAGGCAGCATGCTCCTTAAGAGTCATCACCACTCCCTAATCTCAAGTACCCAGGGACACAAACACTGCGGAAGGCCGCAGGGACCTCTGCCTAGGAAAGCCAGGTATTGTCCAAGGTTTCTCCCCATGTGATAGTCTGAAATATGGCCTCGTGGGAAGGGAAAGACCTGACCGTCCCCCAGCCGGACACCCGTAAAGGGTCAGTGCTGAGGAGGATTAGTATAAGAGGAAGGCATGCCTCTTGCAGTTGAGACAAGAGGAAGGCATCTGTCTCCTGCCCGTCCCTGGGCAATGGAATGTCTCGGTATAAAACCCGATTGTACGTTCCATCTACTGAGACAGGGAAAAACCGCCTTAGGGCTGGAGGTGGGACATGCGGGCAGCAATACTGCTTTGTAAAGCATTGAGATGTTTGTGTGTATGCATATCTAAAAGCACAGCACTTAATCCTTTACCTTGTCTATGATGCAAAGACCTTTGTTCACATGTTTGTCTGCTGACCCTCTCCCCACTATTGTCTTGTGACCATGACACATCCCCCTCTCGGAGAAACACCCACCCACGAATGATCAATAAATACTAAGGGAACTCAGAGGCTGGCGGGATCCTCCATATGCTGAACGCTGGTTCCCCGGGTCCCCTTATTTCTTTCTCTATACTTTGTCTCTGTGTCTTTTTCTTTTCCAAGTCTCTCGTTCCACCTCACGAGAAACACCCACAGGTGTGGAGGGGCAACCCATCCCTTCACATACATTTTCATTTTTTAAAATCACAAATAGAATCTATAGAGGTCCAAATCCACTTACATCAGGAAGGTCATTATCAAGACAGATTGTGCATGGTACTTTTAAACCAGACAGAATAGTTGTTGTATTTGTATTCCATGTTGTGCAGAGATCTAAAATGGCATGTAAACATCAATTAAATCAATTAAATCTCAACCGAGATTCAAGATGAATCTCAGCTTCGCCACCTTGTTCAGAGATAGCTGAACAAGATGCAACAGCCCCTTCTATACTGATGATCAAGAGAAATCACAGCACCTTCAAAAATTAGACATCTCACAGAAATGGCCCCTTTGCTCTTGGAATGAAAGACGTGAGGGCTGGAAAGGAAGAGGGTGGCCTGGAGGAGTAGGGATCACATTCATTTTACGAAACCCACATGGCTGATGGAACGATGGTTAGGAGGTCACCCCACACCCAACCTCCCATCTCCCAGCCGTGGTCAAAGTTGAGGTCATACATTCCACAAAGTCAGCCTCACAAGATATGAATGCTCCCATCAACACCTGTGCAAAAGGAAAAAAAAGTCCTTACATAAGAGGTGGCTGAAAAATACTGTAAAGAACCAAAAGTAATTATGAAATATGAATTTTCAAGTTTAAAAATGTCCCTCCTATGAGTTAGTAACATGAATTGGGTGAGGATAACCTTCCAGGAAGTCTGGGGTACCCATGTCAGAGACAGAGGCAGGAGGAATGGAGGAAGTGGCTTTCTACCTGTCTTCTCCAGCCAATATCTCACAGGACTTCTGAGCCCTGTGAGGAGAGAAGCAGTCTCCCCATTGCTGTCCAGAACATGATGTGACCAATGGAGTAAATGCTAGTGGGAACACAGCACCATCCTGTCACTTAGACTCTCAGCTTTGGGCTGGAGAGAATGTCCTGCTGCACAGGGCGGCATTCCTATGAGGACACTGGCAAAGGTGAAGTGGGGGCAGTGATGGGTCTCTGGGCTCAAGTGGCTTTGCAGAGAGGCCATATGAGAAGGACTTGAGTGGACTTGTTTGTAAGCACATAAATAAAACCTAAATAAATGGAGATTTATACCACAATGACAGACAGAAAGATTCAATAGTATTAAATGTTCATTTTCCCCAAATTAATCTATAGATTCAACTTATCTCTATCAAAATTATAGTAATCTTCTTTTAAAGATTGAGACTTATTCTAAAATGTATATGGAAATGAAAATGATCTAGACTAGCTAAAACAATCTTAAAAAAGGAAGAACAAACTTAGAGGATTCACATTATCTAATTTCAAGATCTACTATAAAGCTACACTACTCAAGATACTGTGGTATTGTCATAAAGTGTGTAGAGTTATTTCCTTTGTCCAGTGCCAAGTCCAAGGATGGGCCTCTAGCTTCCTGATAATACAAGGCTTTCCACAGGGTTTCCTGGCTGTTCTCTGCACCCTGGAACTACAACACTAGAAGGAAAAGTTCCACAATGGGTCTAGGCTAAAGTCTGATTTCTGAAGATTTCAAGGGGAATACTAGAGTGGCTGATTTCTAGAATATTTTTCCTGAATGAGCCCTTGATGTATCTTTACAAAGTCTGGGTCCTTCTTACTATTAAATGTGCGTGCTGCAATTCTTTTTTTTTTTTTGGAGCCATAGTCTTGCTCTGTCGCCCAGACTGGAGTGCAGTGGCACGATCTCGGCTCACTGAAAGCTCTGCCTCCCGGGTTCACGCCATTCTCCTGCTTCAGCCTCCTGAGTAGCTGGGACTACAGGCACCCGCCACCCAGCCCGGCTAATTTTTTTTTTGTATTTTTAGTACAGACTGGATTTCACCATGTCAGCCAGGATAGTCTTGATCTTCTGACCTCGTGATCCGCCCGCCTTGGCCTCCCAAAGTGCTGCGATTACAGGCGTGAGCCACTGCGCCTGGCCTGCAATTCTTAAAAATCAGCATCCTCCCAACCAGCACCAATTCACTGACAATACAGAGACCTGGCTCTGGACCAGTGCAGGTGCTGTAGACAGAGAACAAGATTCCAGGAAACCACACCTTAAAGATGGAAATCTGGGATTGGTTATCTCTGCAGGTTGTGTTTAAAGGCAGTAACGGCCACATTGCTGGTGGAAAGTAGGATCCCAGGAGTCCAGGTCACAGATTGGCAAGATAGATACTGAAATTATCACCTATAGTTGCTTCGATGAAATGCCTTTTAAAGGGAAGTCTTTAGAATACCCAAGGAGCTCTTAAAATAGAACATTATGGTGGTTACATGGAGTGGGATGCCACCTTCTAACTGCACTGGAGAGTTTACAGAAAACATAAGCTCAGGGCTTTCAATCCTTAGTTGAAGACAAGGTCAGAGAAACAGCTAACATGTATTCTGCCCTAAGGAAGTCTGTTTCCATTTTATCTGAGATGAGAACCAAATTTGACAGGTTGACTATGAATTACAAAGCAAGTTGAATCTCAGCTTTGCCAGGTCTCTCATATTTAAACTAAGGCATGAAGAGGGGAAAGTAGGGCCTTACAGATTGCAATGATTCTGACAAATATGAGCACCTTAACTTCCCAGAGCTGCGCTGACTCTCTCTACCAGCAGTCACAGCCCCAGCTCCCCTGAGGAAGCTGCCACCCCCTTGCCTGAAGTTTCTATAATAATTTCTACTGAATGTCTTGGAGAGCTATAGTCCATTGCCTCTCATTGCCTCAGAATACTGGGAGGACAAGAGTCATAATCCAGCTGCACTCCAAAGGTGAAGTCCAAAATCTGACCTGGGAGGAGATAGAATACATGCTCAAATACTAAAATATTTTGCCAAGTTATATCAGCACTAATCTAAGGAATATGTGTATGTTTTTGGCAATGGCTAACTAGGCATGGTGTTCTTAGGATGGAAGATATGGGCAAACTACTGAGGCCTTTGTGGATCTATACGAGAGAAGGAGAGACAGAGGAAGAAAGAGATGAGGAGGGGAAGGAGGGGAGAGAGAGAGAGACAGAAAGAGAGAAAGCGAGAGAGCAAGAGAGTGCACACAACTTCTTGGCCTAGGGAACAGACATATGTTAGGAACACCATACTGGAAAGGAATGGCTTCTCCTCCCAAAACCAAAACCAACCAGTTTACAGACCAGAACCCTTTGAGTTAGGAGGAAGTCAGCTCCCACTAAGAGAGGACCATGGGACATTGCCACAAGTGAGTACTGTAAAGTTTCCTTCTATGCTTATCTAATGGGACTTGCAATCATTCACTGGTGACATAGCATTGGAGAGAGGGAACTACCCAGGCTCTGAGGCAATGACTGGACAGTGCTCTGATCTGACACTGATATTTGGGAACTAAAATATCCCTGCATTGATCAGAGTGCAGGCTTTTCGAAGTCAGGTGTTGAATGGAGTTTTGGCTTCTGCCCATTTCACAGTGAGCCCAGTGGTTCCACAAACTCTTCCTGTGGTCACTTTCTCAGGTCTTGAGTGCTTAGTTGTAATTGTTATCTTAAACACTGGGAAAAACTTCACATTTGCTCCCTGATGGATGGGGTGAGGGCTATTATGATAGAATACGTCAAGAGGAACCCCCTTGGAACTATCCCACCACTATGACCAAAAGAGTAATTTAAAAGTAATTTAATAGTATTTAATAGTAATTTAAATAGTAATTTAAAAGTAATGCTGCTGTCTTAATCTATTTAGGCTGCTGTAATAAAATACCATAAACTGGGTCATTTATAAACAACAGAAATTTATTTCTCACAGTTCTGGAGGCTGGGAAGTCCAAGATCAAGGTGGCAGCAGATTCAGTATCTGGTGAGGGCCTGATTCCTCATTCATAGATGGCAGTTTCTTGCTGTGTCTTCATGTGGTGAAAGGATCAAACAACCTCCCTAGGGTTTCTTTTATAAAGGCACTAATCCCATTCATGAGGTCTCTGCCCCTAATTCCTAATCACCTCCCAAAGGGCCCAGCTTGCAACACCACTATCCTGGGGGTTAGGATTTCATCTTATGGATTTGGGAAGGACACAAACATTCACCTCATAGTAACCAATCCCGGGGAATCACTGAAATTTCTGTTACCATCAAGTTTGCACTTGCATCTGATTAGCTGTGCAGAAGAGATAACATGGCCGGCCTGAGAATATAGTCCTTAGAAAGGCCTGCTTGCAAAGTTGGCCCTTGGCTGACATCTGGGAGCTTGAATGTTAAACAGTTCTCTACACTGATACAAAATTTTCCCTAAATGACAAGAGTGCCTCACTGTGCCTAAACTTTTTGTGCAAACAGTATGCTTTATGCTGAATACATGTTTTACTTCTGGGAGTCTGGAATTTTGGCACATGCTGGGTAGAAGGAGTGCCTATACGACAGGCCTCCAGTAAAAATCTTCAACTCCTAGGCTCAGGCAAACTTTCCTGGTGAACAATATTTCACATGGGCTGTCACAACTCGATGCATAAGAAATTAAGTTATTACTGTGTGACTGTACAGGGAGGGGACTTTTGGAAGCTTACACCTAGTTTCCTCCAGACTTTGCCCATATACCTTTTCCCTTCGTGGATTTTGTTTTGTATCCTTCACTGTAATAAATCAGAACCATGAATATGACTATATGCTGAGTCCTGTGAGTCCTCCTAGCAAAACTTTGAGCCTAAAAATGTCTTGGGAACCTTTAACACAGTAGGTATTTCATCCTGCTGCCTGTCTGCAGAAATATGAGGGCCAACAGTTTTCTAAAGATTTTGTCTTAGTCCCTCATAGTGTGAGCAGTAGTGCTTTTAACAATACAATTCTTTTAAGAACCTCAAAGGTTTCCTGTGAAACTGGTTCAGATCTCCATGACCCAAAAGTCTCTAGCACAATTCTTTTGTGAACAGGTCTTTCTCTTCTTTGAGAGTTGCAGGCATCTGTTGGACAAGAACCCTAAAATTTTTAGGAGCCATTTTGTCTAGCTCAAAGTATCTACTAAGCACGACTTTCAATCTTACAGAGCTCTTAACAGAGTGTCCTACAGCCATACCTTTTATTAGACTTTTACCACTGAGACTATATATTACTTTGAGTTTCCTTTAATGGCTTGAGAGACTACAGGTGAGAAATAATTTAATTTTCCCACTTAGAAATCCCCAGCTTTTCTATAATCTAATTTCTGCTTGAAAATGGAGCCACCTTTCTCTAACTCATTTATTTCTGTCTTAGTTCATTCTGGCTTTTATAACAAAATACCATAGCTTATAAATAACAGGAATTTATTTCTCACCATTCTGGAGAATGGAAAGTCCAAGATCAGGGTGTCAGCATGGCCAGGTTCTGGTGAAGGCCCTCCTCTGAGTTGCAGAATCCCAACTTGTTGCTGCAACCTCACATGGTAGAACTGGTGAACTAGCTCCCTTGGGCCTATTTTATAAGGACACTAATTCCATTCATAAGGGCTGCATTATCATGATCTATTCACCTCCACAACCCCTCCATCATCTCCTAATACAATCACATTGGTGATTTGGTTTCAACATATGAATTTGGGGGGAACACAAACATGCAATGGACATAGCATGTGGAATGATAGACAGTAGAGACTTGGGACAGTGGTGGAGGGTAGGGTAGGACAAGGTAGATGATGAGGAATTACTTAATGGGTACAATGTACATTATCCAGGTACCCTGACTTCACCACTACACAATCTATGCATGTAACTAAATTACACTTGTACCCCATACATTCATACGAAAAAAGGAGAATAAGGCCAACCCAGCTCATTTTCTCCAGCCTAGGTGACAAGGGCAAAACTCTGTCTCAAAAAAAAAAAAAAAAAAAAAAAAAAAAAAAACAAGAAGAAGAAGAAATCTTTGCCTATCCCAAGATCATGAAACTATTTCTACAATATCTTCTAAAAGCTTTATTGTTTCTTCTTTCACATTAAGTCCATGATCCATTTGGAAGAGATTTCTGTGTGTGGTGTGGGGTAGGAGTCAAGGTTCCTTTTTGTTTACATGAATAAGCCAATCAAGCCAGCTACCTTTACTGAAAAAGCATTCTTTCCCTCTTTGAACTACAGCGGCTCCTTTGTCATAAATTATGAGATGGTGTGTTTTTGTTACACTGATCTATTTGGTATCTTGCACTGCTGTTCCATTTACTGCCACATTATAATAAATCCTGATAAATGGTAGCTTAAGTCCCTCAACTTTGTTTAAGACTGTCTTGATTATTCTTGCCTTTTGGAATTTTCATATAAGTTTTAGAATCAGTTTATCAATTTTCATGAAAAATCCTTCTAAGATTTTGACTGAGATTGTATTAAATTTATTGTTGAATTTGGGGAAAACTGACAGCTTTATAATAATGAATCTTCTAATCCACAAACACGGCACATCCCTCCATTTATTAAGGTACCTACAAATTTTTGTTTGTAATATCGTGTAATTTTCTGCACAAGATTTGTTAGATTTATCTCTAGGTAATTGATGGTTTTGACGATATCTTAAAGGGCATTTGAAAATGTTATTTTCTATATGTAATACTTGAAAGCTGTTAATTGGGTCTCTCCTCTGGTCAGGCATCTGTGTGCACCAATGCAGAAAAGACGGGGACTACAAGGAAGGAAAATGTTGCATCAGGAAGGGCTGCTGGCACATCTTTGTTCCCCCTCCCCAAAACCTCATCCCCAAGCAGGTGAGTCCTGACTCTCCCCACCTGGCCTGACCGAGACTGATTAAAGATTTGGTGATACCTGGATTTTCACAGTAGTGCGGTCACCCACAAATGTGACAGAAATGTCCCCAAAGGCCTGAGGGCTCCTTCTGCTCTCACCCTTCCTGAGGGAAGGGCTGATCCTAAGACCCATTACCCCCACATTTTCAAGTATGAGAATCCTGAAAAGAAAAATCATTTCATATTTCCCAAGGAATAGATATTCATTATAGTGAAGTCAGATATATAGAACAAAGAGATGGTAAAACTTGCTCATAATCTCATTACCAGCAGATAAATATAGTTACATGTTTTGTCACGTCCTTTCATACTTTGATCCATGGGGTGTGTGTGCAAAATAATCAAGGCATCACACTCTACATAATTTTGGACCTCTTCTTTTTTTTTTCACTCACCAATATACAGTAAACAGCTTTCCCTGTCAGTGGATGTATTTCTACAATTTCATTTTCCCCCCAAGGTTTCACATCATTCTCACCATGTAGATATACCATATTTTATTTACTAATTCTTGACCAATAGATATTTAGACTTCAAAAGATTCCTTAGAATGAAATCTTTCCATGCACAGTTGATTGTTTCATCAGGAAATATTCTTTGAAGTGTTTCTAGGTGAAAATGCATGCATTTTTTACATTTTAATTTTATTTAATTTTTTAGAGATCCCTAAAAAATTAGGAATCCCTGTTGCCTAGGCTGGTCTCAAATTCCTGGGCTGAAGCTATCCTCCCACCTCAGCCTCCTAAGTAGCTGGGATTGCAGACACATGCCACTGTGCCTGGCCAGCATGCACGCTTTTTAAACTCCAAAAATACATTGCCAAATTGCTGTTACGAGGGTACATTTTTTTATGCCAAAAAGTTTTGATCAACCTCAAAATACTGGCTATAGTTTAATTTTTCACTATTTGACAGTAGGTGTAATTTCATCTGAGTTTACAATTTTAAGTCACATACATTAAAAAAAAAAAAAAACCTCAGTTACGTTTGTGAAATATTTACTTGTTTGGAGGAATGTTTCAGCAATCTTTTGTAATAAGTTGGAATCCCCCAGAGTGGGAAAAGGATGAATGAAACACATATTTAGCACCCGCTTTGTTTCAGATCTTTTCAAATACATTTTTTTTTAATCTTGAGAGCTTTTTATGATGTGTGGATTTATAGCACCCACATTTTACAGATGAGGAAACTGAGAAATAAACAAAATGTCTTTTTCTTTTGCTTACCTTACCATGATTCCTCTCCACTCTCTCCTTTAAGTCACTGGGCTTATATTGCAAATGGTGATCCCAGGAGGCCACTGTAGCTAATGGTGTCCCCCAGTTTGCAATAAAGATTTCTGTCATCTCCCTCTCCCGCTGGGTTCAGAAACAAAGCCTGGGATGGCGGCAGGCCCATTGCGCCATCTACTGGCAATCACTGTGCAGTGCATGACCTTCCCACTGCAGTACTGGCTGGAGCAGATGAGGTGGAAATATCTGTAAATTTCACATCTGCATTTACTCTTCATAACAGCTTTCTGAAGTAAATATTGTATCCTTATTTCAAATGCATGGAAACTGGGTCTTTGAGAGATGAAATGTGTCCCACATCAAGCAGTTGGTAAATGGCAAAGCTGATCTCTTTGCCACCAAAGCCAGAACACTTTTCAGCACAGCATGCTGCCTCCCCGAATGAAGTAATCATGAGGAGCTGCTGTCCACATGCTTCTGCCTTTTCCTCCAAACCACTCAAACTATAAGATAACAGCAAAAGAAATACCCAGCGTCTTTGCACAGAGCGGCCACAAATGCTTTCTGCTGTGGCAGCTGCTGACTCATCCACAGGACCGTTTCTTCCACCTCAGACCCATGCGTTCCTGCTCTCTGCCAAGTCCGAACTGGAGAAAACAAATTCTGTCCCAGTGGGGTTTCCCATCTTTGGCTGGCTGGCTGGACTTCCTCCACAACCACTCTCTCGCCTTCTAAGCAGGAGCTGGGTGAGACATGAGATCATGGGGGCATCCGACAGCGACAGCCATTTCTGGGGCCGTCATCATAGTCCAAGCCCCACCGAGACTGGCAGCAGTATAGCATTGTGAGGGGGGCTGAAGTCAGATAGACTCGATTCAAACCCTGCACCCTCCTTTTCCTAGTTCTGTGGCTTTGTGCAAGTGAATCAAACTCCCAGAGCCTCTTTCATTCTAAAATGGAGACAATAGTTTCTACTTGTAGGGTTGTTCTGAGACTTGAATAAGGTTGTACAATCACCTAGCTCTTAGTGCTTATTTATTGAGTACATAGCAAGTGCTCGATAAATGGTAGTGTGAAGTTGGCACTAGGTATGTACCTTCTCTGAACCTCCCTTGGTCAGTAAGGAACATTAGCATCGTGTGGGGGTTAAGATCCTGAGGTCTGGAGTCAGACAGACATCCTTTGGATCTGGACTCTGCCACTTGCTAGCCATGGGACCATCTTGTGGCCTTGTGTCTCCTCTCTGTGGACCTCAAAACGAGTCTTTATTCAAAGCCCAGGGCCCTGCCTAATATTAAGGCTTTAGATACATATTTTCAAATTGCCTCATGAGGGCCCTTTTAAAACATCAGAAATGTTAAATTACTCATAGGATAGCTAAATTTGTAGTAATAAAGTATCTGCATACATGCCTAATGGATTCAGTAATGCCACTAAATAGGAGTTTGTGTTATTTACAGCAGTCTCTACTTATATTTGAAAAGAATAAAACATCACTTATTAATTTTACAGACAATGTGTGGGTTACATATGGACTTGTGAATCTCATGCATTACCCGTGTTGTCCCCCAGATACATACAGTCACTGTGGGAACAAACACCACCCTGAGTACCTGCTGCTTGCTAGGGATTTTCATGGAGGTTATGGCATTTAAACCTGAAACAGGGCCAGGCATGGTGGCTCATGCCTGTAATCCCAGCATTTTGGGAGGCTAAGGTGGGTGGACCAGTTGAGCCCAGGAGTTCAAGCCCAGGCTGGCCAACATGGTGAAACTCTATCTCTACCAAAAATACAAAAATTAGCTGGGTGTGGTGGCATATGCCTGTAATCCCAGCTACCCGGGAGGCTGAGGAATGATAATCGCTTCAACTCAGGAGGCAGAGGCTGCAGTGAGCTGAGATCACACCACTGCACTCCAGCCTGGGCAACAGAGCTACACTCCATCTCAAAACAAAGCAAAGCAAAACAAGAAAAGACAAGAAAAGAAAACCTAAAACAACTCTGCAGAATAATTGTTATTATCACCATTTTATACACGTGGAAACAGGCTCCGAGGGGCTCAATGAATTTCCCAGAGTTCTACAGATAATAAGGGGCAGAGCCAAGATCCTGACCCTCATCTGTCTGTGTAGCATGAGAGAAATATCCACCGTGGACTGTATTTGAAAATATTCACAGATACTAGGTTAATGCTATATAAAGTATATTATACCTAACCTTTTATAACATATTTTTTCATTTAACAATAATTGTGAATAGATACTTCTATCAACCTACAAATCTACCTACTTTATCCTTTTAAAGGACTATGTCATACTCCATTAAATGAATTTACTATAATCTATTTAACCAACATTCCTTTAGTGAACATTTTAATGGTTTGCAATTTTTTGTCCTTGCATATAATGCTGAAATGAACTGGATCATATGCAAGTATTTTTGTACACCTCTAGAAGTGATTTTTTAAAATTCCTAAGAGTGAGATGATAAAATTAGTTACAAACATTTACTAACACATACTACCAAATCAGGCAGCATAATAAAAGATCATCAAATTTTTATTCATTCACTTAGCAAATACTTATGTCATGCTTGTGCTGTGCTAGGTACTGCTCCCAGAGCTTGACTCCTCATGACATCCTGAGATGAGAACTTTAATGATTCTGTTTTATACATAAGAAGACTGTGGCTCAGAGAGACAAAGTAACTTGGCAGAAGTTAGACAGAAAATAGCTGGTTTGGAAACCAGGGTCTGCAGCACCCAGGCACTTGATGACTATGTTGTCCTTCCTGATTTATTAAGGCTTTATTCCCAGAATTACTCAAATCCTAAAGAATAAATCTTATTTGATGGGAGTATCAAATGAGATTTTAAGGGGGAAAATATTAACATTAACATTATATGTTTTAAAATAAGATTTTTTATTTTTCCAGAAAAAAATCTTAAAAATTAAATCATTTGTTTCATTTTTTTAAAAGGAAACTATAAACCCAATATTTTAAGAAACGATTTCATTCACTCAACACTTTTGAGCTGAGTCTCTCCTCTCATCAGTTCTGTGTGAGCAGAAAAGAGGGAGGCTTAGGGGCTTAGGGGATTAGGGGTCATGGTCGCTGGGAAATGCAACAGAAACCTGTCAGGGCTGCTAGAACCTAGAAGAGTTAGCCACAGTAAACCGGCTGGTGCATATCCTTACAGAACTTTTATTTTGTAAGTGTGTATGCAAACTAGCTACTACATTACATTTTACATACATTAATAATCTCCCTTTATTTTTTTACCTAATGTATATTTTTCCATGACCATGAATGTATTTTTATAACTTTTTGTTTTAGGTTTTAAGGCATTTCATTGCTAAGTTGCATCTCCTAGATTTGGGAAAGAATCTAAAAAACACATATTTGGTGCATTCTGTGTGCTCTGCCCAGTCACACACATTATTCTATTTAACCTTCTGATGACCTAGGTATCTTCACCACTCTTCTAGATTGTTGCTCCCAGCAGTCATGTGACTCGTCTAAGGCCATGTTGCTACAGGTGGCTTGCAATCCAGGTTGGCTGAACTTCCAACTACATTCTCTTTGCTGTGCACTGTCCAAAAGTAGGGAGAGTTTCCTGCCTCTGGAATTCTCTATGTACAGGTGCCACCAGTTGTTTTCTTTGTGCACAGAAGAAAGTAAAACCCAGAGGCCACCATTAGTGATGGAGATGCATTGTCAGGAGAGGACAGAAGATGGGTAGAAGTTGACAGAGCTCTCATTTCTCCCACATGGGCTTGTACCATATGCAAATGGTTTCATAAGCATCTGGTAACAGTGTGTTCAGCCACAAGAGGGAGACCAAATTGGAGCTGGAGATCCTTCTTCTCATGCCTCACCGTACTTTTGACTTCCCGAAAAAGAGGATTCGAGTGGCTCATTTTGGCATCTTGCAGTATAGTGTATTTCCACTGGGCAGGGAGTCGCAGTCTCTCTTATGCTCAGGCTGGCCACAGCGGCTTTCCTGGATATGTCTTTGTCCTGGTTCAATCCTGGGGCGGGGGAGCAGTGTTGCCCGCACCTTCCTAACAGAGCCAGCCTCCCAAGTAGAGCAGCTGAAGAGGGAAAACAGTCACTGCGGGCTGCAAAACTCATTGTCTGGAGCAACATCTGGGGGCTGGGGCAGGTCCTCGGCCCACCATGGTGATGAAAAGTGCTCAAATCATCAAAGAGTAAAAATTCTACACCAAAACCCACACTTTCCACAATAGTCATGTGGGTTTCTCCTCCTAGCCTGAGGGCATTTCTTGGGTCCTCCTTTCTGTGCATGATTCTCCAGCTCCAGGACAGCCCATCTCCAGCACACTCTGGACAGGTTATGCCTGATTCTGCCTGACATGCTCCAGGCTTAAGAAACTGGCTCCTGTGAGCCTGGGCTGCCACCCATCTCCCTGGCTCTGGGTTCCAACCCTGGCTTCCTGGGGTGCTTGTGGCATGGGATGGAGTTAATGGTCAGCCTGGGAGTTGGAACTTCCACATTGTGTTAGCCTTTAAAACATCAGTGTCAGCCAGGAACTCAGAAAAGATAAAGACCCCAGATTGCCAAAAGCCCCTTCTCTTAAAGGGATGAGTCAAAGGCTTTCTTCCTTTCCCACATCCCAGGCAGGATTCATCTCTACCCTATTCCCAGAATAAACAGAGTCCCATTAGGTTTTCATGCCTACAATTGTCCCCAGTTTGTACTAAAGAGTAGTTGGTTCCAGACAGGAAAACCATAGCCTCAGCTCCATAGAGGGTGAGAAATGTGTGTATAAACAGCCTGCATTCGAATGCAGAAAGTCATGGCAGTCTGCATGAAGACCACCACTAGTTCAAATGATGCTTGTGTGAGAATTAGAGAAAGGCCCCCTTCCAGTAGACAGAGTCCCATGGGTAAACAGACAGCACCTTTATCCTATTTAGGAAAAGTGTCCCTCCCTCTAGGTGCAGGCAGTGCCAGGGTGGAGCACTTCAGAAATGACACTGGAGATGGATGATGGTCCCACTCATCCTGGCCACCAGACATAGTTGTTCAGTGCACAACCTGGAAAATCATACGTGTCAGCCCTGGTTAGAGTGGATGAGGTGAAAGTATGGGGACTTCTTACACTTGTGCTTTCATTTCCTGTTACATCTTAGTTATAATGTTATTCTCATTGCACAGACATGGAAATTACGGCCCAGAAGGTGAAGTGATCTGTTACAAAATAAACGGCAAGGCTGGTCTCTTCAACTCAAATCCAGACCACTTTCCACCATGCCATAAATGCCTCCTTGCCTGAAGCACTTTTAAAGAGCCACCTTCTGCCCACGTCTGCATCCTTTAGTTTTCTCAAGGCACAAAACCTTTAAGAACCACCCACCCAGCATCTTTGCATATCGTGTGTCCTGGTATGGCAGCTGCTGACCACGCCCTGAGTCATGCTCATGGCCAAGCTCCCCACTCGGGACCATTTCTGTCCGTGCAGACTCATCTTTTCCTGTTCTTTGCAAAGCCCAGCTAGAGCAAGCAAATTCTTCCCAATGGGTTTTTCCCATCTCTGGTTGCTTGGCTGGCTGGGCTTCCTCTACAAACCCCCTTCCTTTCCCCTAAGCAGGGCCCGGTGTCCCCATCCTGCGGAGTTGAGGTCATGAGGGCATCTGACCAGGAGTAGCTATTCCTGGTGCTATTGTCATTGGTCATTGTCCTGTTTCATGTGTGAACATGGCTGCTGGCTCTACAGAGATTTGGCAGGTAGCAAGGACGTTTCTTTTCAAATCTTCCTTTGGAAGTCAGACTTGGTGAGGATCGTATGCCCACCTTTTCCTAGCTCTGTGGTGCCAGGCAAAGTCTCAGTTTCTGCAAATTGGGGTTAAGAATTCCTACCTCACAGTGGTCTTTTGATAAATAAATAAGATCTTAAGTGAAAATTATTCCACTAGAAATTGCACAGTCACTTTGGTCTTCATCCTGGAGGTCCACTGACAAGCCTCATGCAAACCTGTGGCCCTGTTCATCTTAAGGTGTTTTTATTCATACTTTCAAATGGCCTCAGGAAGACCTTTTATAAAGTAAAAATGTTAGGCAGCCACATGATATCCATTGACCCAGTGAGGCTGTTTTACTGGATATGAGGGGTTTGACCCAGCACTTTGGGGGGCTGAGACAGGCGGATCACTTGAGGCCAGGAGCTGGAGACCCGCCTGGCCAACATGGTGAAACCCCATCTCTATTAAAAACACCAAAAAAATTACCTGGGCATGGTGGCACATGCCTGTAATCCCAGCTACTTGGGAGACTGAGGCACAAGAATCGCTTGAACCCGGGAGTCAGAGGTTGCAGTGAGCCAAGCCGAGATGGCGCCACTGCACTCCAGCCTGGGCAACAGAGTGAGACTCTGTCTCAGGGGAAAAAAAAGGGTGGGGGGAGGGTTTGAAAAAATAGTAGCATGTAGTTATGTTTCTACAATATTTGATATATATAAGGATTTACCAACCTCATGCATTAGCTGCTATCCCCTACAGCAGTTGCTGTAGGAAAAAAAATCAAGTTCTGAGCTCCTACTGTTTGCCAGGCATATTCTGAGATGATCACGTTGAAATCTCAGAGTTACCCTGCAGAGTAGTCAGGGTATCACTGCCTGACAGATGAAGAAGCTGAGGCTTCCAGCAGTTAAATGACTTACCCCAGGCCACATAGATAATGAGTGGGAGAGCCCAGGTCTGTCTGTGAGGTATAATGAAATTAGCATAAACCCTCCACATTGGCGCCACTTGCATAAATTAACATATTCTCTCACAGAAAGTATTTTATTGGGCATAACATTTTATATGTTTTACCATTTAACATTAGTTATGGATCTTCCCACGTCACATAAATATGTCTCATTCTTTTTCGATAATGTGATTACTAATGAATGGATTTACTATCATTCATTTAATCAATACTCCTTTTGATGGCTATTTTAATTGTCTGTTTATTCGTTTTGCACAGATTGATGTAATAAACATGAATTTATAGGAATATTTTTGTCTGCCTGTGAAAATGTTTGCTGGACAATAAATTCCTAGGAGTCAAATAAGGTCAAAGATTATAAATACAGTATTTATTTTCATAAATATTGCCAAGTCCGCCACAAATGTTTAAATCACTAATGGTTTCAGATTATTGTATTTAATGAGTAAACACTTTTATAGGGTTTACTTTTATAAACAATTTTATTTGCCAGATATTATTCTAAGTGCTTTACAAAATTAACTTTTTCAATTTTTAATATAACCCTGAGATGTATATTATGATTATCCCCATTCTACAGATAAGAACACTGAGAAGTTAATTAACTTACCACATATCTAGGAAATGACAAGGCTAGTTGCACAGCCAGGCAGTCTGGCTCCTGAGTCCACATTTTAGACAACACTATTCCTCCTGGTTCTTTTGAGGCATTACTACTGGAACTATCCTAATACTCATAAATAAACATTTCTTTTGGGGAGGGTCAAATAAAATTTTAAACAGAAAAGTGTTTCACCAACTGTCAAGCTCATAAAGTTGTACGTTATACACTTTTTTCATGATGCCCACAGATAATTTATTAATGATATCATCTATTTTAAAAGACATATATAAAACTCAACCCTTAAGAAAGGACTCCTATTAGTGTTCCCCACAGGCACCCTCCTCAGTCTTACACCTTTCCACCCCCCAAAACAAATCATTCAGCATATTTATTTCATACTGTAATATAGGATATAGCTACTTTTTAGATTTTCTTATATTATTAACATTGATCATACAAACATGGAATAGAAATTCTTTACGTTTTATCTGGATTTAAGGTGCTACATAATGGAATCTATTTCTATCAAGCCATACACTTTGGAGATAATGAAATCAATTGTGTTCTAGCTTAAACATTATGGGAATTTCAGAACTGCAACATAACAGATAATCCTCAGATGAAAACTAAATCTCTCCTCTGGTCAGGCTTCTGTGTGCATCAGTGAAGAGAAGACGGGGACTGTGGAAGGGAAAACAGTGAGTCAGGAAGGACTGTGGCCACATCTGTTCCCCGGACCCTCAGGTAGTTAAATCCTGACCTCCTCTACCCCAGACTGTCCTGGGGAATGGCCAACACTGGCCTTTCACAACTGTGTGTTACTAGAAATGCAACAGAAACCCAGCTGAATCCCCAGGGTTTCCCTTCTGCCCTTCTCAATGGAAAGATCTGTCCCAGGACCATTTATTCCAACATTTTCAATTATGAGAAATCTGGGAAGATAAAGTTATTTTCACATTTCTCAAGAAATACATATTTATTCATACTCATTACAGGAAAGTCAGAATCTACAGAAAACCAAGAAGATTTTTAAAAATCCATGATACCACCATCAAAAGAGCCACACTTAGTATGTTGGTCCACAGGTTTCCTAGCACCCTTTTCTGTTGGTGTATGCACAAAATACACAATCACATTCTGTCTACATTTTACAGTTTGCCATTTTTTGATTAACACTATATATTGAACAATTTTTAAGACCTGCAACGTATGTCGACAACATTATTTCAAAATAATATATTTACAAATAAACGCACACACAAACTGTCTGTCTTATATACAACATGTCTTACTTTCTAATTCTCCACTCTGGAAGATTTAGGTTTTTCTAACTTTTTCTTAATATACTCACCAGGAGTCAGTAAACTTTTTTTATAAAAGGCCAAAGGGTAGATATTTTAAACTCTGCAGGCCATAGATTTCTGGTGCAACACTTAACTCTGCTGTTGCAGGGAAAGAAGCCATACACAATTTGTAAATGAATGGGCATGACTGTGTTCTGATAAACTTTACAAAAACAGGTGGTGGACTAGATGCAGCCTGCTCCTCTGGACATGGTTTGCCAGCCCCTGACATATACCACTACAGAGGATGCTGTTAGAATGAAATCTCTTTACACATCTCTGATCATCTCCTTAGGACTAATTGCTGGACATGACATGATGGTAGCTGTGGGTCAAAGGGCATGCACGCTCTGGGATGTACATTGCCAGATTGCTCATGATCAGCCTTTCTCATGTCAAAATGTTTTGTGACCACCAGAAGGCTGGTTCTGCTTTTATTATCCATTGACTGAGGAATAGAAATGACATGGCATGTATGCAGGATATTTAACTATCGTATAGATAATCCTTGTGCACAAGTGCATTCTATATTCTTTCCCAATAAGTCTACATCTGCCAGAGTTGAAATAAAAGAAAACAAAACAAACCTATTTAGCACCTTCTGTGTAGCAGGTCCATTCGTGTATGTTGTATTTCATTCTCAGAATTCTTATGACCTAGGCATTTTAAAATTTTTTTTAAAAATAGTTGACAAGGATTGTATATATTTAATGCATACAATGTGATGATTTCATATATGTATATATTGTGTACTAATTATCACAATCAAATTTATTACATCCATTACCACCTATGCTGTACATTAAATCTCCAGAATTTGTTCATCTTATAACTGAAAGTTTACACCCTTTGATTAATAGCTTCCCATTTTCCCCACCTCCAGCCCTTGGCAACCACCATTCTACTATCTGTTTTTATGAGTTTGACTCTCTTAGATCCCACATATAAGTGAGATCATACAAAACTTGTCTTTCTGTGTCTGGCTTATTTCACTTAGCGTAATGTCCTCCAGGTTTATCCAGGACAGGAGTTTCTTCTTTTGAATGGCTAAGAGTCCATTGTTTATATATATTTTATTTATCCATTCATCTGTTGCTGGACACTTGGGCTGTTTCCATATCTTGGGTATTGTGAATAGTGTTGTAATAAACATGGGGCGCAGATCTCTCTTCAAGGTTCTAACCTGATTGCTGAATGGTATGCTTAGTTCTGCTTCTAATTTTTTGAGGAACCTCCATACTGTTTTCTGTAAAGGTTATACCACTTTACATTCCAACCAACAGTGTACAAGGGTTCTCTTTCCTCTATGCTTTCGCCAACACTTGTTATCTCTTGTCGTTTTTTTATAAGAGCCATCCTATCCTATGAGGCAATATCTCACTGTGGTTTTGATTTGCATTTCTCTGATGATTAGTGGTGTTGAACACCTTTTCATATGCTGTCTGGCCATTTGTATATCTTCTTTGGGGAAAAAAGTCCATTGGGGTCCTTTGCCTATTTTTAATTGGGTTATTCATGTATTTATTAATTTTTGCTATTGAGTTGTGTGAATTCCTTATATTTTTTCAAATAACCCCTTATCAAATATATGGGTCGCAAATATTTTCTTCCATCCCGTAGGTTGCCTTTTCATTTTGTCATGGTTTCCTTTGCTGCGTAAAACCTTTTAAGATTGATGTAGTCCCATTTATTTATTTTCACTTTTGTTGCCTGTGCTTTGGTGTTACATCAAAAAAAAATTGCCAATTATGACCAATGTCGAGGAGATTTTTCCCTATGTGTACTTCCAGGATTTACATGGTTTCAGATATTACATTTAAATCTTTAATCCGTTTTGAGCTAATTTTCTGTATATGATGTAAAACAAGTGTGCAATTTCATTCTTTTTCACGCACTTTCCCCAACACTATTCATTGAAGACAGTTTTCTTTCTACATTGTGCTTTTTTTTTTTTTTTACAGTACAGTGAAAGCAAGTCTATTAAGAAAGTAAAGGAATAAAAGAATCTACATTGCATATCCTTGATGGCCTTGTCAAAGATCTGTTGACCATATATGCACGGGGTTATTTCTGGGTGAGCTTGGCATTTTTATCTACCTCATTCTACCGATGAGGAGGCCGAGTCTCAAAGAGTTCACAGACCTGCCTAAGGTCACTCAGCTAGAGGTGATACAACCAGGGTTTGAACTGAGATCTGCCAAGCTTCTGAGTTTATTCTTTTTCCCCCACACCAAGGATCCTCAATTCTGCCTTACTGACATCAGGATCCGGTCAATTCTTTGTGATGGGGGCTGTCCTGCACCTGGCAGGATGTTTAGCAGCTTCTCTGGCCTCCACCCACTGGATGCCAGGGGAATGCAGAAGAGGCTTGTTCATTCTCCCATTTAATCCTCAGGACAATATCTGACATAAATGTTATGTCTTTTATTTTATAAATGAAGAAAATGAGACTCAGAAAGGTTTAAGTGAGTTACTTAAGAACACACAGACAGCAAGAGGTAGAACTGGAAACCGAACACAGGTGTCCACATGGGACAACAAAAAAGTTCACGTTCCATCTTCTTTTGAGTCTCTCATTTCAATAATTACCATTGTGTGGATATGAGCTGAAGTACAGGAAACCTGGGGCTGAACTCTCCTCCCATCAGGCCTAGGAGCCCCAGACCAGAACCCCAGCCCAAGGTCTCCCAGTCAGGCCCGCTGGCGTGAGCTGGCATCTACACTAGCATGGTTTCCCAAAGCTGCAGGGATGCCAGTCTCGCCGCTGATGAAGGAAATGAAGGGCATTTGCTTCTCCTGCAGGCTCTCGGGATTTAACACAGATTCCTTTTCTTGCTGTCTTCTCCCATAGCACAAAACAGGGTGGTCCATCCCCCTCCCAGTGTCCCAAGGCTTTGTTGCGTGTTCTCTTTAATTTCTCCCACTCTTGCGGTGTAACCTACCCTCATCTCCCTGGCAACCTTTCTGCTGTATCCTCTCGACACCTGGATCACAAGAACACTTGTGAGACCCCTTAACAAGCTACATCCCAAATTATCATTCCCCTTTGTCCTCAGCCAGTGCTCAGGTCCAACTTGCTCTCCTGGGGTGACTTTCTTTCCTGCCCAATATGGTTTCATCATCTGTAAATTGGGGATAATTAAAGTCTTGATCCTGATATTTGACTCTCACAGCAGAAGTAGCAAGCTCAGCCAAGTCACTTCAACAAGAGGAGACGTTCCTTGTGAACCAAAAGGACACTGGTCACAAGGGCCGCTCCTTCTTCTGTCAGGCCTCTCCAGCACGCCCTTGGCTCAGCCAAAGAAGAGACTCAGGCTGTGCTTCTGCACTGTTGGGATAACATAGGCCTCTTCCATGTGGTTCCACACCAGGAACATGGGGACAATCAGACCTCTCCCAGTGTGGGCATAAGGATACAAGATCATGTCAATATTGACATTCATAATGGCTGGGCGCAGTGGCACACGCCTGTAATGCCAGCACTTTGGGAGGCTGAGGTGGGCAGATTGCTTGAACCCCAGAGTTCGAAACCAGCCTGGGCGACTTGGCAAAACCAGTCTCTACTGAAAATACAAACAATTGGCTGGGCTTGGTGGTGCACACCTGTAGTCTCAGCTACTTGGGAGGCTGAGGTGGGAGGATTGCTCAAACCCAGGGAGGTTGAGGCTTCAGTGAGCTATGATGGCATTGCTGTACTCCAACCTGGGCAACAGAGTGAGGCCCTGTCTCAAAACAAAAACAAAGACAAAACAACATTCATAATAGTAGCAATAGCTACTATGTGCCAAGCCCAGGCACCTCTTCGAGTCTTTGCTGTCACCCTATCAGGTAAGCGTGCTTAGAAGTTACACGAAGCCCACGGCTCAGTGTTTGGCCCATGGTAAGGGCCTAAAAAGGGATAGCCCCAGTGGTGGGGATGCTGCTGCTGCTGACCATTAACCCCAGTCTGCTCCACCTTCTTCCAGGCAGTCTGTGAGATGTTTGATGTCCGAGGCAAACAGCACATTCAGATCCCCAAGCTCTACACCTCCAGTGTGACCAGGCACCTGCACCACTTCAGGCTCATGCAGGACTCACAGCCTTTGGACCTCAGCTAAAGGACTTGCTTCTCTTCAGCACACGGGGCTTGTTTGTGTTGGGGTCTGAGCCCTGAGCCCATGGTCAAGGAGACCCCCAGGTCTTTCTGAACAGAGACAGCTGGCCTGGGGGCCTCCCTCTCACTGCGTGCAAGAGGCTGTTAGGGTGCAAGACTCAAGGCGCTGAGGGAGGCTGTTTCAGGAGGGAGCCCCAGGAGGGTGGTGGAGACAGAAGGGGGCAGCATCTGCCGAGGCCCTACTGTGTGCCTGGCACCGTGTGGGGTTTCTGGCCCATATGGGCTAAGTGACCCTGCACACTCCTCTTAGGAGAAAGGCTCAGATGGAGAAATTGCAGTTCAGGAAGGTGAAGCAAGCTGCTAGCCTGTGGCCATGTTGGGATCTGGGCCTCAGCCTTCCAGCCACAAAGGCAGCCAAGTGTCATGAAGAAGGCATCACAGAGGCAATTCCAGGCTGTAGTGGTGAACTTTCCACTCTGCATCCCCGGGTGCTGTGCCCTGTGCCCTGTGCCCTGTCTAAGGTAGCCCTGCGGGTTTCTATATGTTTAAGTTATCCCCAGCATCAATGATGCTCTCCTGTGGATCCCAAGCCATGGAGATGTCCTGGGACTTTTCATTTTTAGGTACCTAAATTGAATTTCCCAACACACAGAAGCAAGACAGCCGCCCTAACAGACTCTTGCATGCAGTGAGAGGGAGGCCGCCAGGCCAGCTGTCTCTGTTCAGAAAGACCTGGGGGTCTCCTTGACCATGCGCTCAGGGCTCAGACCCCAACACAAACAAGCCCCGTGTGCTGAAGAGAAGCAGGTCCCTTAGCTGAGGTCCAAAGGCTGTGGGTCCTGCATGAGCCTGAAGTGGTGCACGTCCCTGGTCACATTGGAGGTGGAGAGCTTGGGGATCTGAATGTGCTGTTTGCCTTGGATCTTTATTTGTGATTCAGAAACAGTGGAATAAAAGGAAAGGAAAGAAAACCGGAATGGCCACCTCAGCAGGATGCTCCAAGGGTAGTGTCCAGGTGGCACTGACTCAGACATGTGGGGGCTTCCCCCACCCATGCTCAAGAGTCACTTTGCCATTTCACCATCTCTCTGTCCTCCACACCCCTCAGCAGCAAGCACACCAAGAATGTGTTCACCATGAAGCTCAAATCTCAGCCGAATCTAGAGTCTGAAATCCAAGTAAGGGAAAGTGTAGAGCTTCTCGGATGATGCCCTGTCAATTTTATTTTAACGAATGAAAGACCAGAAGAAGTCAGTCTTTGAAAGGAGAGGACAGGAGCATCTGCTGGCATTAGCAGCCATGCCATCGTAGGACCGGCTCACCTGGACCCGTGGCCACCTGTGCTTTTACATCTAGTCTTGGTTAACCATGGGCCACTTTTCCAGCTTGGAAACTAAGCATATGCTCCACTTCCTCTCCTTCCTCATTGAACTCTTTCACTAAAAGAACAGTGCGAGAGAGACTTAAACTGTTTGCCTCATTCTTAAGAACTTTCAGGAAAAGTGTTGGCAGGGAAGGAAATCTCCCAGCTCTGGGAAACAGTCTTGTGGATTATCTGCTGGTTTCATTGATCTGTGCTGTCCTCCCTGCATTCATTAGGAAACCTGGCCTTGGTTCAAGTAAGAACAGGATTTGTCCTGGTGACAGAGAAAGGTTTCTTCTGATGTCCATATATCTCCGAGGGGGATGCTTTCTCCAGGCAGAGGCTGTGGCCAAGCGATCGGGGGGCTCAGAGGGCTGCTGGGAAGGGGTGGGCCCCTCTCTCCCCAGAGGGAAACTCCTGGGGACCTCTCGAGCACCCCTGCCCATCCTTTAAACATAAATTCATAAATACAAACAAGTAGGCCATTCACAGAAATATATAAAATATGTCATAGGACGGGTGGCACTCTCATATGGCAATAATTATGACAGGGGCCGGCAAATGACCTGAGTGACCCGGAGTGACCTGAGCACTGACTCCCAAATGCCCTCCATAGGATGTTCTGCATCCCCGAGACCCTTTCCTGGGTCCTCCTGGGCCCTACCACCCCCTAGACCATCCAGACCTCAGGTCATCCCCCTGTCTGTTGACAGAGTAGTCTCCGTTCCTGAATGTGCTGGTCACCAGCAACAGCAGCTGCTCCTCCTCCAGGAAGCTCAGCCTATACTTCTACACGCAGAGAACCTGGACGGCACCCAGGTGGACCTAAGCCTTCAGCTCCCAGTAGACGCTCTGGGTTTCCTACCCTGCCCAGACACTCTGGGCTTCCCCCCACACCTCCCCTCGTCCGGGGCTCCTGTGTGCATCTGTCTCTCCCAGTGCCCAGCACAGGCGTGGAACGGAAGAGGTGAATGGACCGATTTGAACACATCATCCTGGATTCTCCGTTCCCTCTCAAGCCCTGCAGCTAACCCATCGGCAAGCCCTGGAGGCTCTTCCTCCAAAATCCTGCCTATCCCATGTGCAAATGCCTCTCACCATGTCCACTGCTATTTGCAGTTCTGTGTGTGTGGAAATACTTCCACCAATTTGGAATGAACAGGTCACAGCTGTGCCTGGAGGGAATGCCCAGGGAAATGTGCCCTCGCCTTGCTGTTCTATCTAGGCCCACCCAGCTGAGGATGGGGGACCTGCCACCACTCTCCTGGCAGTTCCGGACTCCTGGGAACCGGCAGGTGAGGACCCAAGACTGTTTTCAGTGACCCGGCTGACCTGGTCATCCGTCAGTCCCACCTTGGCCTAGGCCTCTATACAGCACAGATCACAGCTCATTCCATCCTGGCATTACACTGGCCTGTGCCCTGTCCTCAGGGTCACATCCGTCTCCCAGAAGCCGTGCAACCCTGGAAAACCCAGGTCTAACAGTCAGGTTCCTCCTCCGTGCATTAACAATGGCGTTGACGCCTGCTTTGCGGGACGCTGGGAGGGGAGAGGGAGGTGTATGCTGGAGAGCTCCCCAGGGGCAAGGCCTGGCTCTGCGTCACCCACTGTCAGATCCTGAGAGCCTGGGGCTGGCCCAGCACGTGGCCACCGTTCCCTAAGAGTTGGATTTCATCCCTCAGTGCTGAAGGCAGGGGATAGAGCTTAGACAGACCCCCTGCATCCTGTCTTCTTTATCTACAGCTTTCTCATCCTTGTCCCTTTCACGTGCACCCGGCAGAGCAGGTGTTCACTGAGCTTGAGCAAAATTCAAGCTAGAGCAGCTGATGGATCTTGAGGCCTAGATTCACTGTCAAAGTGTTTCTCAAACGGTGCTCTCCAGAACACCAAGGAAAACTCATTTACTCTATAAGTCTGAAAATCCCTGCCCACCGGTCTACCTTTGTGTATGAGCAATCAGCTCTACCATTCAGCCCAGGTGTGTGTTTGCTGGACCATGTGGAGGAAGCTGAAGAGACATGAGCTGAAGGCAGAGGGTGAGTCCAAGGTGGGATCTTGGGACAGGTACGAGAAGTTAGGCAAAAATGGGATAATTCTAGCCTTCATAACCTTAGATAATAGTTCACATTATTATTTAGTTAATAGAATTGTACCCACATTAAATTTCTCAAATTTTTTTAAGAGGTAAAGTCTCACTCTGTCACCCAGGCTGGAGTGCAGTGGTGCAATCATGGCTCACTGCTTCCTGGAACTCGTGGGCTCCAGCAATCCTCCTGCCTCAGCCTCCTGACTAGGTGGGACTATAGGCACACGCCACCATGCCTGGCTAATTTCTTTGACTTTTCTCTAGAGACCGGGTCCACCTAGGTTTCCCAGGCTGGTCTCAGACTTCTAGACTCAAGTGAACCTGAACCTCCCACCTCGACCTCTCAAATTGCTGGGATTACAGGTGTGAGCCACCACACCCGGCCTAAATTTCTTATGTGCCATGGGACTGCAAAACATCATTATTAGGGGCAGCTGGATGGAAGGTATAGGAGGACACTATAGTGCCTTTTCAATATTTCTGTCTAAAATCTAAAAGCATTTCAACAGGAAACATTTATTTCAAAACGTGAAGGTAGTTATCCTTCCATGAGTTTGAAGTACAAAGGCAGGCTCACGGTGTCGTCAGAATTCAGAACGATGGTCGTGGGGCTTGGGGTGCTGGGAGGGGCTGGGCATGGTTGGCTTTGTGATCTGGGGTCTGGTGTGTTCCATCTCTGAATCTCTCTCGAGCTGCACTCTTTCTTAATACATTTTCATAAGTTTAACCAAAAATAAAACGAGGACGCGAAGCTTGCTTGGGTTGTTAAGCCTAGGGAAATTATCCAGCCATGAGCCCTGGCCCAGATGCTTCTAGAAGCCTGGAGGGAACTGAGAACTTTCCAAGTGGAGGCCGCAGAGGCAAGGCCCTGAGGTGGGAGCACACTGCTGTTCGTCCCTAGCTCTGAAGGGGGTGCCCTGGTCGGAATCAGTGCTGGGTGCAGCGAAAGCCGATCTCACCCGCTCCGCAGGGTGTTCAGCCTGCCAGCAGGGGGCCAGCTGGTCCTCCTGGGATATGGCACGGACCCAGCAGCTCTGTCTGAAATCATAATGGCGGAACCAAGGCCCCTCTACGTCCAGGTCCGTTGGGAGGCGGGGCATGGAGTTCCACTGCAGGAATCTCCAGGAACCCTGAGGTCCTCCCTGAGCCAGGGCCGGGCTGGGCACACCCTGAGTGCCCACAGGGTAGGTGTCTTCCCGGACAGCCCCACCAGGACAGGGTGTGGAAGAACGAGGTGCCCGTGGCGGGGAAGCTGACCAAATGGGCCACGGGAACCGGGCTGGTGGGCCTGGAGGGGCCTGCCTGTCCCCCTTGCAGAGGGTCTTCCCGCCACGTGAAGCCGGCACAGGCCTGGATGCCGACGACCCTTGCTCGGGTTTGGCTGAAAGGAAAACAGACGCGGTCAGCATCTCCAGTGAGCCCACGCAGGCCTTTCCGGGCTGGGCCCCACCTGCCTGCATCTCGGAGTCCTCGGGGTCTCTGTGTGGCCCCCGTGGCCTGACACCGAGGACACGCCTGTAGTCTGCTGATCCCAGAGGGAGGGGTGCATGCTGCCTGGCGTGGGGAAGCTGTCGTGGCATGGCGGGTGGCTCCTGGGACTGCCCCCAGGGTTCAGACTGGCTGGGGGCTTCCTGCCACACACCTTCGTCCCAGGGCTGTTGGGCCTGGGATACGGCCCCCAGTCAGAACTCAGGTGGGAGGGGCCTTGGATGTCACCCAGCCCCTTGTCACCTCACGTGGGGACCCGTCTCCGCAGTGGGTGATTGGGCCCGGACGTGGGTCACCCTCTGCCCTCCTGGGCTGCCCAGTCCATGCCAGGACTGACCGTTCCCACTTCTGGCTGAACTCTTGGCTCTGGCTCTGGGCCCGGGGTCCCGCCTGTGCCCTCTCCCTGAATGCTCTGTGGGTCAGGGACACCGATTCCCTTGACTCCCTGGCTCCAGGCTTCTTGTCCTGGCAACCTTGGAGGAGCGTGCAGGAGTGAGGGGCCTCTGCTGCTCTCTGAGGCTGTGGGTGCTTGCAGGGAGGGGCGGGGTCTCCCACAAATGGGTCTGGGCTCGTCTAGTAACTTGGAGGGCCCTGCGAGGGGGAGAGGGAGACACCGTGGAAAGTGGGAGGGGGCTTGTTGGAGGGTCTTGCCCACATCCCCCTCCTGCGTGCACAGCATGTCCAGTATACACGCACTGAGCGCCTGCCCTGAGGACCGGTGGGCCTCCTGTACTTTCTTAGAGTCCAGGAGGAAGAGGAGGAAGAAAAGGTGAAGAGGAAGGCCCAGGTAGTAGGGTTGCGGGTCCCGGGCACTCCCCTACTACTGACTACCCCAGAGGGTGACATGGGAGGGGACATGGCACTGGAGCCCACCTGGGGGTGGCAGGTCCCCCTGCTTTCTTGTTAGTTTCTTCATAGAGGCCCTAAGATGCTTGAGCACAGTGTCATCATCCCTGGCCCAGGTATCAACGAACCGGTTGCAAAAACGTGCCCACGGGCCACACCTGGACGTCTTCGTGAGGCGCTCTAGGGACAGGGTGGATATCAGGCCAGGGGAGTTACCTGGGAATGGTCACAGCTCATACCCCGTGGCCACTTCAGTCTCCTACTGGGCGGTGCCGGATCCTTTTGTGGCCACCCCAGGTGTCCAGATATACACAGGAGACTGTGGCTGGGGGGCGATCCGGACAGGGAAGTGCTCACCACACTCTCGACTTTCATCTGGGTCATGTGAGGGATGGGCTCGGTGTCACAGTGTCCTGCCCAGCCCACCTGGCCGGACCTCCCTCTGGGCCAGAACAGCGGATCATGAGGACAGTGTGAGGAAGCTGCCCTCGGGCCAGTCGGGGTCTGACCCCAGGGCTCCCCAGGCCCCGCTGGGCACACGTAGACTTACTCTGCTGAACCTTAAAGGCGATTCTTGTTATCGGCATCAACGCCTGTTCGCCTTCTACCAGATACACGTCCCACAGGCGCAGGGTGAGCCCGAGAGAGATCTGTGGGGACAGCAGGTGTGAAAGAACCTGGTCCTTCCAGGCTGGGGCTGGTGGCTCGAGCTGCGCACACTGGGGCTTCAGTCTCCAGAGTCAGTGACCTTCCCCATGAGGGTCGGCTGAGCCCTCCAGGACGCTGGGTCAGACAAGGTCTTGAAGCTCCTCATGGGGGGCACTCATTTGAGTGGGGATGTGGCTCCTGGAGAGAGGGGCTTGCCCAGGGCTTGAGGCTTCCCTGAGCCCTCTCAAGTCGGGTCCTGGCCCAGTCTGCCCATGAGGCTGGGCCTGAGCCCCAGCCATTGCCCTGGGATGACCCCTCTTGGGCAGAGGGTTTTGCTTGTGTGTCCTTTGGGGACCCGCCTGAGCCTCCTGTGGGCTGGGAGTGAGCCAGACCCCCGGGCTGGGGAAGCAGGGCACTGCAGGGCAAGGAAGGTCCCTGAGCCAGGGTCTCCCTATGCCTCCTTACCCCGTCAATCAATATCCGGATGAGGCAGCCTAACGGGGAACACTGCCCACATAGATCTTTCTTGTCCTGATGGAAGCAACAGAGGTGCTCAGGCCACTGGGCTGCCCTAAAAACCTCCCTCTTCTCGGGTCTCTGAAGACCCTTCCCCTAGTGCAGAACACTGGGCGGTGTCCAGAGCTCCCCACAACACTGTCACCTTCCCACACTCCCGGTGGACACACTGCCCTTTGCCCTGCTCTGCGGGAGCTGGGCCCCCATCCCTGTGCCTCTGTCTCCTCCAGGGCAGGAAAGGAAACCAACTCCCAGCCCATGGAGAACCCGACGTCCCAGGTCAGGCCCTGGCTGGGACTCAGCCAGTCACCAGCCCCACGAGGGGCCCCAGCCCCCCTGCTCCTACAGCCCCACGGGAGGCAGGGCCTCTGGGAAGAGCTGAGGGGACCATAAACTCACCTGATGCCCCATGGTCTTGGATTGTGACGTGGCTACCACATGCTCCTGTTGGTCTTGGAGCCCCTGGACGGTCCCGCCATTTGGGCTGTGAAATCCTGAGAAGCCCCCAGCCCATCATGAAATCAGAGCCTTCCCCCAAGATGTGGAGCCATCAGCTGCAAGAGCTGGGCAGCTGGAGAGGCCCCCAAACCCCAAGGCTACTCCCACCCTCCCATCTGGTGACCCCAACATGCGGCCTTTACCCTGGGGAGGTGGGGCGGGAACATTCCCTGGAGCCTGGCTGGAGGTTCCCCTGGAGGCCTCCTGGGCCAGGGTGCAAAAAGGGCAAGCCTGACTTTCAGGCCACGACAGGGCGGCCGGAACTGGGTGGGCGCTGGGCTTCCCGGTCATCTCCTGGTAGTGGGGTCGGGCCAGGGGAACAGGGGATGGGGAGATGCTGCCACCTGGGCTTGGTCGGCCCATTCGTGGGCACCGATGGCAGCAGGAGCCCGGGCAGCTGGAGGGCAGGAGGACTCTCAGGGAGGGGAGAGTCAGCTGCACAGAATCAGAGCCGGAGGGCGTGGCTCCAGGACACAGAGGGTGGCCACGGGGAGGATGAGATGCCCTCTGCTGATGGGGATGAGAGGCGTCTGATTTGGGCTTTGGGGGTCAGCCGTGGACTCCTGTGGGACCCTCAGCAGAGACATCCTAAAGTCTCCCAACAAGCTGGCGACACAAGGAGGGTGCCTTGGCTGAAAGCTGTGATCACCCGGCCAGGGTGGCCATCCCCAGGTCTGGCTGCAGGAGGTCCCCGGGGCAGCTGTTCACTTACCCTGCAGGGAGTGCCTCTCACTGGCCAGCAGCTGCACCAGTGCCCAGAATGCATCCTCCTCAGGAAGATAGAGGAGGAACAAGGCGGCGATGTGGCTCAGGTCCCTGCAGTAGCCCACCTCCTGCAAGAGCCAGAGTCACCATGGAAGGACATGACCTGGGAGGGCTGAGGTCACCTGGGAGGACTCATGTCATTGGAGAGGGCAGAGGTGACTGGAGAGGCTTCCTCTGAAGGAGAGGCTTCCTCTGAAAAAGAGGCTTCCTCAGGATGCACATTCATTTCATGACAAGAGCCAAGTCCATCAGGCACTTCAGCACCTTGTCCAAAATGTCTGCTGATAGCACCATCCTGTGTGCGATGCTGCCAAGCTCCTGGGCTTTGGGGCAGCCCCAGGAGGAGGGCGTCATTTCTTGTTCTGAGAAGTGGTGGTCAGGCCCAGGTGACACCAGGAGTCCGGGCCCTGACTCCTTTGTGTCTCAGCTTGACCCCTTGAGACCACCCCCTTCCTTGGAGGTTTATGCCAGCGGTGAGCTGACATCCTACCTCCTATATCCTGGTGGGTCACAAATACTAACTTTAAAAGAAGCAACGACACCCCCACCAGACACCCACTCCTGTCAATATGGAAATATGGCCCGGGAACCTCACTGCCGGGAATACTCACCGGGTTATACTCCTCATATGCCAGGAGGATGTGGAGTAGTTCCCGCTGCCTAGGAAACAGAGAAAGGGGGCTTTGGTTTGTTTTGTGCAGATGTTGTTAATTTCACTTTGTCTACAAAGCCTAACAGCAAATCCCATTTCAGGTTCAGATGTTTCACCAGATAAGCAGTGAGCTCTTCAGGGCCTGAGACTCTTGAAGAAATGTTTCAGTAAAATCCACATCTGTGACATGCAAATAGCCCAGTTGTACAGTGACTTGCCTGATCCTTTTCACTCTGAATGATTTTTTTTTTTTTTCAGTTTGCACACACGCCAGTTCAGTCTGTGGGTGTACAGTTCCTCCACGGTTCCAAACCAATGTGCAGAGTCTCCCGGCCACCGCTCCAGCCCCTCCTGGGGCGACTCCTTCATCCTCCAAGTCTCCAGGGTGGCCCCTATGCACCCAGCCTCTCCCCGATCCGTCAGCCCCTGGCCACCCAGACTGCTTCTCAGTCCCTGTGGTTTGGCCTTTTCCAGAATGGCCTAGGAATGGGAATCCTACGGTGGTAGCTTATTGGGTCTGGCTTCTGTCCCTCAGCAAAATGCATCTAGGATCCACCCACGTTCGTGCGGGCATCACCGGCTCGTTCCCTTTTCTCACTGGGTCTTCCGTTTGAAGGGAGGACCAGCCTTGCTCTCCCCATTCCCGTGTTGAAGGCCGTCCCTGAAGGCTCCGTGTGTGAGTGACGAGGAGTCAAGCAGTGAACCTGGCATGCTGGTTTCATGTGGATGTCAGTTTGCAAATCAGTGGGTTCAATATCTGTGACACTTTGGGGATGTGTGGTTCAAGTCCATCGAGCTTTGTGAGCCACTGCCCAACTGGCTGCCAACGTGGCTGTGCCATGTCATGTTCCCAGCGGACCTGGATGAGAGTTTCCAGGACCCCTAATTCTCCCAGCATTTGGTGCTGTCACTGTTGCCTGGGGGGGCTCATGGGCCCTCTATCCTGCCACCCTCCCGTGGGTCCTACCATGGGTCCCCATGGGTCAGGGAGAGCACCCTTCACCATTGTGCATGATTTTGTTTGCTACCTTCCATCTCCTCAGGATCCTCCTGGGTTCTGGCCCCACATGTTCCAGTCTGGCCCAGGGCTTGGAACCAGGGAGGTGCTCGGTTCATGGTGCCGGCTGCTCCCTGGGCCGGGAGAGCTCTTGGCAGCTGTGTCATCCCTCCTGGGTGACCCTGGCTTCTGCTCCGGGGAAGCCCCCATCCCTCTCATTCACCCCATCTCTGCTGGGACCCTGTGGCTCCCGTAGGCTTACTTGGTTCCGTATCGATCCCTGAAGAACATATGCTTCCTTAATATCCCGCTTATGTCCCGGTCGATGCGCTGGATGTGCTCAGATGACCTCTTGCCCTTCTCCTTCATGATCTGTAGGGCAGGGCCAAGCGGAGGAAGCAGTCTCAGAACAGATGGAAGACTCCCTGCCCCCAGTGGCAGTCAGCCCACAGTCAGCACTTCGGGAAGGAAGGACAGAAGGAAGGTTTCCTTCTGCAGAAAGCTGCATTTTGGCTTGTTACTGAAGCCAGGGAGGGTCACCAGAGCTGAGTTTGTCTGTGGTGACTGTGTCACCATCTGTGCCCAGGGTGTTCATCTGACCTTCACCCCCAGCTCCCCAGGGTGGTCTTGACGTTCCCTCCAGCTGGAGACCTGGGCCCCGACACGGCCTGTCCTGTTTGTTGTGCTCTGGCTGAGCGTACCTGGTATCTTCCGGGGTTTTTCAACTTCATTTCCTCAATGTTCAGGAGGACTGACCACATCGGGCCCCGGATGTTCATGGGCATTCCCTTGTAAGCTCGATCTATGAGCTGTGGGCAGAAAACAATCTGGTGTCACAGGCCACGGGGTGACCCCAGTGAGGACCAGAGCCCGGGGATTCTGGAAATTGTCGGTTTTGGCCCCATGATTCCTCAGTAGAGGTGAGATCAAGCTGGGACAGGGTCTCCCTTCCCAGGACTGAAAGAGTGGATGGACACTGAGAGTCGAAACTCTGATCTGAACCTTTTCCTTCCTTCAGGTCACCAGGGCATCCCTAGCCTTGAGCTCCGGGTAGTCCCAGCCCTAGATTCAGATTCCCTCCCTGCAAGGTGACGCTTGCACGAATAGGCAGGAAATCTGGCGACCAGGCCTGCAGTCCTCTGGGCGAGGACAGTGTGCCGCCCACCCTCTGAGAGGCTGATGGTGCCAGGCCACAGCCATGGGTGCCTGTCCCCTGTCTCTGCAGAGAGTGCTTCCTCCCTCCACACGTTACCTTTCTGCTGCTTTTGTATTTCTCCCAGTCTCCCAGCATATCCACCCACTTGCTCTTTCGGCTGATCTCCCGCCGAATTTGCTGTCAAATGAGGCAGGTTGGAGTTAGCGGAGCTGCCAGGCTTCCCAGAGCCGCCCGCGGATGCTGGGTCTTGGGCTCTGGAGCCCTGGTGGGAGCCAGCTGGAAGGAGCCAGGGAAGGGCAGACCTCAAGGGCTGAGAGCCTTTGAGCAAATGAGCACCAGTGGGCTGGCTTTGGGACCCCGGGATGTACCATCCTCAGGCCACAGACACACCAGTCTTAGGTCCCAGCCTCTAGGTGGGGTCCTGACACAAGCGCACAGCCACCCCCAAGCCAGGACTGTGGTTCTCCTTTTGGAATTTTATCAAACTGCCAAAGTGAACAGCAACCTGGGGTCAGGTCCAGCAGGGACTGCTGCCCCTCCCAGTGACAGCGTGTTGCCCTCACCCGCCACCGCTCAGGCCAGCTGCTTCCTCTGCCTCACTGACCACCCGCCCAGTCCCTACGTCCCTGGACCAGCCCCTCCACGCATCAGGCTCTTACCTTCGCCTCCCGCGCAGTCAGAGGAGGCAGCTCCGTCTCACTGTAAGGCAACCCAGGCAGAGCTGAGGAACTGCACGGGGCCTGGAGCGGCCCCAGCCTGGGTGCCGACCCCCAGAAAGGACTGGCTCTGTCCCTTTCCAGCTCAGGGCTCAGCCCAGGAGAAGGCACAGGGAAGGGAGGACAAGGGCCTTCCTGTGGGGCTGACTCCCAGGAGGGGCAGGACCTGGGAGAAGAAGGAGTGTAGGGACAGCCTGGCCGGGGTTACTGGGGCCCCTGGCGTGGGGGGCGGTCAGGCTGCCCAGTGGGGCTGCCCGTCCTGGACTCGAGGTGGTGCTTTCTGCTGGAGCTGAGAAAGGTTAGCCCTGAGATGGGATGGGGGCCGCCCAGGGTGGGCGACCGGGCCCTGACAGGAGTCCCTCAGGGAGTGACCACATCCCCCCGCCAGGGTCAAGGGAGCCTGCCCTGAGACCTGCCCGGTGTACTCTGGCTGCACCAGGGGCCCACCCCACTTGACAGCCCCAAGGCCCTTGCAGGTTCTGACCTCCCAGCATCCACCTGCCTCTCCCTGCACCCGAGCCACACACCCTGCGTTTCAGAAGTGGCACCGCTCGTCAGCTCCCTCCCGCCCTACCTCCCCAGGGATCCTCTGTCTCTCCATCCTGTGATCCCTGAGGGATGGGCTCCTGGCTGGGCTCCTCTTACCCGGCCCCAGATCCCTTCCCAGCACCAGACCCAGGTCTTTAGCCGCGAGCCCTGCTGCCTCCCTGGCCTCACCGTGAGATGCCCAGAACGGGGCCCTGCCCATCTTCTCCCCCGTTCTCCTAGGGCTACAGCCCCCATTGTCACCATGCCTTTTCCCCTCACGGGACAGTGAGGGCTGTAGCTCTAGGGGAATGGGGGAGAACAGGGGCAGGTGGGCCCTCAGAGACCTGCTGGACAACAGCCCTGAGGCTGGGCCAGGCGTCCCCTCACCCTGTGGCCATAACCCTTGCATCTCACCGGGGTTGTCTCCAGGTAGACAGGGCCAGACCCTCAGGCTGCCCCGCTCCTCTTGTGCTCACTTGCCGACAGAACTGCTGAGCGCCCAGGGGCCTGACCTAGCCCAGTCTCCATTCCCACCGGCTCCCTAGATGGGCCCCACACCTCTGGCCTAACAACCTCGGGCTGGACCTGCAGGGGAGTCAGGGAGGAGTTCTGTCCCTGGAAAGGAGGTTGACCCGACCTGGTGAGACATGTCCTGCGTCAGAAAGGCCTTTCTAAAAGCAAACCCATCCCTGAGCTGAGACAGGTGCTTTAGGGGTGAGGGGAGTGCAGAGGACTCACTGTACAATCCCCAAATGATCGACGTTGTTGTTGTAGCTTCAAAAAGGCTTAGGCCCCTTGTCCTCTGGCAGCCCAGCTCGGTGTCCCTGTAGCCCAGAGGGAGCCTTGGTGAGGGGTCCAAGGTAAAGGGTGCAAGGGCCTGGGGGCATTGGCCACCCGTCCCTGCCCTGTGCTCCTAGGGAGCCCAGGACCCTTTGACCAGGGCACACTGGAAGAGGCCTCCCTCCAAGAAGCAGACCGACTTGTACCTTTTCGTATTTCATAATGATGTCCTCTCGCTCTTGTGCCCACCAACTACCCGCGACCTCTACCACGTCCATCCTGTGAGACAAAATTGTCTAAAGGTCACACTGTACGCGGCGGCTTCGGAGAACACCTGAACCGCTCTCGCCGGGCTCCCAGATGCTGGCTGGCTGCGTAACCCCCATTCCACCGCCGCCCCCAGGGAAAAAGGGGCCAGACCCAGTGGCCCACAGCTGCTCCAGTCTCTGGAGTCTCAAGTCCCAAGCAGGGGTGGGCATCTTCCCAAGGACTTGAGTACAGTGGGACCTAGACAGAGAATCCTGTTGTCCCCCAATGCCATGAAATGGGGACACACCGGCCCCAGCAGGTTGAATGGTTTCCACCTGCCAAGGGTGAAGGGCCCATGATGGGCTATTCCAGGGATGTGGAGGCAGACTGGGGTCAGCGACCAGAGGTCTCTGTGCAATCGGCCTCCTGGGATGCTCAGGGCCTCAGCGATGCCCAGTTTCCTACAGGGAACAAGATCTCTCCTGACTGCTCGGTTCTACTCCGCTCATCACTTTGGCTACCGTGGCTCTTCAGTCTGAACAGTGAAGCCACTTTAGGAATAACGCCTGTTGAGCAGGAGGGTGTTGGGTTTGGGGGATGAGGAAGATCTATTGTACGCATGGAAACCACGTCTCTCGCGGAGGGACTGTGGAGTCCACCATTCTGAGCCGTCCCAACAGGAGGAGGCTTCATTTTCCTGGGTCACTGAGGAAGAACAGTGGGTCCTTGGTCCTGAAGAACAGCGGGATGGACCGTCCCTCCTGGGAATACTCGAGGCAAAAGGAGGGCGAGGCTTCAAGAGGACCACGCAGAGCAAGAAATACCTGGGGAGAACCCTAGTGCCCGGACCCCTTTGAACACAAGGGAAGATAGTCTCCCCTCAGCCAGCCCTCCAGGGCTCCTTCATTTTCCACAGCTGCCCAAGGGCAGCAGGCTCCCCCGGACAAGGGACCATGTGTGTTCAGTGGGGCCCACAGCGACCATCAGGACCCAGCTTAGGGCACAGAGGTGTTCTGAGGACCGTCAGTGGATCTGTACCAGTGGCTCTATACCAGTGGCTCTGCCAGGACCAGGCTCTGCCCCATCGGGATGGGAAACCTGGGCAGATTTGGGATCTAGGGCAGGGAGGTCACAGGGTTCAGGCCTGAATTCCAGCACAGCACACGGCAGGGCTGAGAGCAAAACTCAGGGTCATGTCCGGATTCCCAGGCCGGTTACTGCCTCTCTGACCCCAGACGTCTCATCTGTCGAATGGGGACATTTGGGAACAGCACCCACTCTACGAAGCCACCATGGAGACGAAAGAGCCAATCGTCTACACGGGCAGTGTAGAACGGGCGCCTGGTGAGTGCTCAGGGATGACCCTCCTCGGTAGCTGCCCCACAGAGGCCAACACCGCCCGCACCGTAGCCACTGTCCCCAAGTCCGCCTGGAGGGAAGAGAGCAGGTCACGCTCACCTGATTCTGATGAATCAGCTGGCCTGGGTCATGCCTCTCAGGGAGAAAACCTTTGAGTCCACAGAGCTGCTCACAGATACCACTGCCTGTGTGTAACTGCTGTAGACCACTGACGCAGGCCAGAGAGCAGATAGGTGCTAAGCACCAGTAACATTCTGAGGTCATGGCACGAATCACAGTGGGGCCTTGCCCGGGTCAGCAGCACCCAGAGTCAGGGTCCTCCGCTGCCTGAGGCGTCAACATGCCTGCCTGCAACGTGTTTGTGCACGTGCGTGCACACGTGTATGTGGGTAAACATGTCTGTGCACATGTGTGTTGCTTCTCTGGCCAGGCCCGGCTGCCCCACTCATGTGTGCACCCAGTTCCTCATCACTGTCACCCCCGAGGCCCAGGGCCAGCATCAGAGCATCCATGGCTGCTCCCTAACCTCAGCCCTCCCCGCCCAGGGTGGTCCTGGGATACACATAGGGGTGGAGGGAAGTGACTGCTGCTGTTGGATCTCAGAATACAAAAGCTAATACTATTACCTAATGGTCTTTTTAGTGTATCTAATGGTATCGCTTTTTCATTTCTGATATTTTAACTGGGTATTTCTCTCCATGACCCTTGGATATTCTAGCTAGAGGATCCTGTGGGGAAAGTGCCGAGCACACAGTAGGGGCTCACTCTTCTAGACATGTTATCTAAAACCTGGTTCATCTGTCCTTCCACGCAGGGCCTAGGGGATGCCAAATTCCAGGGTCCAGAAAGAGCTTGGGATAAAATGAAACTTCAAGGGGACGGCTTTGACCTGGGCTGAGTCTGTCTGTGCCATCCAACTGGAGTCTCAAGTCCTGAGGCAGGACGTCCAGATGCCCCAGTGCAGGGCCCTCCTGATCAACACCTGCTCCCCTGTACTCATTAGCAACCTCACCCACCCTACTCTCAAAGCACACTTGGCTCTCGTATCCAGGAGCTCTGCATCTATAGATTCGGCAACAGCAGATGGAAAATATTCAGAAAATAAATTGGATGGTTATGTTTCTATTGAACATGTGCAGACTTTGTTCTTGTCATCATTCCCTAAAGAATACAGTATCACGACCATTTATGTAGCATCTGCATTGTATTACACATCATAATCTAGTAACGGTCTAACGTATACGGGAGGATGCGCATAGCTTATACGTAAATACTAGGCCATGTTCTATCAGAGACTTGAGCATCCATGGATTTTGGCATTCCCGGGGACCCTAGAACTAATCCTCCATGGATACCAAGGGATGACTGTATATACTCACTCAGGAAGGCTTCTCATTGGAGGAAGGGCCCGGTTCAGGACAGACAGGGACATCATCCCTGGACTACTGTCCATCCATCCATTCATCCATTGGCACCACCCTCTAGGACTGTCCCAATGACAGCCCTAGCAAGTGGAGATAAGAAAAAAGACTGGCTCAAATGGTACAGCTTTGAGGTCTTGGAAGATGTTGCACCAGTATGAGAATAGGGGGTCAGTTTCCTCCAGGATCCAGAAAGCATATCAGGCAGGCTCGGGGAGAGGAAAGGAACACGGCCTCTCCAGCAGCCACACAGGCCTGCAGTAGGATGGGGCTGGGGCTGGGGCTGGGGCTGGGACTGGGGCTGGCCCCGTTTATCACTTGGGCCTCATGAGGGGAAAAGAAAGGACAGGGGGCAGAGGAGGAGCATGGGGGCAGCGGGTTGCCTAAGGAGAAGGCGCCTCAGGGAAGGGGTATTAGTTTGTTTTCACACTGCTATAAAGAAATACTTGAGCCTAGGTAATTTATAAAGGAAAGAGGTTTAATCGACTCCCAGTTCAGGGAACTTACAGTCATGGCAGAAGGCGAAGGGGAAGCAGGCACCTTCTCCACAAGGCGGCAGGAGGGAGTGAGCGGAGAAGCAGGAAGTGCCACACTTTCAAACCATCAGCTCTCCTGAGAACTCCCGCGCTATCAGGGGAGCAGCAGGGGGGAAACTGTCCCCAGATCCCATCCCCTCCCACCAGGTTCCTCCCTTGACACAGGAGGATTACAATTCCAGATGAGATTTCGGTGGGGACACAGAGCCCAACCTGTGAGGGTCTCAGTCTATCTTGCAGCTCCCCTGGGGCTGGGGCTGAGTACAGTTCTGCTGGCCCTGCTCTACAGCACGTGGGGACTCTGCCTGTGTGCCCCCATCTGCTCTTCCTGGGGATGGTGGCTGCTTCCTCAAGAGGAGGGTGGATCTGCTCTCCTGCCCACCCCTCTCCAGGGCCTTTTGGAGCCCTGGCCACGTCCTCCCCGGGTAAGGGCAGGAAACCGGGCTCCTTGCCCTTCTTGCTGCTTGGGTGACAATCCTGGGGTCATCCATAGGCCCCATCACTGTTCCCACTTCTAAATGGAGGGTATTTTGGCACATCTTCCTGGCGGGGTCCGGGGCCTCATCCCTGTTATTTATTCTATCTTGGTAAAGCCAGGTTAAGACATCTGGGCAAGGAGATAGTAGAGTGGCCCCCAGGAAGGGTGGGTGGAGGGCCTGGCCTTTGGGCTTGCCTGGAGCAGGGTGGGAGGGGGCAAGGTTACCAGGAAGCAGGGCTGTCAGGGCCAAAATCAGGAGGCGGTGATAATGCTGGTGGGGGGACAGGGCTGTGTGCTTGGCTTGGGGTGGGGCATGAGAGCCAAGGTTTGTCAGCACGCAGAGGGGTGGCTGACTCATGGACTAGGGGCTATGGAACCCAATGGCTGCCCTTAGTTCCTGGATCCTGGGAGACTTCTGGAGCCTGGGTGTGGGGCAGCCTAGGGGTGGAGGTGGGGCAGACAGGGGTAGGGGTAGGGGTAGGAGAGGAGGACTTGCATGGCAGGGTGCAGGGTAGGAAACCAGCCAGGGGCCAGTTTGCATTGGCGGCTCCCATCCCCATCCCCACCCCCAAGCCCACCCCTACCCCCACCCTGCTGCAGAGATGGGCCTGGGCTGCTGTCCTCTGCTTTGGCCTCAGCAGATCACACGATGGAAGCTGGCAGCCCCGTGGGCACCACTCGAGCCAGCTGTGACCTGCAGTTTCTGCTTCCTGGAGTGTGGGGCGCCCACTCAGGAGAGCACGGCACACCCCACACCCCTCATTTTGAGGATGCTGGGAGGTGGGGACCAAGGTCCTGCAGCCCTCTGCTTGCGCTATGAAAGGTAGCCTAGGAGTCCTGTGTCCGCCCATCCACGTGGGGCCCCAGGAGCCTGAACAGTGGCAGGCAGAGAGATGAGGAGGGTGAGAGAAGTGGAAAAGAAGGAGAGAGAAAGAGAGATGGGGAGAAGGGAGTGAGATAGAGAGAGGATGAGAGATAAGGAGAGAGACAGAGGAGGCTGAGAGGAAAAGGAGCGAGAGAGACAGGCAGAGAGACACAAAAGGCAAAGAGAGAGACAGGGAGAGACGAGCATGAGTAGGAGGTCGGGTCACTCTCGATCCCAGTCCCCAGTGAAAACCGTAGGTCGCCATCACCTAACTACGCGTGCAATAAAGTCTTCTGCCTGCTGCTTACAGCCCGAGAACCCTTTTCCGAGAGAATAAAATCTTTGACCGTTGCCCTTTCTCGCCGGAGTTTGCTCGTGTCTTCTGATGAACTGTGATGTCTCACCTATCGCCTTCCTGGGCTCAAGGATCCACGAAAAGCCGACGACTCTTTTGGGGAGGCTCTGCAGTGCCTTCATCTCACTAGGCTCCCCAGGAAGCTTGCGAACTTGGCTTGAGCCCTAAGCAGCCGAGTATGTGCCGGGCCTCTGCTTCTCTCTTTCAGTAAGAGGGAGAACCAAGAAAGAGGCTGAAGCATGGTCTGCAGAGAAGGCACTTGTGCAAACACCAGGAGAATGAGGGGCCTGAGTTGTCTTCATTTCTCCTAAAAACACGCATTTCCTCCCAGGCCACCCTAGTGAGGGCATGAAGCACAGCGTGTGTGTGTGTGTGTGTGTGTGTTTGCAGGAATATGCATGTGTGTGTGCATGTGTGTGTGTGCAGGTATATACATGTGAATGTATTTATGTATGTGCATCTGTGTGCATGTGTGTATGCAAGCATATGCATGTGTATGTATGTGCATGTGTGCGTGTGTGTGTGTGTGTGTGCGTGTATGTGTGTGTTGCAGGGCTTTACAGTGGACAGGATGTGGGAGGGCAGCTGCAGCTCCAAGCTGCAAGTCTTTCTGATAGAATGGTTAAGATTCCCTGGACCACAGAAAGAGTGTTTTCATTTGCACCTATTTTTATTAGCATTTAAAGCTGTATTCTTCGTAGCATGTGAAGCTTAAGTTGCTTAACTATTCTTAGAAACATTTACACCAGCGGTCCCCAAACTTTTTGGCACCAGAGAGCAGTTTTCTTGAAGACAACTCTTCCACGGACCTGGGAGAAGGGGAAGGGATGGTGCAGAGATGATTCGAGCCCATTACATTTATTGTGTGCTTTATTTCTATGATTATTTCACTGTAATATATAATGAAATAATTACACAACTCACCATAACATAGAATCAGTGGGAGCCCTGAGCTTGTTTTCCTGTAATTACGTGGTCCCACTTGGGGGTGATGGGAGACAGTCAGAGATCATCAGGCATTAGGTTCTCATAAGGAGCACGCAATCTAGATCCCTGGCATGCGCAGTTCACAGTAGGGTTCATGCTCCTATGAGAATCTAATGGCACCACTCATCTGACAGGTGGCAGGGCTCATGCAGTAATGTGAGGGATGGGAAGTGGCTGTTTCTACAGATGAAGCTTTGCTCACTGGCTGGCTGCTCACCTCCTGCTGTGTTGCCTGGTTCCTAACAGGTGGGGATCCGATTTACCCAGCAAGATAAATATATTATTATGTCAATTTAAATTATTCACCTTGAACCACCCAAAATTACCTTGCATACCTCACCCACCCAAGGGTCCCGTAGCACACTTTGGGAGCTGCAGACAGTAAACCTGGAGCTCCATAGAGCATTCCATCTCTCCACCATCTGTGGGCTAACAGGCTGTGTTAGTTTCCTAGGGCTGTTTTACAGTACCACAGACTGGGCACCTTCAACAACAGAATGTTACTGTCTCGCAGTACTGGAGGCCATGAGTCCAAGATCAAGGTGTCAGCAGGGTGGGTCCCTTCTGAGGCTGTGCAGGAAGGCTCTGTTCCAGGCCTGTCTCCTCATGCGTGGGTGGACATCTTCTCCCTGTGACTCTTCATTAAGGGTGATTCTGGTGAGGGCTCCAAAGAGGAGACTTGGACAGAATGTTGGTAGATAAATGTGTCAGTGGAAACCAGAGGGTAGACAGGACTCCATCCATGCCCAGGGCTTTCTGGGGACAGACCTGTCCAAGCAGCAACCATTCCCAACCGAGTTCTGTTTCTGGAAAGCCAGGCAACAGGTGGGGCTGGGCCCTCTGGGATTTGTTTAGTGACCCGATTATGTGGGAGGCCTGCAGTGGGTGGTTGGGTGGGGGGTGGTACCAATGCCATCATGCCCAACCTCATTGCATCACTCACTTCCCAGGCCCTGCCCTCAACCCCTCCTGACCAGGCCCTGTCCTGGTTCTCAGCCACCTTGTCCCAGTGGGTGCTTCAGCCCACTCACTGACCAAGTGAGGGACTGACTCCAGGTTACAAAGTGCTGTGGTCATGTGACCTGAGAATACGTGTGCGCAGAGTGTGCCCACAGTGTCCTTGTAAAGTTGAGCATGTACATGTCCTGCCAGTGTGTAGGCAGCCTGTCCACACATGCCTAGGAGTGTGACTCCATGTCCTGGTAGATGGGGAAGGAGAGAGGGAGTTGTGCCCAGGGTCCCCCGATTACTTCTATGGGTGCATGTTTGTGCTTCTTGTTAGGGGTGCTTGGGGAAGATTCTGCCCTGGGTGCCCTGGATCACCTGTGTGTGTGTGTGTGTGTGCACGCGGGGACGCGCACGTGCATTAGGGGGTGTACTGTGTTACAGCATCCTCAACCAACTCTGTATGTGTGCATATGTTTGTGTGTGTGTGTCCTACAGGTGTGAGCGAGTGGATGCTTCCACTACGTGTCTGCACATGTGTGTGTGCACTTGCATTGTCCTTGCACACCTGCGTGTGTCCCGTGAGAGCGGAGCCCAGCATGTGCTGGCACCTGCAGGAACATGTGAGTGTGCGTTCTGTGGGTCCCTGTCCTGATGGCTCTCCACTTGTCCCGAGTGTCACGACGACGAGGATGGGGACCATATCTTCGGAGCCTGAGGATCCAACACAGGTCCAGCCCTGTGCAGCCGCCCGCCAAGCCGCCAGAGGACGAGCCGGACGCCGAAGGCTACGAGTGGACGATTGCAGTTAGTTTCCAACTCGCCGACTTCGCGCCCCTCCACTGGCTCCGGCTTGATGATCCCGGCTTCGGGGTGCTCTCGGTCCCTCCCCATCGCGTCGTCGCTTTCTCCCTTGGCATAACCCCCAGCCGCGGGGCCGCAGACCCTAAGAGCTCCATGAGCTCTCCGCGCCCTGCCCACCGGCCCCGGCCCCGACCCCTCCCCAGACCGGACCAGAGAGGTGGGAAGTTTGGGGGCACCCGCTGTGGGTGTCCCGTTTCCGGGGCTGGGCTCCGGGGAGCCGGCGCGGCGCCCGCTCCCTGCCCGCCAGCCCTTTGGGAGCTCAGGCGCGGGCAGCCGCTTGTGTTCCTGGGAAGGGCGGAGCTGCGTCCCGGGGAGACACGCCTTGCAGCCGGCAGCCTAGTCGCTCCCCGCTGGCCGGCCGCTCCGTGAGGGCCCCGCAGCGGAGGGTCGGGGCTGGGGCGGGCTGGAGAGGGGGCCCCGGGCTGGGGCCGGTTCGGCCTCCCGGGTGGCGCGCGGGCCGAAGAACTAGGAGGACCGCCGGGCCGGGCCGCTTGTCCTTTGGAAAAACCTTGGCGGTTCCTCCTCTGGTGTCCGTGGACCCCGCCGTGGCGTTCTCCAGGGCCGCGGACCTTTGCCCACCGGTCGCGCCAGCTGTCCTGGAGCAGAAAGGACCCCCCTCCTCCCGGACCGAGCCCCGAGCCCCGAGCCCCATGGAGCAGGCAAGCGCCGGAGTCCCGAGGCTAAGGCCCGGCCGGCGGGCGCTCTGGCACCTTTTCCCGCCCCCGAGGGTGCCTGTCCGGCCCGGCCGGGACTGGCTGGGAAACCGAGGCCGGAAGAGGTCGCAGTCCAGCAAGGAATCGGTTTGTGTGGGGTGGGGGTGGGATGGGAGACCCCTCCCCAACCCCACCAGCCCCAGCCCAGCTGTGGCCCCCGCCGTGTCACTCAGAAAACCAGCGTCAAACCCCAGCCCTGCCTGGGATGTGGACCTTGCCTGGGGAGAGTCCCGTTCAGGCTTTTCCAGGGCCTCTCCCCTGAGCAACAGGGGTGTCTGCGCTGGGCCTGGGCACTCACCAGGGCCTGCAGGCTGCCAGTCTGGAGTTTCCCTAGCATCAAATGTGCCACCGGAAGCTGAAGGTGGGGATGACCAGTGCCCCCCGGAGCGAAGACCCCCCCATCTCTCCAGGATTGGGGGTCTGCTTAGGGGTCCACTTAGGGGTGTATCCCTCAGGCATTGGAAGTGCAGATGGGAGGCCCTGAGCCATGGTGGCTCCCCCAGTCCCCAGTTCTTTCTCTGTGTAAATCCAGCTTTGCAGGGACGGGGATGTGGTGCATTTCCCGGAAGAGCCGGGGTCCTGGGGCGTGGGGAGCTGGGGCTGGGTCGTGGGGAGCTGGGACTGGGGTGTGGGGAGGGGCCCAGGGTGAGCAAGCTGAAGCAGGACTGGCACAGGCCTCTGGAGGGCCTGGGGGAGGCTGGACGCCCCGGGGTGCACCCTTGCTTGTGCACTCTTCTAAGGGTCAGTCTCAGTTTGCCCATCTGTAAATAGGGTTGATTGTCCCTGCCCTACGTGGCTGTTGTGAGCATTCAATGAGCACTACCAGTCCTGGGAGACTCTTGGTGTTTTTTATTGTGCTAAAATACACAAATATAAATTTCCCATTTCAACCATTTCTTTTTGCTCCTTCACTCCCCACCCACCCACCCATTTTTACCGTATAGTTCAGTCGTGCTCAGTACCTTCTACCTTCACGCTGTGTGCAACCCATCTCCAGAAGCCTCTTCATCCTGCAAAATTGAAACTGGACCCATTAAACAACACCTCCCCATTCCTCCTCCCCCGGCCCCTGGCAACTGCCATTCTGCTTCTTTCTCCACATATGGAATATATTCTATATACCTAGTTTTACATTAAGATCATAGATAGCTTTGTTTTCAGTATGTATATCTACTTTATTCTTTTCAGTAATTTCATGTTTATTATGTGGCTGTACCATCATGGTTTAAACTATCCATATTTTAAAGAGTTGATTTATATTGGTTGTTTTTACAAACAGAGCTGCAAACAACAGCGGTGTGCCAACAATTTTTGTGTGTGTGGGGGGGGGGTTCTTTTTTGTTTTTGTTTTTGTTTTTGAGACAGAGTCTCACTCTGTCGCCCAGGCTGGAGTGCAGTGGCAAGATCTCGGCTCACTGCAACCTCTGCCTCCCAGGTTCAAGCAATTCTCTTGCCTCAGCCTCCCAGGTAGCTGGGATTATAGGCGCCTGCCACCATGCCCGGCTAATTTTTGTATTTTAGTAGAGATGAGATTTTCCCGTGTTGGCCAGGCTGGTCTCGAACTCCTGACCTCAAGCTATCCACCTGCCTTGGCCTCCCAAAGTGCAGGGATTACAGGGGTGAGCCACCGTGCTTGGCCCTCCTTTGTTTCCTTAGATAGTGTTTCTTGAAATAGATTCCTAGAAATAAGATAGACTGAAGAGTATGTAAATTTTAAATTTTTTTACAGACTGTGTCATTGCTTTTTAAAAATGCTGATTACCAAAATGTCACTTTTTGATACTAAAAAATAGATTGTTTTAAACACACAAAGTAAGTAGGGCTTATCAAAAAGTTAATATATTTTGCATTTCTCACAAGTGTGTTGAATTTCTCCCCCTTGCATTGTACAGCAGGAATCCTGACTCAGTCTAACTTTCTTATACTTAAAAAAGTATATACTAAAACATAGGCCAGGAGTTAGCAAATGTTTTCTATAAAAGACCAGATAGTAAATATTGTTCTTTGTGGGCTATATAATCTCTGTTGCAACAATGTGACTCCACCTTTGTCTTGGAAAGCTGGGATAGATAATATATAAAAGAGTGGGAGTGGCTGTGTTTCAACAAAACTTTGTTTACAAAACAGGGGTCATACTAGATTTGTTCTGAGGACCATAGTTTCTTAACCTCAGTCTAGGCAATCCATCAAGTAATTCTGCATTCACGATAGAAGTCTTATTGTATATATTGGCTGACTGTCTTTCCTTTCTCTAATGTTAACCACTGATTTTGTGGAGCATGGATTCTAGGGAAATAATACCCAGGTAAGATGTCTATTACCATGTGTGTCTTATTTTTGAAAGAGTGGTTAAATTCTTATTGAGGCCGGGTGCAGTGGCTTATGCCTGTAATCCCAGCACTTTGAGAGGTCGAGGCAGGCAGCTCTCTCAAGTTCAGGAGTTCAAGACCAGCCTGGCCAACATGGTGAAGCCCCGTCTCTACTAAAAATACAAAAATTAGCTGGGTGTGGTGGCATGCACCTGTAATCCCAGCTACTTGGGAGGCTGAGGCAGGAAGATCACTGGAACCCGGGAGGCAGAAGTTACAGTGAGCCGGCATGGCACCACTACACTCCAGCCTGGGCAACAGAGCAAGACTCCATCTCAAAACAAGTCAAAACAAAACAAAACAAACACACAAACAAAAAACTGGGAGACCGAGGTGGTCAGATCACAAAGTCAGAAGATTGAGACCAGCCTGGCCAATATGGTGAAAACCCGTCTCTACTAAAAATACAAAAATTAGCCGGGTGTGGTGGCAGGCACCTGTTCTCCCAGCTACTTGGGAGGCTGAGGCAGAAGAATTGCTTGAACCTGGGAGGCAGAGATTGCAGTGAGCCAAGATTATGCCACTGCACTCCAGCCTGGGCGACAGAGCAAGACTCAGTCTCAAAAAAAAAAAAAAAAAAAGTCTTATTGACAAGTTCAGTAGTTTCTTGTCTTTAGTCTGCATGTGTATCACTTGGGGGTTTGGTAAAAATCTAGATTCCCGCATCCAAACCCAGTTCTCTTGTGAGCATTTTAAATGACCATCCCAGGTGGTTCTGGAATGCTCATAGGATTGCATATTAGTTACACTATTTATTCGCTGCATGGCCATGGACAAGTTGTTTTAACTCTCTGAGCCAACATTTCCTCTTCTGTTAAATGGGAATATTAATAATACTTAGCCCTTGGAGACACTGTTAGAATTTGAAGCACAATGAATAATTTTTAAGAGAGCTTGACTCATGAGAAAAATAAGCTTAAATGCATGAATATATATATCAAGCATGAATTTACCTAGTGCATATGCATTATACACTGGGTGCATAATACTTTATAAAATAATCATTGTTTTAAAAAATAGAGTTTCATTATTTGGGGAGAGGCATTACCGTCATTTCCTTTCTGCTGACTTCCCCTCTTCAGAGTTTTCTGCTCTTCCCCTCCCATCCCACCACCTTGCTTTGTCACAAAACAAAGCCAATAGGATCACCAACAGTTTAAGACTGGTTTACTCAAAACGAATTCATTGTTTTACATAGCTGAACACAGAAATGATAAATAATGTTCTATAAATATTTGTTGGTTGACAGCTTTGGAACAATGTCCTCTAGAAAAAGCTGAACGTAGCCACCCACCTTGTACGAGAGCCGCAAAGAATAGCCATGTGCCTGAATATGTGTCAGCCGCTGTGTGACTGGAGGGGCTGAGGAAGGGGCGTAGAGGGTGTTGTGAGGTCCCTTCCGACAAGCAGTCAAGAACGCATAGAAATACATTACAAAAATTAAATAGATAAGTTGAAATGCATGTTAAGAAGAGCCCCAGAGTGTGGTTGCTTGGGTAGGGGTAGGTTCAGGAATTGAAGGGACGTCCCTAGGGCCTGGGTCCCTGCCTCCTAATTTGCCACAAATGTAACAGTGTCTTGTTGCTTCCAGGTCACTCAGGGATTCGACTCTGAGGTCAGTGATGCACTTGGCACCAGAACTCGATGGGGTTGGCACAGACCTGCCAGCCTCAGCCACTTTCATTCTGGAAGCTGTTAAAAGAGACAGTTATAAAAATTGAGGAATCAGCAAGAGAATTCCTGGTTCCGTGCTACCTTCTTCTCTCTGTCTTGGCAAGTGTCGGGCCTGTCCACTTGCTCAGGACTCTTTGTCCAACCTCAGCTCCCTAGACCTTTCATCAGTGGCTCAGGGGGTCTCTTCAGGCAGCCTCTTCCGGCTAACACTTCCTCCTGTCTTCCCTCTGTCAGGGGCAGCTCTTCCGTGGTTCCTTGCAGACCCCAGGTCAGGCCAGAAAACACCTCTATGGCCCTTCCCTGTGTCCCACCACCAGATAGGACCTCAAAGGCCTGGGGTCCCCAGGATGGCCCTCAAACCGACTGGTGCCCTTGCAGGCTGCCACCCTCCAAGTCCTGCTTCTCTCTAGAGATGGGCAGGAGCACCAGCCCTCACCTGGCACCAGCAGTGAGTCTCATAATTGCCATCTACCATTTTGCTAGGGGGCTTCTGGGGATCCTAGGAAAAGCAGCAGATGCCTGGGTGCTTGGGGACCTGGGCATTCTGAGGGAAGGAGCAGCGTGACCCTGAGTCATTTTTCACTGGGGACAAATGAGCCAACTCCTTCTACCCAGTGATAAAATCAGAAGGAAGCAGATGGAGACAGCACTGTTCAGGGGATGATTTGGGGATGAGAAGAACTGGCAGGAAGTTGGGGATGTGGGGGTGAGAAGAACCAGCAGGAAGTTGGGGATTTCTTGTTTCCCCACTTTTCCCTTCCATTTCTGTTTGAGCCTTAGGTTTGGCCTCCGTCTCCCTCTGTAGGAATTGCAGCTAATTAAATATTCTGCCTCTTATTCCAGCTTTACTGGTGGAACATAATATGGTCTAAGAAGAGATTTTTGCAGCAAGAGGCCATCTCTGCAAATCACCTGTGAGGCAGACCTGTGGCAATTTTATGACTCAGCTGGCCACCGGGATTGTAGCTGGGTTCTGCCGCTTGTTGAAACCTACTCAATGTTCTCCTTCCCTAAGTAGGACAAGACCGTATCCTGCCTTTAAGGTTTATAGAATAAAAACTGAAAACTCTTTGGGGAAGAAAATCTTCCTGAACAGATAGCCCAGGGCATTTTGAAAATCCCTTAGGAAGTTCTCTGTTTCACTTGGGTACCTTTGTCCTTGGACTTTGGTGATGTGGTTTGACCCCAGCTAGAGAGTGAGGGGAACAACAGCAAAAGGCAGGACAAAGACTGACTCGTGAGAGGAGGCCCAGGAACAGGGGGCCATTGTGAATGAGGAGGACGTGGGGGCCCAAGAAAGTGAGCAAAAGAGGACAGGGCTTGCGCACTCAGTCACCAGCCCCCTTCTGGGGTCCAAGCTGTGTCCCCTTCTCTAAAGAGGTAAGCCCTGAGTCATGGGAAGATGGAAACCGGGGCTCATGAGACAGGATGTTTTTTAAGCACCGTGGTGTCTTGTTGACTTGCACATGCACGGGGGTCTTGGGTAACCACAGGGCTCAGGGTATTTGCAGGAACAGTTCAAGTGCTCACTTGTCTTGGGGCTGTTTATGGGGAAGTGGTTTCCACAGTGAGAGGAGGTGAGATATTGTTGTCACCCCGGACGACACTTAGCTAGTTCCTTCTCACTAAAGCTCTGTAGTCATATTTTCCCTGGCAGAGCAGAAACTTCTATGTTATCCCACAGCTGTTCTAACGGTGTAGACTTGACTTATGCAATGATGCCAGGAGTCCTGAGCAGCACAGCCCAACTTCAATCACACACAGATGGACAGAGCTGTATTAGCAAAGCCTGAGCTACTGAGCGATGAGAGTACAGCCAGGCTTTCAGACATCTGTTCATTCAAGAGAGATATGCGCTAAGCCAAGGACCTAAAGATGTGTTTAATATGGGTGCTAATATGCATAAGGAACCTTGAAATAAATGTTCTTAGCCTTTGGCCAAGAGGGTCCATGTCTAGGAATCTATTCTCCATAGAAATAAATTCAAATATGGAAAAAATGAACAATGCATAAGTGTATTTGGTCCCCAGCATATTTATAGCAACTTAAAATTGGACCCAATTTAAATGCCTATGATATGGAAATGGCTAAGAAAATTATGGGATCTTCCCTTGATTGGCTATTAGGCAGCCTTTACAAACAATGCAGTGACATGAGAAATGCTTATGTTATGGTAAGCTTAAAAAACTCAAGATGCAAATCAGCTTATTTTAATCAGGAGCCACCTAGCATTTGGGATGTGGTCAATCCCACATAATGTATTTTTGTGGGTGCAGTTCCCAGGAAAGAGGAGGAATAAAAACGGCAAGTATGAAGTGTCTCCTTCGCTTGCAGTCTCCTTGTCTACCCCTTTGTCCATCCACTATGAAAGGACTCCCTTCTGTTCCTTAATATGGACAATTTCTATTGAGGACTCATTGTTCTAAGAATTGTCTCATCTCCTCCTGCATCCTCAGTGCCCGATCTTTGGCTTCTATGAAGGAAGGTGGGTAGTGCGTATGGCAGGTCCAGTTCTACCTTTCTTAGTATGTTCTGGCGTGGGTATGTAGCCCCATTTTCTAGTGGTTACCTTGACATCATGAAGAGTTTATGTCTCTTTTGCCCTAGGTTTGGGCAATAGTCATTCACTGTGCAACAGGAAATACACGAGTCAGCATCTTATTAAAAATAAAGTCATTCAGGAAAGTGGACGACTAATAGTTTCTAATCTAGAGAGCATAGGAGAAGAAATGTTTACCACACACAAAGTATTAGTGCCTTTTATATCACGAAAACAAAAATAACAGGAAAAAGACAAACACATTATAGTGAAAACTTGTTTTTCCTAACCAGCATCTATTCTGCATGTTTCCTGATGCCCGAAACTCACATTTCCTCAGGAAAATCTCCCTTCTGCACCATTCTCAGGCTTTAAGTTTATGTAAAATTCAGTAAACCCAAAGATTCAAGTTATGTGCCTTGATTAACTTAAGCAAATCAATGAAACCCATCCCCATAACCACAGCGACAGGTTAGGAAATTCGGTTCCTAAGTCAGTCACATCCGAAAGGGCCTAGTGATGTTTTTTTCCAGTGGGATCACAGACTCACTCTTCCTTGCAGAAAATGAACAAAGGATTCATGTAACACTGGCAGGTACTGGCAGCCACCCAGGGCCTCTCACAGGAAAGGGAGATCAGAAAGAGAAGCAAAGAGGACTCATGAGATACCATAGGGCTGCTGCGTCCAGCCTTGCCTGGAGCTAGGGCCACCTCGATGCCCTATAGTCTTGGAGCCACAACGTGCATTTACTCAAAGCCTCTTTGAGTTTGGTTTGCTTGTTTGCTTTCTGCCTGGAAACTGCCAGCATCCTGAGAGATACGAGATCTGCATCTGTGCAGAGACACAGGGTTTGTTAAAAGTCACAGGCCCTGACTGAAGTGTGGAACTGGCTGAAATGAGAAAGTGGTAATTTGGGGAGGACCTTGTGAAATGGAAGGAGTTTTAAACCTTACATGCATCAGAATTACCTGGAGCCTTGTGAAAACACAGGTTGCTGGGCCCTAGTCCATTAAGAAAGGAAGTGGGGCTTAGAATGTTCATTTCTCCCATGTTCCCAGGTGATATTCACCATGCTGTCCTGTCTGGACACTACCTTTTGCCATACCCATTACAAGGTATTGCACGTGCTGGTTGAACTATGGTCTGTCTTATTTTGGTGCTAAAAGCCTGTGCCAAATACCAACGCTGCAGCATTAAGGAATGTGATAGAAAAGATTCTGAATATAGGCCAGGCGCAGTGGCTCACGCCTGTAATCCCAGCACTTTGGGAGGCCGAGGCAGGCAGATCACGAGGTCAGGAGATCAAGACCATCCTGGCTAACATGGTGAAACCCCGTCTCTACTAAAAATACAAAAAATTAGCCGGGCGTAGTGGTGGGCACCTGTAGTCCCAGCTACTTGGGAGGCTGAGGCAGGAGAATGGCGTGAACCTGGGAGGCGGAACTTGCACTGGGCTGAGATCGCGCTACTGCACTCCACTCCAGCCTGGGCGACAGAGCAAGACTTCGTCTCAAAAAAGAAAAAAAAAAGAAGATTCTGAATATTGGAACTTAGTAGCTATGTATTACATCAGTAAGGTCCTTTAAGAAAGAGTTTAGGCTGCTTTGAAATGGGCTCATCTGAAATTGAAAAAGGAAGAAATTGAACTTGCTAAAAAAGGCCCTTCCAACTTATTGACTGAGAACCCAGTAATCTGGAGACTTGAAGGGCTGTAATGGCAGAATTTTCTACTCTAAGATAAAGTTAGCATGAGCAGAGACAGGAAGATGAGAGACCTAATGAGGCCAAGGGTCAAATATTCATCACCTCCACATGGGCCAAGATGCAGGCAGAGGTCTCTCACCAGGGACTTGGTGGTAGAGGTGACACTGGTAGTGAGGTCTGTGCTAGAAAGTGCACATCCCTGGCTGGGCGCGGTGGCTCACACCTGTAATCCCAGCACTTTGGGAGGCTGAGGCAGGTGGATCACGAGGTCATGAGTTCAAGACCAGCCTGGCCAACATAGTGAAACCCCGTCTCTACTAAAAATCCAAAAATTTAGCCAGATTTGGTGGCAGGCACCTGTAATCTCAGCTACTTGGGAAGCTGAGGCAGGAGAATCTCTTGAACCCAGGAGGCTGAGGTTGCAGTGAGCCAAGATCACACCATTGCACTCCAGCCCAGGAGACAGTACAAGACTCCATCTCAAAAAAAAAAAAAAAAAGAAAAGAAAAAAGAAAGTGCCTATCCCCAACCCCATTTAAAATGCAAATTCGAGCTTTGTAACTGAAAACATCTCTGCTTCTGGCTACCTGGCCCATGGAATTGATCAGAAGCAAATAGTAGCCTATGGACATTAGAAGGGAGTCACATTGCCAAAGAAACCACAAGACTGGTTCCAAACAGTCGCTGATTACACAATACCTAAGGCAACCTCAGGCTAACTCACACAGACAGGAAGTCAGCAGCCTCCAGAAAGCAGATCCTCCACATTGCACATCTCAGATTGTCCGTGGAGGACATTCCCCCAGGGAGGAGAGCTAGGGACTGCCAGATCAGCTGAACTGCTTAAAAATGCAATTCCCATTCTCCAGTTCCCTAACAGGAGTCTGTGTTTAACTTACTCTGTTTGTTCATAACACTTGTATTTAGGGAATATTGGGCATGATTAAACTTTGTTTAGCTTTGGGTTTCTGGACCTTGTGAAACAATTCAGTGCAGGCAAATATTGTATGCCCCTATATTTTTTTCCTGAAAGTCAATAAAGAAGGAATGATGACACCTTCACTGCATCTATGGGGACAAAAGCTGCTCGTGTGTGTGTGTGTGTGTGTGTGTGTGTGTGTGTGTGTGTGTGTGTGTGTGAAAGAGAGAGACAGAGAACAGCCTTGTCAAAAGGATGTGTTTGTTGCTGTACCCTCATTATACGAAAGCCATCATGGCATCAAAATGCTGTAAGCCAGGCTGAGCTCTATTCTCTCTGCATCAACTCAGAATCCCTACCAGAAAGTGGTTGTGATGGATGGAATATCACCCATCAAAGAACAGGGTAAGATGAGACCAGAGAGGTAAGCTATGCAAGCTAATCAGAAAATAACTCAAAGTTTTAAAAGTGCAGAATATAAAAAGGAAAAACCCTCATTCCTAAAAAAATTTAAAAAAAGCCTCATTTCCTCAAAGAAACGACAGTTAGCTATTTGATGTGTGTCTTTCCAAATATTTGCCTATGTAAATATATGTGTGTATATGGCTTTTAAAAATAAAAACAAAATAATATCCTTTACAGACAGTTTTGTAGCATATGTAGAGAATATATATGCATATACTGAATGTAAATAGATATGCATTTTACCTAGAATATTGAGGACACTTTCCACAGTTATAGATGTGTGCTGCTTTTGTTTACTGACTGCAGAATATTCCATTGATGGACATCTTAATCCTCTACTTATTAATCCCCTACTGATGACTGTTTGCATTTCTTTGCTCTTTACCAACCATACTTGAAAGAATATCCTCATGTCTACATATTCTTATCTTTTGGCAGTGTTTCTATGAAGCAGATTCCTAGAAATGGGATCAGGTCAAATGGGATGTAGGTCACATAGTATGTGCATTTTAATATCTGCTAAGTAGTAGTGTTTAATTATGCTTTAAAGAGTTTGAGCCCTACAATTCTAAACATGTTTGGACACAGAAATTAGATTATTTTAAACAAAATGAAATAAGCATAGCTCATAAAAATTAACACGTTTGGTTTTCACACAAATATTTTGAATTTCCCTTTCTTCTGCAAAAAGGACCCTAGCTTAGTATGCATTTCTTGTACATATAATGCAAGCAATCCATCTATTAAATAACTTACCTTTCAAACCTATAGACAGCATCCTGCTCCACACAGAAGCTGGTTGTCTTTTCATTCTCTAACATTAGCTATTTATTTTGTAGAGTGTAGATTCTAGAGAAATAATGTATAATACACCTGTTGCCATATGCAGAGACTTACCACATTTAGAAAACAGTGGTGAATTCTATTGACAGTGGCTCTCAGTCATTAACATGCTATGGAACACCTCATGAGCTTGATAAAAATATCAGTTCCCAGGTCTACACCTAAAGATCCTGATGTAATTGGCTTAAATAATCACTGCTGAAACACTCTATGTCAACTCAGAATCCTGACAGGAAGTGGTTGCAATGGATAAAGTATCATCTGTTAAAGAATGGGGTAAGATTTGAGTATAGGCGGGTCATACTTTGGGAAATAACTTGGTCAATGGTTAACAGCATAGTCTGTAGTTCAATAAAAGTCCAGTTTTGGAACACAATTGACCGTTTACGTGCTGTGTAACCTCAGCCAAGTTGTCTAACCTTTCTGAGCCCTGGGTTACTTTTCTGTCAAGTGGAGGTATTAATAGTACCTAAGCTGTACTATTGCATTGGTAAGATTAAATGAACAATGTATAAAAAGCACTCAGTAGGAGGAGTAAGCCTCAACAATGTAAATAATTGCTATTAAGAGCTTGATTCATCATGAATATGCCCTACAGAATACTCTGCTTAATGGTGGCCATTCAAGTAGTTAATTCTCCTAGAGCGTGCATATTACGATTTGAGTTATAACATATTCGTAGTTTCAATGTTCCAGAACTTTGTGAAGTGGATAACTCTGTCGCAGCGCTCCCCATCTCTCCCAATTTCCCTCCATTTCACCTCTTCCTAATCTTTGCCTATGATTCCTCTTAACCAGTGATTTTGATTTGCCAGAAAAACAAAACCAAACTCAATACTGGTTTACCGTTTAAAAGAACATCTTTATTATTTCCCCAGGCCGATCACAGCCCTGAACAAAAGCATCTGATACACATTTGTCAGTCTGGTGGCTTTGGTGCCATGACTGCCTACACAGGCCGATGACAGCCACTCGGTTGTCACCAGACACACTGTGAGGGAAGGTGGAGGGGACAGGGGGAACTCTCAGAGCAAACAATCACAAACACACTGTGAAATCAAAAATAAATTATAAAAACTAAATAGTATAAATAAATTAAAATTTAAGTTAAGAAGAGTCCCACAGTGTGGCTGTTTGGCAATAACCAGTCCATAGAAGAGGTAGCTGTGGAGGTCACACGCATGTTCCCAAGGCTCAGGCTCCTGCTCCTCCCCACTGGGCCCACTGAGGTCGCTGGGCCTCGAAGCTTCTGGACCCCTCAGGCACTCAGCTCCAGGTCACTGACGTATTTCTGGACCCACTCCTCACTGGGGTCAGCACAGACCTGCCGGCCTCTCTTGGTTAGGAAGCTGTGGAGAAGGGAGGAAGAGTTAAGCACTGGGGAATCCAGCCGGGGAATCCTGGGCCCACCATGGCCCTGACATCCTGCTCTCTGTCCTGGGCAGCTCAAGGCCTGCTCCTCTCTCAGGGGCCCCCTGCCTATCTCCGTCTAGAGAGCTTCTCTCAGTGACTCCAGGCAAGGGGGCCCTCAGAGTGTCCTGCTGCCTCCTTCTTCCTGTCCCTTTCCTCTGGCCTGGGGCAGCCCTTCCTGACTCTGTAACACCCACCTCACTCCAGCCCCAAGTCAGGTCACACCTCAGTGCCCTGCGTCCTGTATCCCCGATAGGCTCCTGAAGGCTGGGCCTTTCCAGGATGGCCTTCTGGCCTGTTTCTGCCCCCACCCTGACACTCCCTACCTCCCTAGAGGTGAGCAGGAAGACTGGCACTTACATGACACTGGGCTTGGAGCACTGGCTGCTCGTCTCAAAGTAGTCAGCTATGAAATTCTGTGGAATCTGTCGGGAGGTGTAGCTGAAGCAGCAGGCGGTCGGCGTGTCAGCAGCAACTGCGGAGAAAGGAGAGAATAAGCCCGAGTCACAGCTCAGAAGAAAAGGCCAGGCAGCTTCTGATCCCTGAGTGGTTGAGGAGGGCAGGCTTGCTCAGACCAAGTGACTGCAAGGCATTTGGGGGGTTTTGCAGAGAAATGTCTCTTTGTTTCTGTCTATATTCCTCTTTCCCCTTGACTCTTCATAGTGGGTTCTCTGTTTCTCTATGTGATCCAGATACCTGAATGGACTGTTCTCTTAGCTCTCTTCATGGAATTTTGTCGGTTCAAGAAGTCATACCCCAGCCCAAGAGAAGCCCTGGACATCTCTCATAAGACATCCAAGGGACAGGGCTCCTGGGAGACCTAGGGTGAGCTGGAGAGTGAAGAACAGACCCCACTGGGAAGTAAGCAGCCCTGGATTCTGCCTCTTGCAAACTGATTCGTTTTGAACCCTGTTTTTCTATCTGTACAAGGGACTGTAACTCCCCTGCCCCTGCCTAGATTCTCATACCTGGAGACTAGGAGGGCTAAGACCCCTTCTAGAGATAAAAATAAAAGTTGTGAAGAAAAAGACCAAGGTGTTTGGCAGCGCTTTAAGAACTTCCTTCTTTTCTCTTCGGGGCTCTCAGGCCACAAAAAAAGACTGATGTGGTCTAACCATGGCCAGAGAGTGGTGATACCCACAACAACAACATGGACTCACGTGGTGCAGAGAGGACCTGGTTGCAGAGAGCCATGGTGCAGAGGAGGACGGCAAGGGCAGCAGTGGAGACCTGCATGATTGGGAGCAGGTGATGGAATGTGGGCTCGAGTGTCAGCAGAGCCAAGAAGGGACTGACTACTCTTTGCTGCCTGCGTCCTTCTGATGTCTGAAGCCATCTCTCCTCTTTATAGGCAGCCCTGGCGGATGGGGAAATGGAATCTGGGGGTGAGGAGGGAAATTTTTAAGTGTAGTGATGCTGTCATGCTGAGTGTTGCACAACTCAGGGTCCCTGGTGACCACAGGGGCTCAGGATATCCAAGAATAGCATCTCTGAGCTACTCTCTAACTCTCAGCTCTCAACTCATGACTGGTTCTAGCTTCATGGGGTTTCTCCTGTGAGTGTGAAGAGGGGTGTGTGTCAACCCAAGGCTATTCTTAGTTGATCCCTTCTCATAAGAACTGGTCTATGCAGCCAGGCATGGTCGCTCACACCTGTAATCCCAACACTTTGGGAGGCCGAGGCTGCAGATCACCTGAGGTCAGGAGTTTGAGACCAACCTGACCAAGAAAGAGAAACTCCATCTCTACTAAAAATACAAAAGTAGTCAGGCGTGGTGGCACATGCCTGTAATCCCAGCTACTCGGGAGGCTGAGGGCAGGAGAATCGCTTGAACCCAGGAGGTGGGGGCTGTGGTGAGCTGAGATCATGCCATTGCACTCCAGCCTGGGCAACAAAAGTGAAACTCCATCTCAAAAAAAAAAAAAAAAAAAGAATTGGTCTATGCATGAACTCTCCAGCCCCATTCCTTCCCACAGAGCTGTAATTCTGCTTCCTCAGCTGCTATAACCACAAGGATAGGGTCAATGGGCTGATGCTGTGGAGGGCTAGACAACCCCCAGTCCTCCCAGAGGAAAGGAACTCAATGAAAGCTGGAGGAATAGAAAGCATGAGGTCACGTTTCAGTCATTTGTCTATTTATTAGTCTCGGAGTGACTGGGGCGCTGTGTTAAACGCTAGTTGTGGATCATAAAAATACTTTAGAGGTGGGTGTCAGTATGTCAGGTGCCTAGAAATATGTGTAGCCATTAACCTAGAAAAAGCATTTCTGGGAAAGAGTTCTGTGGAAACAACCCAAATATGGAGCCATCTTCAAACATAAAGATACCTGACCCAGCATCATTTATAACTCTAAAATAAGCAAAGCTAAATTTTTCTCTATCAGGGAATGATAAATTATCCACAAGATCCTTTATTATTAAGTCTCTAACGTGAATGAAGTGGCATAAATATGCTTATAACATCAGTGGTTAAAAAAAAAGCAAGATAAAACATTATACAAATTCTATAAAATTTGAAGAATTGTATAAAGATATATATATGCCATGCCAACTCTAGGCATGGAAAAAATTAAAAGGCTTGGAAATACATGCCTTAAAGAATGAATAGTGCTTAGATCCATGGGTGATTTATTTTCTTATTTTTTTCTTTTTCTGAATTTTCCTCATTTTATTTAGTGAGACTTTATTACCTTCTTGGTCAACCCACAAATTTATGAACTAATTTTGTTTTAAAACATTTCCAACATCACTGGTTGAAAAGTGGGTTGTTGTCAGTTGTTTAATCTGAAAGAAATTACTGATAAATATGCTACAGTTTCTGTTCAATGGGCTTTGCCAAAATGAAGTCTTGATTTCCCATTTCTTTGAACCATTTTAAGGATCCTATACTATACTTACATAAATAATGCCAAACTGAAGCAGTTTTTTCCTTATTCTTTTCAACACATAATTTCAGTGGTGTGGAAGGGTCTCTACCTTCTCAGCCAGATTATATGCTTTTTTTTTTCTTTTCCATACTTTGTTATTTTATTATTTTGCAATCAATCAGCATATCTCATTTTATAATGAGAAATAGATTTAGTTGGTTTTAATGATCTTTGTTTCTGAGATGCCCCTGGTCTCATGGGGGCAGGTAGAGTGTATGAACAGGTAATTGTAAAACTCTTAGTAGAAAAAGAAATGAAAGCTCAGAACCCCATGAGGAAGAAGTGACCTTCCACCAGAGGGTTGGGGAAGGCTTCATGGAAGGGATGGAACTTTAGTTGTGTCTGGATAACTGCCCGGGATTTAGGCATCTATAGATGGGTGGGCAGTGGAGGCCCAGCTGAGGCAGAGTCCTGGGTGTGACATTGTGGCTCAGAGGAAAGAGGGGGTGCTTCAGTGGAGCTGCAGAGCAGTGGGGGTGAATATGGATGATAAAGGTAAATTGGGACCAAACCAGGACAGGCCTTGAATTCCCCCCAAAGGGGTTAGAGTTGACACACTTGATGCTGGAGAACAACGGAGGACAGAAGCCAAGTGGGACCACGCCTTTGAAATTCTGTCCTTCCTGAGTGTCTTTAGAGTTAGGTCTTTTAATACACATGAGCTCTGTTTCCATTCCACCCCAGTGATGGCTAGTGCCAGTCTTGAGGGAGGAGAAGCAGAGGCAAGATCAGGGGCCGTGGTAGGTTTCATCAGAGCTTTGGCATCCACGTATCTTCCCCTATTGCTACCAATTCCAAATAAAGGTATCTCTGCCACTTGTCTCATTAGAAACCTACATCACAGGCAATGACTCCTTCTCACCCCACCCTCTGCCTCTCAGCTCTCGTTGATACCCTGAATTGCGTTCCGTCACTCACTTCTTAGGGGAACCCCCTCCATACTCGTGATTCCTTTTCTGGGAGCTGGCTTCTGTGAGTTGTGGAGAGTGAGAAAAGGAAATGGAAACTGCTGAATCAGTCAGTGTTCTGATAAGGGACATCCTCTATCTCTGTGATTACAGTACAGTGTGTTATAATTAGTTACCTATGTAATTTGCTCTTCAAAAACCTAGACCATGTCCTGTTGATTTTATTTTAGTTTCTTTTTCTCAAGAAATTTATAGTTTAATAAAGGCAATGTGGGAGTTTGGAAACAAACTTTGATTTTGTACTAATGATAGATTAGCAACTACACAAATTTTAGTTCACAATAAGTAATATTTATCGAGTGATCACCATGTGCTGATTTCCATAATATGGATTTACATGTTTGAACTGTCTTCAAAACAACCCTATGATTTAGTTACCAGTATACTTTCTTAGTTGAACAGGTGAAGAAACCAAAGTAAATAGAGGTTAAGCAATTTTCCGAAGGCCGTAAAGCTGATGACTAGCAGAGCAGGGATTCACATCCAGGTAGTCTGACTCTAGGTACCACACGCTACACGTCCTGTACCACAACTTATTATATTTGATCCTCATACCAATCCTATAATGGTAGATTTTTTAGAGTGTCTTCTCAGATTGTAAACCAACTCCAGACCATGTCTCGTTGGTTGATTTAAACCAAATCCTAGTACATGATGATTATAACATGATGAACCTCCTGACCTAGTCTCTATCTCTTATTATTGTGTTCTTTATAATAAAGATGATTTATTGAATATATAATTCTATCTCAGTGTTTATATATTTGTAAGACTTTCTCTATCAATCCCCAAACCAGGAAATAGCCCTTTGCCATGTGTTTTGGCTTGGAGTAAAATATAGTTGCACGCATAGCATTTGCTTAATTTATATACGTTGAATGAATAATGTAAGGGAGATGTAGGACGGGGTTGAGTTGGGAGGGTCTTAGACATTTCCTAGGTGGTAAATTGATGTTCCCAGTTGAAATGACGTACCCAGGGTCATGCAGGTGGAATTGGTCAGTTTTATATTCCACTGTCTGTGTTAGTTACCAGTGTATCTCCAGTGATAACCACAATGCCTGACATATAGTGAAGCTTAATATCTATTTGATGAATAAATAAATCACTGATTTGACTAACAATATGTGTTATGCCTGAACTCTCACTATGGAGTTGAAATACTAATGGGAAAGGTAGGATAAGAAAGGCCATGGTGAGTGGGAACGGGGAGAGGATCAGGAAAAACAACTAATGGGTACTAGACTTAATACCTGGGTGATGAAATCATTTGTACACCAAACCCCCATGACACAAGTTTACCTATGTAACAAACCTGCACATGCATATCTGAACTTAAAATAAAACAAACACACACATACACACACACAGAATCAGGAGAGACAGTCAGAAGCATGACAGGTCTCCAGAGCCAAGGAAGAATTTTTAAATAAAATGAGAATTGAAGCCAGGCACGGTGGCTCATGCCTGTAATCCCAGCACTTTGGGAGGCTGAGGCAGGCGGATCTCCTGAGGCCAGGAGTTTGAGACCAGCCTGGTCAACATGGTGAAACCCTGTCTCTACTAAAAATACAAAAAATTAGCTAGGCGTGGTGGCACATGCCTGTAGTCCCAGCTACTCGGGAGGCTGAGGCAGGAGAATCACCTGAACCCAGGATGCTGCAGTGAGCTGAGATCGCACCACTGCACTCCAGCCTAGGCGACAGAGCGAGACTCCGTCTCAAAAAAAAAAAAAAAAAAAAAAAAAAAGAATTGAGGGTCCCAATAAAGATACAATTTGAAAGAGAAATGTAAATTAAACTTATATAAAGAAGTTTTCAGTAACTTGGATCTAAAAGTTTATGATTTGCTTTAAAGATAAAGGAAAGAAAGAAAGAAGAAAAAGAAGAAAGAGAAAGAAAGAAGAAAGAAAAAAGAAAGAAAGACGAAAGAAAGAAAGAAGCAAAGAAGGAAGGAGAGAGAGAAAGAAAAGAAAAGAAAAGAGAAAAAGGCCATGGTGTCACAGTTTTGATCTTTGGGAAACTGACCACCCAAGATTCCTTAGGTGGTGGTGACAGTAAGTAGCCAGCAGTCAACACCATGGACCCTTCAGCATGGAGGGATTTGATTTGTGTCCCAGCGTTCTGGCTCATTTCAGCCTCTGCGAGGCCCCACCTCAGTCCAGCAGAGCGTCCCAGTCCACAGTGCGGGGAATCCTGGCTGGGCAGTTTGTCCTCTGCGGCGTCTTTGCCTTGCGCTGCTCAGCTTGCCTCCCCACTGTGTGCTGCTGCCTGTGCTCTCCAGTGCGGAGCATTGCTTTCCTTCCAGATTCTGGCCCCGAGGCTCCACTTCCCCAAGTGTCACCCTCCTCTATCTCCTTTGGCAGCAGGCGCCCCAGGGATGGGTTCACTGATGATGACATCCTGTTTGGCCCAGCTTTGGCCTCCTTTTCTCATATGTGGTCTGCGTGGTCAGGTTGCAGCAGGTGTGGGCCCCACTTTTCATGCAGGCAGAAGCAGCAGCCTGGAGTCCCCTGTCTAGTATCTTAGACAGACAATGTCTCATTGACACAGCCCCTTCTTTCTGCAGCCAGCCCCTTGTTTCCCGTCCTGAGTCCTTGTTATTTTCTCTAGCCATTTCTTGCATGTGTGCAGTAGGTCAGGGCGTATGTCTTGGTACTGGATCCGATCCCTCTCCTGGTCCCTTGCCCTTTCTTCCATATTCTCTACCCAATAAAAAGTGCCTCTTCCTATCAGTCTTCCAGTCCAGAAAGCTGAGAGTCACCCTTGTCTCCTCTTTCTCTGTCATCTCCTACAGTTATTCAATCACCAACTCTAGTCTACATTCAATTTTACGTGCATCTGCCTCTCACCATTCCCACTGCCTCTGTCTTAGGTCAGGTTCTTATGGATTCTCACCATGACAACTAGAAGAGGGTCCTAGCAACTGCTTTTTCTTCCACTTTTGTCTCTAATTTATTTATTTATTTTGAGACAAGGTCTCACTCTGTGGCCCAGGCTGGAGTGCAATGGCTCGATCTTGGCTCACTGCAACCTTGGTCTCCCAGGTCAAGCAATTCTTGTGTCTCAGCCTCCCAAGTAGCTGGGATTACAGGCATGTGGCACCACACCCAGCTAATGTTTTGTATTTTTCGTGGAGACGGAGTTTCACCATGTTGGCCAGGCTGGTCTTGAACTCCTGGCCTCAAGTGATCTGCCTGCTTCGGCCTCCCAAAGTGCTGCGATTGATTACAGGAGTGAGTCACCACGCCCGGCCTAGTTTTGTCTCTTTTTAATCTATCTCACCATACAGCATCCAATATACTTTTGCTAAAGCTCAAATCAGTCTCTGTTTCTCTCCTTTTAAAATCTTGCAAACATTCTGCATCGTTTCTGACATGAAATGGAAGCTTCTCTGTAACCTGACCCCTGTCTACCTCTCTGGCCTCGTGACTTGCCTGCTGAGACTTCCTGAAAACCAAGACCCAGCCTTTTTGCACTACTTGTGGTTCCTTAAATGTGCAGCTCTCTACCTTGCTTTTAATGAAGGAGGTGCCCACTTGGTAAAGCACAATTTCACCTTCTTGTAAACCACAGGGCAGAGTGAAATGCTATGAATGTGGGCACATCCCGTGACAGCTGCAGGGATTCATATTTAGAACAATTAAGGAAAAACATTATGTAATTTCCCATCTTTTCTTTTCTTCTTCTTGTTGTTGTTTGTCTTTTTTTGACAGAGTCTCTCTCCGTCGCCCAGGCTGGAGTGCAGTGGGGGCGATCTCAGCTCACTGCAACCTCTGCCTCCCCTTCCCCCTCCCCCTGGGTTCAAGTGATTCTCCTGCCTCAGCCTCCCGAGTAGCTGTGATTACAGGCATGTGCCACCATGCCTGGCTAATTTTTGCATTTTTAGTAGAGACAGGGTTTCACCATGTTGGCCAGGATGGTCCCGAACTGGCCTCAAGTGATCTGCCCACCTCAGCCTCCCAAAGTGCTACAATTATAGGCATGAGCCAGCAAACCCAGCATGTAATTCCCCAAATTTTCTAAGAAAAAGAGAGAAATCCATGGATCTTGCTGTTCAAAGACATGCAAAATGCACAACAGAAAAGACATTTTACACCAGAATAACAGAAACTTTGGTTGTTATGCTTTTAACATAAATTTATAATACAGCACACTTCCCTTTTCTGATTTATTCATGCTCTAGAGCCAGACTTCTTGGCTTCAGTTTCAAATCTGCTGTGTGTCAGCTGTGTGTTTTTCCATAAGTTACGTACCTCTCTGTGCTTCAGTTTCTTCGTGTGTGAAAGGGGATAGTTACAGCACTTAACTCAGAGGGCCACTGTGAGGATTAAATGCATTAATACCTATGAAAGGCCGAGAACATTACTGGTTCATAGTAAGTGCTATCTACTATTATTACTATTACCATTTTATTATTATTGAAATATTTCAATACCTCCATTTTATATCCGAAACAAGTGCAGGTCTCTTGTTCTTTGCCTGGATACCCCTATCCCTGTCTTTGCCTGGCTAATTTCAGTTTAACCTATAATAGAGAAAAGTTAGAGCAATGTAAATGGACTGATGTGAATGATTAAATACAACTTTTGGTATATCTATGCAATAAAATATCATGTGTATATTCATGCCATTTTTGAGTAATATTTAAGTTTGTAATGGCACAGAAGAAGACTAAGTAGCAATAATAAGATATACTAGGTCATGAAAGAATATTAAGTACCAATAGTAAAATATAAAGCTAGGTACAGAATGATAGGGCAATTTTAATTTTCTTATATATGCTTCCCTATATTTTTTCAGTTTTGCAAACGACCACGTATACTTTCTATAAAAGAAAAACAAACTGATATATATGTTAGTTATAAATATATAGATATAATACATATATTAGTTATATATATATATATTATTTATTTATTTATTTATTTATTTATTTATTTATTTATTTTGAGACAGAGTCTCGCTCTGTCACCCAGGCTGGAGTGCAGTGGAGCTATCTCGGCTCACTGCCATCTCCACCTTCCAGTTTCGAGAGATTCTCATGCCTCAGCCTCCCGAGTAGCTGGGACTGTAGGCATGTGCCACCACACCAAACTAAGTTTTTGTATTTTTAATAGACGTGGGGTTTCACTATGTTGGCCAGGCTATTCTCAAACTCCTGACTCAGATGATCCACCCATCTCAGCCTCCGAAAGTGCTGGGATTATAGGCATGAGCCAGCACCCCTGGCCATAAATTTTTTTTCAAAAAAAAAACAAAAACATATCTCAAATTTTTTGGAAGCCCTCCATAACACTTCACTACCACCATCTAAAGTGCTTACCCTCGCCCTCGGACACAATGCCTGTCACACAGTAGGTACTCAATACAGCTTTACTGAATTATGTTCATCTCTTGCTGGAGTATTCCCTATCGCCTGCATGGAAAAAGGCCAGAAACAATTTGAAGGAAGATGCTTCACAAGGAATACTGAAAGTTTTCTTGACCTCATGAATGCTGGTGAGGCTTTACCCCTCTCTCAGGAATTTAACATCTCCTGAAGTTCCTGACCTCTGCCTTTCACAACTAAGAGCAGGCTGTGGCGGTGACCAAGGTCCATTTCCATGGTAAGAAGAGTGGGGCTGGCCAGCTCTGTAGTCAGAGTGTGGCAGTCACCGATGAGCTGCTCCAACCGCTCACTGTCCTATGGAGGCAGAAATTTAAAAAATAAATATGCACTCATTCATTCCAAGAAAATAACAGGCAATAAAGGAGAAGTTTTCCTCTGCCTAGCAAGCTCGCTTCAAGGACAGTTATAAGATAACGTTGTTTGAGAAGTCGAAGCCAAAGGAATGGGCTCCAGACACCCCACCTCCATAACAAGTCTGAAGAAAAAAAAAAGGGACAAATGTCTGTATTTAGCCAGTTCTGTTTTTCTTTCAGTGCAGCTGTAAGGCCACCAGCTAAGCAAGGCCACAAGTTATGCTATGCTATAGACTATGGGACCTATCATTATATGATTAACTGCTTTAGTTTTGCTTCTGCAAGCCTGCTTGTAAAACCCCACTCTGTCTTTGTTGAAATGCTCCAAATGCTCAGCTTTTTGGATATGAATTCACTGAGCCAGTGCACACCTTAAAATAAATATCCTCCTGTTCTCCCATATTGGTCTCTTCATTCCTCAGTTTACTACAGCATTACAGATTTCATCCTGAAGAATGCTGCACTCTGGATAATTGTGTACTTGTTTCTTCAATCCACAATTCAGCTTCTGCTCCCATTTCCCCCAAAGTGACTTGGATACCATACTGGCAAAACCACAGGATTTGCCTCGTCTTGGTTTCTTATCTTGGCAAAATGACCCTATGTTCCAGCTCCCCTTGGGTTTCCAGTCTCCACATTTGCCCTCCAGGAGTTCTCTAGTTCTAGGCATCCACCTCCTGGAGGCCACCTCTTGGCCCCAACACTCAGAGGTCTCCCCAACACTCTAGGAGAGGCCAGGATGTCCAGATTGACTGCCTCTCTACCCTGCTCCTCAGCACTTTGGTAATCTCTTCTGAGAGTCTGTTATTAACAGAGATTGCCTATATGTGTAATCTCAGAAGGTCATACCTGTAGAGGGACTCTGGTCATCTCTGAACTGGGAATTGTAGGCCTTGGGTCTTGACATGCATCCTGTGTGACCTTGATCAGGTCTTTTCACTTCTCTAGGTTTTGCTTTCCTAATCTGTACCGTGGCAAAACAGATCAGGGTCAGGTAAAACCACAGGCCACGGATATGCTGAGGAAAATGAAAAATACCAGGGCATTTTCAAGGTCATGTTACTGCTGTGGCTGCTGGGCCTGTCTGCAGCCTGGGAGGTTGAGGACAACATGACAAGACAAATGTAAAAATGCCCAGAATGGAGTTATGAATATAGTGGTGGTCAAGGATGTGGGGGGGGGAACCTCTAAATGACCACAAGTGAGGGGGAAAGAAGGGCTTCCCTGCTCAGGGGTGAGAGGGTGGCCCTCTGAATGGAGCTCCCTGGAACCATGGATGACCCTTGCTGTCACTTCTTGCAACCCTGAGCTACAAAGAGTTGAGTCCAAGAATAGTATCCATTATGATAAAACTACTGGATGCGTGGGTTGAGGGTGGGGGAGAAGGGGAAGTACCACACTATCAGGGCTGAGGAATCACCTTTTGGGTGGAATGTCAGAACACCCAGTTCATTCATACTTGGTTTACTCATTTGGCTATATAGGGGTCCACATCTTGAGTCCATATTACTCATCACATCCCCTCCATGGAGATAAGCATAACATAGTTTCTGCATCAAGGAGCTCACTTTCTAGTCGGGGAGGAAACCACATGAATAGATAAATATGTGATAGGTGGTAAGAAGGAAGTAGTTCAGGAGACTGTAGGAGCACAGTGAAGGATACAGAGTTTACTTGGGAAAGAGATCAGGGAAGTTTCTCTAGAGAAGATGAACATCTTTTTTGTCATGTATTTGAGAATCATTTGTTTATTGGCTCTTCTTGGCTTTCCGGTCTCCACGTTTGCCCTCCAGGAGTTCTAAATGGCACCAGTGTCTAAATCTTGTTGGGGGTGGGGGGTAAGTTAATATTGCTGAACAAAATGATACAAGTCCTTTTTACTCTCAGTGTGGACTTCCACTGGTGCAGACATAGTATTGTTGTTAGGATCTTCATGAAGATCCATCAAAACGTTTTACCCCCATGAGCCAAAGATCAGATCAAGGCGAGGAAACAAAAGTCAACAGACAAACTCATTGTATGGCTCAGTGATGGCTAATCACCCATTTTATCAATCATTATTCTCCTGAAGCCCCAGAACAGGCTTCCTCCTAACCCCTCCACCCTGCTCATTCAGACAGCTGCTCTAGTGGGAATTGAGACTTAACTTGAAACTACTCATCTACAGCTAATAGACAGCCTTCTCCATCCTTCAGGCTTCCTGACACTTTGTTTCTTCCTCTGACATGACACTTAGCTTATTCCACCTCTTGGGATAGTTATTTCTGTCACTGTCAATGCCATCACTAGACATGGAACTCTTCGAGGGCAGGGATGGGGCTTCGTTCAGCTCTGTCTGCCCTGGCAAAGAGCAGATGGTTAGTACATTGGGCTGAACAAAAATGTCATAAATAACGAAGTCTGCGTGAATCCAGAGAACATGAAACACATACTGCTTCCCTTAAAGTGAGGTCCTTGATGCATGAAGATGAAACTGCACCAACTAGGAAAGGCCAGGAGAGGTACTAACACATCTGCTATCAGGCAACACGGAACATTACAGCTGGGGGCGAGGGTCTTGGAGAAGATCAGAACATTTGAAGCAAGAGCTGTACAAAGAAAAGGGGGAGAGAACAGATGAGAGAAGTGCAGCTTGTGTGTGCGGGTGGGGAGGGAGGGAGAGTGCTGAGGCAGGATGACCTTGTACTTTATTTAATGACCCTGAAGTACCCCAGGATGCTGCTCCAACCTCTCCTGTGGCTCCCAGATGCTGTGGGTCCCTTTTTTTCTTAACTTGTATTTTAGGTTCAGGGGTACGTGTGCAGGTTTGTTATATAGGTAAGTTGTGTGTTGCGGGGGGTTTGGTGTACAGATTATTTCATCACCCAGGTAATAAGCATAGTACCCAATAGGTAGTTTTTTTTATCCTCACCCTCCTCCCACCCTTCACCCTTAAGTAGGCCCTGGTGCCTGCTGTTCCCTTCTTTGTGTCCATGTGTACTCAATGTTTAGCTTCCACTTATAAGTGAGAACATGCAGTATTTGGTTTTCTGTTCCTGTGTTAGTTCGCTTAAGATAATGGCCTCCAGCTCCATCCATGTTGCTGCAAAGGGCATGATCTTGTTCTTTTTTTTATGACTGAGAAGTATTCCATTATATATATATATATATATATATACCAAATTTTTTTTATCCAGTTTACCATCAGTGGGCATTTAGGTTGATTCCATGTCTTTGCTATTGTGAATACTGTTGCGATGAACATACATGTGCACATGTCTTTATGGTAGAATGATTTATATTCCTTTGGGTATATACCCAATAATGGGATTGCTGGGTTGAATGGTAATTCTGTTTTAAGTTCTTTGAGAAATCGCCAAACTGCTTCCCACAATGGCTGAACTAATTTACATTCCCACCAGCAGTGTATGAGTGTTCCTTTTCTCCACAGCCTCACCAACATCTGTTATTTTTTGACTTTTTAAAAATAGCCATCCTGACTGGTTTGAGATGGTATCTCATTGTGGTTTTAATTTGCATTTCTCTAATGATTAGTGGTGCTGAGCATTTTTTGTATGTTTCTTGGCCGCGTGTACGTCTTCTTTTGAAATGTGTCTGTTTATGTTCAATGCCCACGTTTTAACGGAGTTGTTTGTTTTTTGCTTGTACATGTGTTTAAATTCCCTATAGATTCTGGATATTAGACCTTTGTGAGATACATAGTTTGTAAATATTTTCTCCCATTCTGTAGGTTATCTCTTTACTCTGCTGATAATTTCTTTTGCTGTGCAGAAGCTCTTTAGTTTAATTAGATCCCATTTGTCAGTTTTTGGTTTTGTTGTGATTTGTTTTTGGCATCTTCATCATGAAATATCTGCCAGATCCTATGCCCAGAATCATATTGTCTAGGTTATCTTACAGGTATCATATTTTTATAGTTTTATATTTTAGGTTTTACATTTAAGTCTTCAACCCATTGTGAGTTGATTTTTACAGATGGTGTAAGGAAGGGGTCCAGTTTCAATCTTTTGCATACAGCTAGCCAGTTATCCCAGTACCATTTATTGACTGGGAAGTCCTTTCCCTGTTGCTTGTTTTTGTTAACTTTGTCAAAGTTCGGATGGTTGCAGGTATGCAGCATTATTTCTGAGCTCTCTATTTTGTTCTATTGGTCTATGAGTCTGTTTTTGTACCAAAGCCATGCTGTTTTGGTTACTGCAGCCCTGTGGTATAGTTTGAAGTCATGGCTCCCTTTTTTTACTCTTCTTTTTTCTTTCTCAGAGAAGAGCAGGTAACAATGTGGGGTTAAAGGTGAGCAGGTGGGTTAGAGTAGTGGAGCTAAAGGCAGATAGAGGTCTTGATCCAATTATCCTCATTCCCTTCATTTGTCCAACCTTGCACACTCCTGTATGCAGGGCCTTTGTAAGCTTCACCTTCTGTACAGGTGCCCAGCAACTGTCAAACCAGCCAGGGCTTAACATGAGCATGGGCATTCCCTATGGACTGGCTGGGACACACCCACATCCTTAGATTACACATTTTGCCTGTAACATAGATAAACTCATTACTAGGTATATAATTCTGTTTTGTTTTGTTTTGGTTTGTTTTGCTTTGTTTTGTTTTGCTTTGCTTTGTTTTTGGGACAGGGTCTCATTCTGTCAAACAAGCTGGAGTGCAGTGGCACAATCACCACTCACTGCAGCCTGGACTTTCCTGGGCTCAGGTGATCTTCCCACCTGAGCCTACTGAGCAGCTGGGACTACAGGTGTGTATCACCACTCCCAGTCAAGTTTTTTTTTTGTATGTGTGTTTTTTATAGAGACAGTGTTTCACCATGTTCCCCAGGCTGGTCTCAAACTTCTGGGCTCAAGCAATCTGCCTGCCTTGACCTCCCAAAGTGCTGGGATTTCAGGTGTGAGGCCCTGTACCCAGCTCAATTCTGTTTTTATACTAGAAGAACATTCTCTATCTGGGTCTTCCAGACTTGATTCTTACTGGTTAATTTGTCCTGGTCTTTTGCTGGTCCAAGAAAATATCTTGAAATCTTTATTTCTTCTCCGTTCCCTCCTTGTCCTAGGACAGACTAGCCCTATCCCTTCCCTGAATTAAGTCTGAGTATAATCGGTCTTTGAGTGTGGAATAGCTCCTAGCAGTCTATCAGTCAATGGTTTCTCTTTGTGGTCACACTCTATGTTTATTCTGGAGACTACAGCATGGAAAGAAAATGGACTTTGGAGTCAGATGAATCTTGATTCGAATCTTGATTCAAATCTTGGCAGTGCCATTCATCAGCTCTGTGGCATTGAGCACCATCAGTGGACCACTCTCTGATCCCCAATTGCCTTATCTGTAAAATGAGATTAGACACCCCTGCTCAAGATTATGGTAGGATTATATATAATATGTGTAACACAGCTTTCCCAGTGCCTGGTACAAGGTAAGTGTCCAATAAGAACTTACAAATGTTCCTGAGCCACCCTACTGGGTCCCTCCGCACATCCAATGCTGGACTCTTCATGCCCAAGGAAACATATAGGGCACAAAAGTCAGTGGCACTGAGCTCAGCAGAAGAAGGCACAGGAAGGGGATGGGGGAGTCCTGGTTCCCGCTTTGTTTTTGGGGCCAGGACTGTGGCCAGCCTGGAAAGACTGGCATGAACCCTCCAGCATCTGGGGGTGCCAACCACCAAGAGCAGCACAGTTCTTGTCTACAAGCCACTTGTAGCAGGTGTGAACATTTCATCTTTTCCTCTGGGGTTTGCAACTCTCTCCCCAGTCTCGGTCACTGCTTTTGGCTGTACCACTTCCCTTTTCTTCTCGCCTGCACCTCCCTCATCTTTCCTCTATGATGACATCGCCCTGGGGAAGAGAAGCTGAGAGGAACTCCTCACTCAGCTAGCTTCAGGAGCCATGACATCATCTCTACCATGGAAATTCCACTCACTCTCCTGTGCCCCCACATTTGTCCTAGGCCTCAGAGTCCCTATAAAGAGAGATTCCCAACTCAGTATCAGCACAGGACACAGCTAGGTTCTGAAGCTTCTGAGTTCTGCAGCCTCACCTCTGAGAAAACCTCTTTGCCACCAATACCATGAAGCTCTGCGTGACTGTCCTGTCTCTCCTCGTGCTAGTAGCTGCCTTCTGCTCTCTAGCACTCTCAGCACCAAGTAAGTCTACTTTTGCAGCTGCTATTTCGAGTCAAGGTGTAGGCAGAGTCCTTTTTTCTATTCATGGCTGGCAAACAGTGGGATCTGGGGATGGGACAAAAGGCAGCTAGGAAGATTGCCATGTAGTCTGCTGCTAAATGTAGAGTCTAGTAGATATTCAGTAACATTCAAGTTCCTATTTTCTTAAGAATTAGCAACCAGCAGAGGAAAACGATGGGCTGGAAGTCAGACTGTTGAATTGGCTCTGCCTTTAATTATTTGTTCAAGCAAGCCCCTGTCCCTCTCTGTGCCTTGGTTTCCCCATCTGTCATATGAAGGGAGTGCGATGTGTTCTGAGACTGAATCCAGTTCCAATCTTCTAGATTTCTTTCTCGTTCTTCTCTGAAGATCCACTATTCAGAATAAGACTCCTGCTCATGTTAGGTGGGAATGGATACAAGGGACCATATTTGGGGTTCTGGTAGCTCCACAGGGATGCTCAATGAAGATGCAAAATTAGAAGTCAAAATAAACAGCTCCCATGGGCAGTGTTGATCTCACCCTGGCCTTTCCTTTCAGTGGGCTCAGACCCTCCCACCGCCTGCTGCTTTTCTTACACCGCGAGGAAGCTTCCTCGCAACTTTGTGGTAGATTACTATGAGACCAGCAGCCTCTGCTCCCAGCCAGCTGTGGTGTGAGTATCAACCCCTGGCTGCCCTGGGAGGCAAGGGTGAGGGCTGGATTTTTAAAGGGGGCCTGTTTTGGGGAGGGGGTGATGAGCGTTGGGGAGGCAGCTCTCAGGGCTGAAGCCTTCCCTGACAGCAGTGAGGTCACAGGTCATGAACTCACTTTTCAAGTGCTGAAGGCGGCTGAGTGGCAGCCGAGACAGAAGGGGGTTCCTGGGGAGGAAGTTATTCAGAGGACAGGGAAGCAGGGGAAGGCAGACAGGTCCCGTGAGATATGGACCAATTCCTTAAACCATGCTAGAAAAACATGTGGAAAAGTCACTACCAGGCTGGCAGGGAATGGGGCAATCTATTCATACTGATTGCAATGCCCACTGGTTCCTAATCTGGGCAACCCCTGGGGCCCACAGCTAAATCCAGTGAGTGGAAGTTACAGGGAGTCTGCTTCCAGTGCTGCTCCGGGAAGGATCCCATCCACCAGAGCTGCCCCACATGGACCATGGTCAGGCAGAGGAAGATGCCTACCACAGGCAAGGGATAAAGCCAGATGACCTCAAAGGTCCCATGGGATTCTAATCTGTCTGCTCCTTGTTCTACGGATTCCAAACCAAAAGAGGCAAGCAAGTCTGCGCTGACCCCAGTGAGTCCTGGGTCCAGGAGTACGTGTATGACCTGGAACTGAACTGAGCTGCTCAGAGACAGGAAGTCTTCAGGGAAGGTCACCTGAGCCTGGATGCTTCTCCATGAGCCGCATCTCCTCCATACTCAGGACTCCTCTCCGCAGTTCCTGTCTCTTCTCTTAATGTAATCTCTTTTATGTGCTGTATTATTGTATTAGGTGTTATTTCCATTATTTATATTAGTTTAGCCAAAGGATAAGTGTCCCCTATGGGGATGGTCCACTCTCACTCTTTCTCTGCTGTTGCAAATACATGGATAACACCGTTAATTCCATGTGTTTTCATAATAAAACTTTAAAATAAAATGCAAACAGTTTCTTTGTGATTTTAATTTGATTTGGGGGTAAAAGGAATTGCCTGGTACCATTGGGCGGTGGGGCAAGCTACAGTTTCCAAAAGCAGTAAGAATGCGCAATTGCTGAGTCCTTAATATGAGCTCTGGGCTGAACACTCTTAATACATGATCTCACTGCGTACTTTCAACAAGGGTTTTAACACCCTTATGAAGTAGGGACTGTTGCCCCCAGTTTCACAGTTAAGGAAAGAGAGGCACAGAGAGGTGAAGTGACTTGCTGAGGCTAGTAGGTCTGCTTGGGAGTGTCATGAAAAAATGCCTTTAAAAAGGAGGTTATCATTTCAACATCTTGTGGGGGGAGTTGTAAAGAGGGGAAGCAGCACAGCAAAGGCGGAAGAAGAGTGAGAAAAGTGACTTCATCATATTATTATCAGCATAACATTGGGAAAGTCATCTTGCTTTATTAGACCTCAGTGTTCACAAGTGTGAAATGTAGATAATATTAACATTTATCTACATAAATGTTACGTAGATTTATATAGATAAAGGGCTGTTTATCTACATATGAAGGGCTGTTACGAGGTGATGTGTAAAGCACCCATCATGGGACTGGGCACCTGGAAGATTCTCTCCTTCCGCCTCTGAGCCTCAGCCTTTTCACTTAAAATGGACCTAACAATTGTCAGGATCATCATGAGGATTAGATTAGTTAGTTGACAGATCAGCACTCTAAAGCCCAAGTTACTGTGAAGTGTTGTCATGATGACAGAAGGATGGAGGTCTGGTTTTGTTTGGAAGTGTTGCAGGAGTAACCTAAAGCCACTTCTACTTAATTATCCTTCAATCAGTACTCCCATTCCATGGGTCAGAGACTACATGGCTCTGAAATTGAATTACATGCACAATAAAGCCTGATCCACAGGACATAGACTCATGGTCTACTAAAGCTAAAAGGAAACTTTAGACCATCTGGTCCAACCCTCTCATTTTATGGAAACTGAGGGAGAAGGCCTGGGAAGTAACTTGCCACGTGCCACTCAACGAGTACATAGCAGAGCAGGAGCCTGGCCAGTGCCAGCTCCCAAGCTCAGGCCCTTTCCTGCACACATTCCCTAGTGACACACCTCTGTGGTCCTCAAAAGGGAGACCGGTTGAGTAAGGACAAGGCAGAGACTACCTTGAAAATCATTTGAGTGTTGTTAGTCCTGTGCAAAAGCAGAACTGGGGCCCTGTACTTCTCTGGGGTCAACAGACACAATTCCCTTCCTTGTCCTGCCCTTAGTCACCTCCGTCATTCCAGAGCCCCAGTGGAAACTTACTTCAGATTCTGCGGGCACTGAGAGAAGGAGGTTAGGGGGCAGAGCTGATCCAAAACAGGTGTGGGAAGAGGCTAGCAGCAAAGAATGTGCCTGGCCATAGTTTCTGCTTTCATTTGCCTAGATCCGAGCTATCTAATATGTTAGCCACTGGCCAAAGCGGCTATTTACATTTTCATTACATTTAATTAAAATGAAATAAAATTTAAAATTTAGTTCCTGAGTCACACTAGTCACATTTCAAGTGCTCAGTAGACCTTGGTAACATGGCTAGTTACCAGGTTAGACAGCATGCATTATGGACTTTCTGTCCATCATTGCAGAAAGTTCTGTTGGAGAGCAGTCTCCTAGAATGTTCTCAGAGCCTAAAGAGAGTGAAGGGAGGAGCAGTTGGGATGGTCTGTAAGATTAGGGTGCAGATTTGGAGAAAGATACACAATTCTATTCTGAGGGGACGGGATGGGAGAGAGAATGGATGACCCCAAGCCAGAGACAAGGTATAGATCACTATGGTAGCTGAATAATGGCCCCCAAGACATCCACATCCTATTCCCCAGAACCTGTGAATGTCAATTTGTATGGCAAAAGGGACTTTGGAGATATGATCAAGTTATGGATCTTGAGATGGAGTGATTACCTTGAATTATCTGGTCAGGCCCTAAATGTAGTTGTGAGTGTCCTTACCAGAGGAAGGAAGAGAAAAATTTGGTAATAGAGGAGAAGGTAGCAATGTGACAGCAGAAGCAAGATGCTATGCTACCAGCTTGGAAGATGGAAGAAGAGGCCAGGAGTGAAGAGGTTTTAGGATGCAGCTCTAGAAGCTGCAAATGGCAAGGAAATTGTTCCTCCCCTAGAGCCTCCAAAGGGAGTGTCCCAGTGAATCTAATTTCAGACTTCTCACCTCCAGAACTTTTAGAGAATAAATATGTGGTCATAAGACACTAAGTGTGTGGTAATTTTTTGCAGCAGCAATAGGAAACAAATACAACCACCAACTGATGTGTCACTGATAGTGACCCCCAATAGCTCAGTGTGGCAGGAAAGGGAGCATTCTAGAGGGTGAGCCAAATCTCCCTGCAGGAGGAACCCAGGGTGAGAGGGACACACCTCAAGGAGATGAACTATAATGAGGAGAGGCATTCCAAGAGGAGATCTGCTTCAGCAACTGAGTTCTGGGGCTGAGGCTTGATCCAGGGTCCAAGACCCTTAGGAAGCATGCCTCTTCTTGAGACATCTAGGGTGCTCTGAGGGGTCCTGGATTCCTATCTGGGAAAGAGTCCATCCTCTCATCTGTCAGATGCAGCCCAGAGCAGAACCATGACCTGTCTCTGGTTCATTGTTAGTGAGCAGGCAGGGTTAGGGCCAGAGTCCCGGTATCCTCCCTCATGATGGAGTCCCTTTCCCAATCCTCCCTGCCCCTCAGCTAATGGAAAGGGAGGAGCTCAGCTCCACAGAGGCAAGGCCACCAGGGAAGGCTGCAGGAGGCCAGGGCAGCCTCATGAAGAAATGCTTACCAGGAATTACAAACAGCAGAATGGAATCCTCGAAGGGGCAATGTGGGACTTCACCTGTTGCACAATATGAGACTGTTTTTTTCCTTTCTCCTCTTTTCATACAACTTCCTTTTCTCACCCTGGGCCCAGAGAGCTGGAATCTGCTTACTTGACGTTCCAGTTGAGGTTTCTCCAGGTTTCCGGGTGGGGGCAAAAGCCAGAACAGACAAAGCAGGACACTCGAAAGGAACTATGGATTATGGAGCAACTTCTAGACATCCGGCCTGTTTTCCTACTCCTTGCAGTGCCCACCTCCCCCAGCTCACTCTCCAGATGGGAGTCCATTTCCTTATGTACATGTTCCTTTAGGACATGTTCATGCAAACATGTCTTTATCCCCCATCCCACCTCAACCTGGAACCCTCCATCATGCTCCCATTGACACAGGCATTTTCCTCCAAGGAGGCCAGGAGCCGAGCAAGCAGAGGCAGGGATCAAGGGAGCAAGATGAGCTGAGGATGGTGACATAGCCACAGTTCTTCCTGGAGGCTGAGACCAGAGACCAGCTGGCAGTCCTGTACTGCAGTCTGCATTCACCCTTTACAGACTTGAGGGCCTTAAAACCCTCTCTTTCCCACTTATCTCTACCTGTTCTCCCTTCTAAACTCCTTCTGTCTTGGGTTCCCAACTGAGTCTAGCATACAGGAAAATAGAAGAAAAGAATTGAGAGACAAAATCGTGGCTGCATTTTTCTACCTTTTAAATAGTTTCATTTTTAGATACAGTCGACATTTTGAATATGTGGGATCCAAATCTGTGGATTCAACCGATGATGGATGGAAAATATTTGGGGAAGAAAAAAACACAATAGGCCAGGTTTAGTGGCTCACACCTGTAATCCCAGCACTTTGGGAGGCTAAGGTGGGAGGAATATTTGAGCTTAGGCATTCTAGACCAGCTTGGGCAACATAACAAGACCCCTTCTCTACAAAAGTACCAAAATTAGCTGGGTGAGGTGGCACATGCTTGTAGTCCCAGCTACTTGGGAGGCTGAGGCAAGAGGATCGCTTGAGCCCAGGAGGCGGAAGTTACAAACAGCTGAGATGACATGACTGCACTCCAGCCTGGGCGCTAGAGCAATATGCTGTCTCAAAAACTAAAAAAGAAAAAAGAAAAACAAATAAAAAACAATGCAGTATAACAATGATCTACATTTACATTTATGAATAGCATTTACATTGTTTAGGTATTCTAAGTAATCTAGAGATTAAAGTATATGGGAGGATGTTCATAGGTTATGGGCAAATACTATGCTACATCAGAGACTAGAGCATGTGTAGATTTTGGAAGCCATGAGAATTCCTAGAACCAATCCCCTGTGGATACCAAGGGATGGCTCTACATGATAAGTGTGTAAAATATATATATTCAGAAGGAATGAGAAAATCAAAATTAATTTTTTTCAGGGAAGATGGGCTTGATGGGACTTGATGGAGGATGGTCTGGGAGACTCTCCCCTTCTATGGAAACATTCCCAACTGGGAGACCAGCACAGCTGCAGGGAAATAATTTCTTCAGGCAGTGTTAGCTGCTTCTAAATCTCAGGACCCTATGTCCCTGGGCTCCTCAAGGAGACATTTGTTATTTACAGTGACTCCTGATTCATTTGCTTAGGGGGTCCTCTTGTCTTTCTGCTAGGGACTTGGAAAAGGAGAGAGGGCCTAGCCTCCCAGCCTACATCTTTCTCCTCTGCTGGTTGTTTCCTTGTGATCTTGTAAGTTAACACTTAATAAATCCCATATATATATGGGATTTATTAAGTGTTAACTTACACTTATATATATGTATATATATGTGTTATATATATAATATGTGTTATATAATATATACATATTAAATGTTAACTTACACATATATGATTTATTTGTATATTTATATTATATATTTATATATATCCTAATATGTGTGTATATATATATCTATATCTATCTATCTATCTATCTATCTATCTATCTATATATCCTATTAGTTCTGTCCCTCTAAGAGGACCCTGACTAATCCAGATTTTGGTACCAGGAGTGGTTCTAGAGAAATGGAATATTAAGAGTGGAGTTCTTTCATTGGTTTTGGGTTTTCTAGAGTTGGCTGCTTAATATGGTTAGACCCCAAAATGCTAAGGACTCTACGTCTAATAGTATGGAGAACACTGATAGTCCTTGGTGTGAACTGTTTAGAGAGTTAAGCAAAGTAAATGCATTTGGCACTCCTGATTCACTGCTCATGAGAGGCAAGGAGTTTAGTGACTCTATACATAATACCTTTGACCATATGTGGAGAACCAAGGAACATAATGAAGCTGGTTGGTTGCTCCTGAGTTCAATAGACAAAGTGATGAAAGAAAACGATGAGCTCAGGGATTATGTCTCCTGGCTTCAGAAGCAGATACTGAGCCTCAAATCTGCTAAGATTGCCCTGAGTGAGACCCTTATCTTCTGTAGAGAAAGAGCTGAAATTGTGAAAAAACAAACACAAATTCTTATCATGCAAGTGGCTGACCTGCAACAAAAGGTGCATGTACAGACTCACTAGGTGTCTACTGTTAAAGTGAGGGCATTGATTGGAAAAGAATAGGACCCTGCAACTTGGAATGGGGAAATGTGGGAGCACTCAGATGAAGCTGGGGACACTGAGTTTGTAAACTCTGATGAACCTTTTTTGCCAGAAGGAACAGCTTCCCCATCCCCAGTAGTAGCAACATCCACTCCCGACCCGTGGTGCCATCAGCCTTTCCACCTTTGTCTGAGGAGATAAACCCTGTGCTGCCTGAGGCAACAGTGATGGCCTCCTCTGAGGCAGTTGCCAGGCAAAATAATGTTGATTCTCCTCAGGAGCCACCCCAACACCCCTGTTTCGTGGTCCACTACATTGATGACAGTCTAGACCTGTAACTAGACTAAAGTCTGGTCCATTACATTGATGACAGTCTAGACCTGTAAATAGACTAAAGTCCCAGTGGGCCCCTGGAGGTGAGGTTGAGAGTGTGATCCATGAGGAGGTGCACGGCACTTCAAAAGAACTGTTTGAGTTCTCTAATTTATAAAAACAGCAATCTGGAGAACATGCATGGGAATTGATATTAAGGGTATGGAATAATGGTGGAAGGAACATAGAGTTGGATCAGGCTGAATTTATTGATTTGAGCCCCTAAGTAGGGATTCTGCATTTAATGTTGCAGCTTGGGGAGTTACAAAAGATTCTAATAGTTTATTTGCTTGGATAGCTGAAATATGGATTAAAAGATGGCCCACTGTGAGCAAGCTGGAAATGCCTGATCTCTCTTGGTTTAATGTAGAGGAAGGGATCCGAAGGCTTAGGGAGATTGGGATGGTGGAGTGGATTAGTCACTTTAGACCTACTTATCCCAGTGGGGAGGGTCCCGAAGATATACCCTTGAACAATAGCTTGCGAAACAGATTTGCAAGCATGGCACCAGCATCTTTGAAGAGCCCTGTGATTGCTCTTCTCTGTATGTCAGATCTAACGGTGGGAACTGCAGTCACTCAACTACAAAATTTAAATACAATGGGAATAATTGGATCCCAAGGTAGCAGGGGCTAAGTGGCAGCACTCAACCATGAAAGGCAAGGTGGGCATAACTACTGTAATGGACAGCAGAGGCAAAGCGGCAATCAGAATAGTCTGACTCGTGTAGAGCTCTGGCATTGGCTAATTAATCATGGTGTTCCTAGAAGTGAAATTGATAGGAAGCCTACTGCATTCCTACTTAAATTATACAAACAAAGAACTTCCAGGTCAAATGGACAAACGACTAATTTGAATCATAAAAACAGAGAATCACGGCCCCTCAATCAATTTCCAGGATTGAGCCAGTTTAGAGACCCAAAAACCCTTGAATGAAGCGGAGGCCGGGTCCCCTTGAGGAAGGACCCCACTACATTACTGACAATTTATGCAGTGAATCTTTCTCCCACCCTTCCCCAAGGAGACCTCCAGCCTTTTACCAGGGTAACTGTGCACTGGGGAAGGAGAAATGATCATATATTTTGGGGACTTCTGGACACTGGCTCTGATTTGGCGTTGATTCCAGGGGACACAAAATGTCACTGTGTTCCTCCAGTTAAATTAGGGGCTTATGGAGGTCAGGTAATTAATGGAGTTTTAGCTCAGGTCCAACTTACAGTGGGCCCAGTGGGTCCCTGGATTCATCCTGTGGTCATTTCCCCAATGACAGAATGTGTAATTGGCATAGATATATTCAACAGCTGGCAGAACCCCTACATTGGCTCCCTGACTGGTAGGGTGAGAGCTATTATGGTGGGAAAGGCCAAATGGAAGCCATTAGAGCTGCCTCTACCTAGAAAAATAGTAAATCAAAAACAATATCACATCCCTGGAGGGACTGCAATTAGTGTCACCATCAAGACTTGAAGGATGCAGGGATGGTGATTCCCAACACCTCTCCATTCAAGCCTCCCATTTGGCCTGTGTGGATGACAGATGGACCTTGGAGAATGACAGTGGATTATCATAAGCTTAACCAAGTTGTGACTCCAATTGCAGCTGGTTTCCAATGAAACCAGATGTGATTTCATTGCTTGAGCAAATTAACATGTCTCCTGGTACCTGGTATGCAGGTATTGACTTAGCAAATGCCTTTTTCTCCATTCCTGTCCATAAGGCCCACCAGAAGCAATTTGCCTTCAGCTGGCAAGGTCAGCAATATACCTTTACTGTCCTACCTCACGGGTATATCAACTCTCCAGCTTTGCGTCATAATCTTATTCAGAGAGACCTTGATCACTTTTTGCTTCTGAAAGATATCACACTGGTCCATTACAATGACATTATGATGATTGGATCCAGTGAGCAAAAAGTAGCAAACACACTGGACTTATTGGTGAGACATTTGCATGCCAGAGGATGGGAAATAAATCTGACTAAAATTCAGGGAACTTCTACCTCAGTAAAATTTCTAGGGATTCAGTGGTATGGGCCCTGCCGAGATATTCTTTCTAAAGCAAAGGATAACTTGCTGCATTTGGCCCCTCCTACAACCAAGAAAGAGGTACAATGCCTAGTGCGCCTATTTGGATTTTGGAGACAACACATTCCTCATTTGGGTGTGTTACTCTGGCCCATTTATCTAGTGACCTGAAAGGCTGCCAGTTCTGAGTGGGGTCCAGAACAGGGGAAGGCTCTGCAATAGGTCCAGGCTGCTGTGCAAGCTGCTCTGCCACTTGGACCATAAGACACAGCAGATCCAGTGGTGCCTGAAGTGTCAGTGGCAAATAGGGATGCTGTTTGGAGCCTTTGGCAGGCTCCCATAGGTGAATCACAGCAGAGGCATCTAGGATTTTGGAGCAAGGCCCTGCCATCTAGTTCAGATAACTACTCTCCTTTTGAGAGACAGCTCTTAGCCTGTTACTGGGCTTTGGTGGAAACTGAACGTTTGACTATGGGTCATCAAGTCACCATGTGACCTGAACTGCCTGTCATGAACTGGGTGTTTTCTGACTTATCTAGCCATAAAGTGGGTCATGCACAGCAGCATTCCATCATCAAGTGGAAGTGGTATGTATGTGATCAGGCTCAAGCAGGTCCTGAAGGCCAAGTAAGTTACATGAGGACATGGCTCAAATGCCCAGGGTCTTCACTCCTGCCACCTGCCTTCTCTCCCCCAGCCTGCACTGATGGCCTCATGGGGAGTTCCCTATGATCAGTTGACAGAGTAACAGAAGACTAGGGCCAGGTTCACAGACGGTTCTGCATAATACACAGGCACCACCCAAAAGTGGACAGCTGCAGCACTACACCCTCTTTCTAGGACATCCCTGAAGTATAGCGGTGAAGGGAAATGTTCCCAGTGGGCAGAATTTTGAAAAGTGCACCTGGTTGTGCACTTTGCATGAAAGGAGAAATGGACAAATGTGCAATTATACACTGATTCCTGGGCTGTAGCCAATGGCTTGGCTGGATGGTCAGGGACTTGGAAGAAGCATGATTGGAAAATTGGTGACAAAGAAATTTGGGGAAGAAGTATGTACATGGACCTCTCTGAATGGTCAAAAACTGTGAAGATATTTGTATCTCATGTGAGTGCTCGAGTGACCTCAGTGGAGGGGGAGTTTAACAATCAAGTGGAGAGGATGAGCCGTAATGTGGACATTACTCAGCCTCTTTCCCCAGCCACCCCTGTCACCGCCCAATGGGCCCATGAACAAAGTGGCCATGGTGGCAGGGATGGAGGCTACACATGGGTTCAGCAAGATAGACTTCCACTCACCAAGACTGACCTGGCTATGGCCACTGCTGAGTGTCCAATTTGCCAACAGAAGAGACCAATATTGAGCCCTCAATATGACACTATTCCTCGGGGTGATCAGCCAGCCACCTGGTGGCAGGTTGATTATATTGGACCTCTTCCATCATGGAAAGGGCAGAGGTTTGTCCTCACTGGAATAGACACTTACTCCTGATATGGGTTTACCTATCCTGTATGCAATGCTTCTGTCAAGACTACCATTTGTGGACTCATGAAATTGCCTTATCCACCAGCATGGAATTCCACACAGCATTGCCTCTGACCAAGGCACTCACTTTACAGCTAAAGAAGTGTGGCAGTGGGCTCATACTCATGGAATTCACTGGTCTTACCATGTTCTCCATCATCCTGAAGCAGCTGGATTGATAGAATGGTGGAATGGCCTTTTGGAGTCACTATGACAATACTTTGCAGGGCTGGGGCAAAGTTCTCCAGAAGGCCATGTATGCTCTGAATCAGCATCCAATATATGGTACTGTTTCTCCTATAGCCAGGATTCACAGGTCCAAGAATCACGAGTCCGAGAATCAATTTGATTACTTTAATGTAAATGAGATTATACCATACTCTCTTCTCTGTCACTTCCTATTTTCATGTAATTTATGTTAGACATCTGTCGATGTCAGTATAAATAGATCTAGATCATTTTTTATAGTTGTATAGCTTTCATTACTTGGATGTTTCACAATTTACTTAGCTAACTACCTATTGTTGGACATTTGGTTATTTCCAAATTTTTGCTATTTCATATAATGCTGCGCTTATATAAAATATAGTTCTATATAATTATGTTTAATTATGTACTACCGCTGTATCTGACAACTGACTTGTATCAAGAACATACAAAGAACTGTTACAAGTTGCCAGGCAGAGTGGCTCATGTCTGCAATCCCAGGGCTTTGGGAGGCCAAGGTGGGCGGATCTCTTGAGCCCAGGAGTTGGAGACCAGCCTGGGCAACATGGGGAGACCCCGTCTCGACAAAAATACAAAAATTAGCCAGGCATAGGGGCACACATCTGTAGTTCCAGCTACTTAGAGGCTGAGGTGGGAAGACTGCTTGAGCCCAGGAAGTTGAGGCTGCAGTGAGCCAAGATCACACCACGGCACTCCAGCCAGCGCGTCAAAGGCCCTGTCTGAAAAAAAAGGAAGAAGCGGGGGCGGCAAATAAGTAGAGTATACGCCACCTCATCCAACCTTACTGGAACCAGTAGTTGACTGGTTAATCAGTCCAACCAAGGAAGCATTAAAAACTGATGCATGTGCCGGGCATGGTGGCTCACGCCCGCAATCCCCGCACTTTGTGAGACCGAGGCGGGCTGATCACCTGAGGTTAGGAGTTTGAGACCAGCCTGGCCAACATGGTGAAACCCTGTCTCTACTAAAAATACAAAAGTTAGCCATGCATGGTAGTACACGTCTGTAATCCCAGCTACTCAGGAGGCTGAGGCAAAAAAAGGAGAAGAAATGCTATGTGAAGCCTTTTTATAAGCACATTAATTTCATTCACGAGGGCAGAGCACTCATGACCTAATCACCACCTTGAAAGCCTCACTTCTTAACATCATCACATTAGGTCTTAGGTTATAACATGAATTTTGGAGGACTCCAGAAAAAAAAAGTGAAAGACAACCCACAGAATGGGAGAAAATACTTGCAAATTATATACAAAGTAGGCTCACTTTATTTGTGGAAAATATGTAGCCAGACGCAGTGGCTCATGCCTGTAATCCCAGAACTTTGGAAAGCTGAGGTGGGAGGATCACTTGAGCCCAGGAGCTCAAGACTAACCGGGGCAACATAGGGATACCCTATCTCTACAATAAATAAATAAAATTACCCAGATGTGGTGACATGTGCCTGTGGTCCCAGCTACTTGGGAGGTTGAGGTGGGAGAATCACGTGAGCCCAGGAGGTTGAGGCTGCAGTGAGCCAAGATAACATTAATGTATCCCAGCCTGGGCGATAGACCGAGACCTTATCTCAAAAAAAAAATATATATATATGTATATATTTATTTATCTACCTATATATTCATATATAGATATAGATTAATATAGATATATAAACATATATTTATAGATATATAGATACATAAATATATAGCTATATATAAATATATATTTATAAATATATAGATATATATGTAACAAAATATGTTCCAAGACCTCCAGTGTATACCTGAAACTGCAGATAGTACCAAACTCTATATGTACTATGTTTTTTTCCTATACATACATACATACCTATGATGAAGTTTAATTTATAAATTAGGCACTGTAATAGAATAACAACAATAACTAATAATAAAAGAGAACAATTAGAATATACTTTTTGTTTTTGAGATGGAGTCTTGCTCTGTCACCCAGGCTGGAGTGCCATGGCGCCATCTCAGCTCACTGCAACTTCCACCTCCCAGGTTCAAGCGATTCTCCTGCCTCAGCCTCCCGAGTAGCTGGGCCTACAGGCACCTGCCACCACGCCCGGCTAATTTTTGTATCTTTAGTAGAGGCAGGGTTTCACCATATTGGCCAGGCTGGTCTCCAATTCCTGACCTTGTGATCCACCCACCTCGGCCTCCCAAAGTGCTGGGATTACAGGTGTGAGCCACTGTGCCCGGCTAGAATATACTTTAACATAAGTTACATGAATAGTTTTCTCTCTCTCAAAATACTGTAATATTTGGGATTGCAGCTGCCCGCAGGTAACTGAAACTGCAGAGAGCATACGGGAGACTACAGTATCTGACAATGGACTTGGATCTAGAATACATAAAGAACTCTTACAACTTGATAATAAAAAGGATATAACCCAATTTTAAAATGGACAAAAGATCTGAACAGATATTTCTCCAAAGAAGACATACAAATGGCCAATAAGGGCCAGGTGGTGGCTTATGCCTATAATCCCAACACTTTGGGAGGCCAAGGCAGGTGGATCACTTGAGGCCAGGAGTTCAAGACCAGTCTGGCCAACATGGCGAAAACCCATCTCTACTAAAAATATAAAAATCAGCCAGGCGTTGTGGCGCATGCCTGTAGTCCCAGGTACTCAGGCAGATGAGGCACAAGAATCACTCGAACCCGGGAGGCAGAGGTTGCAATGAGCTAAGATTGCACCACTGCACTCCAGCCTGGGCAACAGAGCAAAACCCCACCTAAAAATAAATAAATAAATAAAAATAAAAGAAAGAAAATAAATGGCCAATAAGCACAAGAAAATACACTCAATTTCTGTCTTAGTCTGTTTGTGCTGCTATAACAAAATACCTGAGACTAAGTAATTTATAAGTAAAAAAATTTATTCCTCACAGTTCCGGAGGCTGGGAAATCCAAAATCAAGGTGGTAGCACATTTGGCATTTGGTGAGGGCCTGTTCCATTGTTCCCGTTCTCGCAGTGGCATCTTCACATGGCAGGAGAAGAAAGGAAAAAAGAAGAAGAAATGTTATGTGAAGCCTTTTTATAAGGGGATTAATTTCATTCACGAGGGCAGAGCCCTCATGACCTAATCACCACCTTGAAGGCCTCACTTCTTAACATCGTCACATTAGGTCTTAGGTTATAACATGAATTTTGGAGGACTCCAACATTCAAACCATAGAAACATCATTAGCCATCAGGGAAGTGCAAATCCAAACCATGTTAAGATACCACTTCACACTCACAAGAATGGCTATAATAAACAGACACATAATAACAAGTGTTGGAGAAAATGTGGAAAAATTGAAACACTCATATGTTGCTGGAGGGAATGTAAAATGCTTTGCAATGAAGTTGGAACTGCTTTGGAAATAGTCTGGCAGTTCCTCCAAAGCTTAAACATAGAGTTATCATATGACCTGGCAATGCCAGGCTTCATCGTATTCCCAAGGGGAAGGAAAACATATGTCCACACAAAAACTTATACATGAATGTTCATAGCAGCATTATTCATAATAGTCAAAAAGTAGAGACAGCTGGGTGTGGTGGCTCCCAACACTTTGGGAGGCCAAGGCGGGAGGATTGCTTGAGCTCAGGAGCTCGAGACCAGCCTGGCCAACAGAGTGAAATCCGATCTCTACTGAAAATACAAAAATCAGCGGGACATGGTATACGTGCCTGTAATCCCAGCTACTTGGGAGGCTGAGGCAGGTGAATGGCTTGAATCCAGGAGGCGGAGGCCGCAGTGAGCCAAGATCACACCACCGTACTCCAGCCTGAGTGACAGACTGAGACTCCATCTCAAAAAAAAAAAAAAAAGTGATAAACAGATAAATGAAATGTGTTATATTCCTACAACAGAATATTACTGAGCCATAAAAAAAAGGAAATAAGTACTGACACATGCTATAACATGAATGAACCTTGAAAACATTAGGTTACTTGAAAAAAGCCAGTCACAAAAGATCACAAATTGTATGGTTCCATTTATATGAAATGTCCAAATAGGCAAATCCTATCCTAAAAGAAAGTAAATTAGTGGTTGCCTAGGACTGAGGGATGGAGGAAATGGGGAGTGACTGCTCATAGGTATGGTATTTTTTTTTGAGAGAAATGAAAATATTCTAAAATTGATTGTGGTGGCCAGGCACAGGGGCTCACGCCTGTAATCCCAGCACTTTGAGAGGCCGAGGCGGGCGGATCACCTGAGGTCGGGAGTTCGAGACTAGCCTGACCAACATGGAGAAACCCCGTCTCTACTAAAAATACAAAATTAGCCGGGCATGGTGGTGCATACCTGTAATCCCAGCTACTCGGGAGGCTGAGGCAGGAGAATCGCTTGAACCAGGGAGGTGGAGGTTGCAGTGAGCTGAGATCGTGCCACTGCACTCCAGTCTGGCGAGAGAGTGAGGCTCCATCTCATAAAAAAAAAAAAAAAAAAAGAAAGAAAAAAGAAAAAAAAGAATGTTTCAGGCAAAGGGAAGAGAAGTGCAATGGTGCTATTTCAGGCAGAAGCTTGTCAGGTTTGCTGTGGTGTGGCTAGTGTGGAAGGACTCAGTGGGAAGGAAAAGAAATGAGGGCACAGTAGTGGGCAGGGCCAAGATAAAATAAAGCCATATGCATACTGCTACATTTTTTCCTTGCTAACATATTTCATTGAATGTAGACAAAACTTATTATAAAGACATAACTTTTGATGTTTGTAAGGTCATCTGTTATTTGCACTCCTTTTTTTTTTGAGATAGGGTCTCACTCTGTCACCCAGGCTGGAGTGCAGTGTTGCCACCACAGCTCACAGCAGCCTCGACCTCCTGGGCTCAAGCACTCCTCCCACCTTAGCCTCCTGAGTATCTGGGACTACAGGCACATGCCACCGTGCCCCACTAATTTTTTATTTTTTGTAAAGACAGGGTTTCTCCATGTTACCCAGGCTGGTCTCAAACTCTTGAGCTCAAACAATCTACCCACCTTGGTCTCCCAAAGAGCTAAGATTACAGGCGTGAGCCACTGTGCCTGGCTTGTTATTTGCATTTGTGATTTTAAAATTCCATGTTTTTTATCATAAGATTGTCAGGTGCTTTCTGGACAGGAAATGCCTTAATTTATGACTCAAAATACAAACAAGTGTAGGTGATCAAATGCATATCTATGTCTTCAATGGAAATATATATACATACAAGTCATTAACGAAGACAAATGAGAACATGAAATTCATGACCTATTTTCCTTTCCATCACCTAGCCCCCTAAAGGAGAGATCTTTTTCATTCAGAGCCCTGGGTTTTGTTTTGTTTCATGATTTGCTTTTTTTTTTTTTAAATAAGAGTTTATTTATTTATTTATTTGAGACAAGGTTTCACTCCCATCAGCCAGGCTGGAGTGCAATGGCGTGAACTCAGTTCACTGCAACTTCTGCCTCCTGGACTCAAGTGACTCTCTTGCCTCAGCCTCCTGAGTAGCTGGGACTACAGGCACGTGCCGCTGCATCCAGCTAATTTTTTGTAGAGACAGGGTTTCACCATGTTGGCCAGGCTGGTCTTGAACTCCTGAGTTCAAGCGATCCGTCTGCCTCTGAGTCTCAAAGTGCTAGGGTTACAGGAATGAGCCGCCGCGTGGCCAAAAGAGTTTATTTTTTAAAGAAAATTGACTTCTTTGAAAACGTAGAAATGAGGCCGGGCGCAGTGGCTCACACCTGTAATTCCAGCACTTTGTGAGGCCGAGGCAGGTAGATCGCTTGAACTGAAGAGTTTGAGACCAATCTGGCCAACATGGTGAAACCCCATCTCTACTAAAAATACAAACATTAGCCGGGTGTGGTGGCAGGTGCCTGTAATCCCAGCTACTCGGGAGGCTGAGGCAGGAGAATCGCTTGAACCCGGGAGGCGGAGGTTGCAGTGAGCCAAGATTGCGCCATTGCACTCCAGCCTGGGCAACAAGAGCAAAACTCCATCTCAAAAAGAAAAGAAAAAGTAGAAATGAGGAAGCGGCCAGCCTGTGTGGGGATCTAATCAAACAAATCTTCCCCTGATGAGGGTAGCACTTAAGTTGAAAAAAATTTGCCTATATAATAAATATTGCAATACTTTATTTATTTATTTATTTATTTTTCGAGATGAGGGTCTCGCTGTGTTGCCCAGGCTAGTCTTGAACTCTTGGGCTCAAGGGCTTCTCCTGCCTCAGCCTCCCCAGTGGCTGGGCTAATAGGCACACACCACCATGCCCAGCTCTACATACTGATTTTTTTTTTTTGAGATGGAGTCTTCGCTCTGTCGCCCAGGCTGGAGTGCAGTGGCGCGATCTCCGCTCACTGCAAGCTCCGCCTCCCGCGTTCACGCCATTCTCCTGCCTCAGCCTCCCGAGTAGCTGGGACTACAGGCGCCTGCCACTGCGCCCACTAATTTTTTGTATTTTTAGTAGAGACGGGGTTTCACCGTGTTAACCAGGATGGTCTCGCTCTGCTGACCTCGTGATCCGCCCGCCTCGACCTCCCAAGGTGCTGGGATTACAGGCGTGAGCCACCGCGCCCGGCCCATACTGATTTTGAAATTTAAAAAATCTACATTCTATATTCGCATCATAGCTTCTCCCTAATAAAATCTTTGTGAGTGTTTATGGGACTTATTCCCCGAAAAATCTGCAAGCAGCCTGGTAGCTTTATATACACAGGAAAGCCAAAGGACAAACTAGGAATTACGTCAGAGATGGGGAAAGACTAAGGATCTTACCCAAATCAGTTGAGAATCAGCCTTAAGTATAAATGGGCCAGGTGTTGGTGGCTCACACCTGTAATCCTAGCACTTTGGGAGGCCAAGGCGGGCAGATCACTTGAGGTCAGGAGTTCGAGACCACCCTGGCCAACATGGTGAAACCCCGTCTCTACTAAAAGTACCAAAATTAGCCAGGCGTGGTGGCACGTGCCTGTGGTCCCAGCTACTTGGGAGGCTGAGGCAGGAGAATCGCTTGAACCTGGGAGGCAGAGGTTGCAGTGAGCTGAGATCACGCCACTGCACTCCAGCCTGGGTGACAGAGTAAGACTCCGTCTCAAAAAAAAAAAAAAAAAAAGTATAAATGAAGCACAATTAACATTTTTTAATTTTATAGAGCAAAAGTTCATAAAAATAAATATTCTAATTAACTCTCCTACATCTTATAAACACTATTACCAAACCCATTTAAGATTGAAGATAAATTATATCATGGCATGGGTAAAGATTTTCAATAAGGAGTTGCTAGGATAAAAGTCAAAATTCTCCAGCATAAATTCACTGACAGGGATTTCTGTTTAATCTTTTCAAAATTCTAATACCCAATTTGTTTCCTCTAGAGAATAACTCGTGTAGAATCATAACCTCTTTGGTGGACCTTGATTTTTCCATCTGTAAAAGTATAGAACTAGTTTTGACTTAACAGTCAACAAATGCCTACCCTCTCCATATCTAGCTGATTAGAGCGCCCTCGTGCGCATTTGCTGTAATGTTTTAGAAATCTGAAAAAGACAATATTAATCTCAGCAGTAATACAATAAATAATGTCTTCATTTGCACATTTATAGCAAATGCTATAAATATATAGCTCCAAGTATTACTCAGTAAAAGCTAAAGGCAAATGCTGTAGTAGGTTAATCTTACTGTCGTTCACTATCAAACCTTTCTTATGCCAATTTTATCCTAAAACAGTGAAGTTATTGTTTTGGTTTCAATTTTAATTTAATGACTTAAAGGATTTTTTCCCTTAAAACTTCTAAGTATTTCATTATAATATTATTTCATCATTAGGCTTAAAGGAAAATATGTGGTCAATTGAGTTGTTATTTATTATACATGATAGCTTGACATCATCTTTTTAGGGATGGAAAACAGCTCCAGGGACCAAGTCTAACTCAGTTTTTTGATATAAGAATTTACCTGTCGGCCGGGTGCAATGGCTCACACCTGTAATCCCAGCACTTTGGGAGGCCGAGGCGGGCGGATATAGGTCAGCAGATCAAGACCAGGAGTTCAAGACCAGCCTGGCCAAGATGGTGAAACCCCATCTGTACTAAAACTACAAAAATTAGCCAGGCGTGATGGCAGGCACCTGTAATCCCACCTACTTGGGAGGCTGAGGCAGGAGAATCACTTGAACCCGGTTCAAGTGAGCCGGCTGCAGTGAGCCAAGATCACGCCACTGCACTCCAGCCTGGGCAATAAGAGCAAGACTCCATCTCAAAAAAAAAAAAAAAAAAAAAAGAATGTACTAGTTTGAATCATAACAATTTCTTCCTACTCAAAGAGACTACATTGGAGGAAGCCAAAACAGAAGCTTATTTATTTATATACTTTATTTATTTATTTTTGAGACAGAGTCTTGCTCTGTCACCCAGGCTGGAGTACAGTGGTGTGATCTTGGCTCACTGCAACATCTGCCTCCCGGGTTCAAGCGATTCTCCTGCCTCAGCCTCCCTAGTAGCTGGGATTACAGGTGTGTGCCACCACGGCCAGCTAATTTTTGTATTTTTAGTAGAGACGGGTTTTCACCATGTTGGCCAGGCTGGTCTCAAACTCCTGACCTCAGGTGATCCACCTGCCTCAGCCTCCCAAAGTGCTGGGATTACAGGCATGAGCCACCAAGCCCAGCCTAGAGAAGCTTATTTTTTAAAAGAAAATACACAAAAAAATCAAAATCTCATAAGTCCAGTTGTAATTTTTTTTTTGGCTTTTAAAAACTGTTAATGCCCTCAAATATTCTCCTATCCAATCACTGTATTTTAAATGGCATTCCTCCAACAAATATTTGTTGAGCCCCCACTATGTGCCAGGATTGAAATGTCAAATTGAAGGAGGCAATAGCTACTGAAGTAAAGCAAAAAAAGTACTGGTTATTTTTCCTTCTATAAAATGACCTAGTAATAACCGCTTTACCCAGGAGAGTTGCTGTAAAGATCTAATAACATGACACATATAACCACACCCCTAAAGAATGAGGTGTTACCGCATGTTCTCACTCATAGGTGGGAATTGAACAATGAGAACACATGGACACAGGAAGGGGAACATCACACTCTGGGGACTGTTGCGGGGTGTGGGGAGGGGGGAGGGATAGCATTAGGAGATATACCTAATGCTAAATGACGAGTTAATGGGTGCAGCACACCAGCATGGCACATGTATACATATGTAACTAACCTGCACATTGTGCACATGTACCCTACAACTTAAAGTGTAATAATAATAAAATAATAAAATTAAAAAAAGAAATTTTGCTTAAATAAATATTATAATAAAAAAAACGAATGAGGTGTTATTAAAATGTTTGCAAGAGAAACCCTAGTAATTCCAAGCACATATTTTAGGAATGGTTTCTTGTGTAGAAAATCCTGGAATGTGAGGCTCTGCTGATTTTTTTAATGCATATTCTCTTCTTATGTATGCGGAATTTTTTTTTTTTTTTGAGATAGAGCCTTGCTCTGTTGCCCAGGCTGGAATGCACTGGCACGATCTTGGCTCACTGCAACTGCCACCTCCTGGTTTCAAGTGATTCTCCTGCCTCAGCCTCCCGAGTAGATGGAATTACAGGCGTGTGCCACCGCACTTGGCTAATATTTGTATTTTTAGTAGAGATGGGGTTTCACCATATTGGCCAGGCTGTTCTAGAACTCCTGACCTTGTGATCCACCCACTTCAGCCTCCCAAAGTGCTGGGATTACAGGCATGAGCCACTGTACCTGGCCTATTTTTGTTTTTACTAATGTTTCAAGAGACCCACTTTATGTACAGAATTCTGGCTACAACCTAACAAATGAGTTGCTCTGTTCATCAGTTATAGCCAATTTAAGTAATTATGAAAAGCTCAACAATACTTTAACTGGCAATGAAAGCGTCAATATCTCACATTTACCACCACAACTTAGGATTTCTTGGTAGCTAAATAAAATGCTTCTATTTTGTGGGGGGAAACTGTCACATAAGTTGAAATTCTGCAATGTTCAATTGATGAAAAGGTCTCTATGTTAAATCAAAGGTATAAATTCCACATCAGTAGTACATGAAAGAGAAAAAAAAAGCCAAAATTAAAGTGATCCATGCCCACTTCCCTGAGTGAACCTAAGATTTTACTAACAGAGATGCCGTAACTTTGATCATGCACACATCAAACTTGAATTTAAAAACATGCATGCACTCACTCATCTTTTATCTCTTATGTAATTAATACTGTAAGATTATATTTTGCCTACGTGCTCTATATTACTAATTTATAGGATTATTACTATTCAGTGTTGTTTACTTGAAACCATACTGTACTATACACAACTTTTGCATTCCATGCTAACTTTATTTTTTTAACTAATTTTTTTTTATACAGAGTCTCACTCACTCTATTGGCCAGGCTGGAGTGCAGTGGCACGATCTTGGCTCCTGCAACCTCTGCCTCTCGGGTTCAAGTCATTCTCCTGCCTCAGCCTCCCAAGTAGTTGGTACCACAGGTACATGCCACCACACCCGGCTAATTTTTGTATTTTTGGTAGAGATGGGGTTTCACCATGTGGGCCAGGCTGGTCTCGAACTCCTGACCTCAAGGTTATAGGCGTGAGCCACGATGTCCCAACTCCATGCTAACTTTAGAGCTTATTTCCCATCCCATAAGATACAACACTACTTGTGTTATATAGTGAGCAGTGTGGGGAAGAAAAGCATAGAATTAAGTTAGTGACAAATCCAGTGAACTCAAAAAGAGGGAAAAAACCACTCCCAAACAATTGTTTTCCCCATATTCTATTCTCCCTAGAGGTAGTCCATACAGGAACGACAAAAGAAAAAAAAGGATACAAAATGAGAAAGATGTTCATGTGACATATAAGTACAGTAATAAAATCAACAAGCATATATGGTATTTAAGCAAAATAGTATGTATGCATTGATGGTCATCTGATATAAATCCATCATTTCTGTTGGCCAACATCTAAAACCTTCACTTTTCTGAGGAGACAAGCTATAAATCTATACGGATATTTCTACAATGAGAATTCATTATTACATATGAACCAATATAATTTGATGTCAAATATTCACAATTAGGTTTAAAAAATCCCCTACTTGGCCGGGCGCAGTGGCTCATGCCTGTAATCCCAGCACTTTGGGAGGCCAAGGCGGGTGGATCATGAGGTCAAGAAACCAAGACCATCCTGGCCAACATGGTGAAGCCCTGTCTCTACTAAAAATACAAAAATTAACTGGGCGTGGTGGCAGGCGCCTGTAGTCCCAGCTACTCAGGAGGCTGAGGCAGGACAATCACTTGAACCCAGGAGGCAGAGGTTGCAGTGAGCTGAGATCGCGCCACTGCACCCCAGCCTGACGACAGAGTGAGACTCAGTCTCAAAAAAAAAAAAAAAATCCCCTACTTATGTTAAGAGTACCAAAAATAGGGCCAGGAATGATGGCTCATGCCTATAATTTTGGCACTTTGGGAAGCCGAGGTGGGAAGATAGCTTGAGTCCAGGAGTAAAATAGTGAGACTCTGTCTCTACAAAAAAATAAAAAATTAGCTGGATGGGGCACACACCTGTAGTCCAGGTACTCACGAGGCTGAAATGGGTGGATCACTTGAGCCTGGGAGGTCAAGGCTGTAGTGAACTGTGATCACACCACTACACCCTACACCCAGCCTGGGCTACAAGGTGAGACCCTGTCTCAAAAAAAAAAAAAAAAAAGGTACCAAAAATCTATAGCTGTTTCAGAAATAAAATACATGTAGTTAGTGAGGTTTTTCTCTCCCACTGCTATGACTTAATTTTTGGTTGAGATGCTAAGCCAAACATCATTTTAAGTCTGTGGCCCAACCAAAAAAGGGAATCATACTCTCCAAAGAATTGTACATTCCCACTCTAATTGCTAAAATAAAATGTTGGATTATGAAAATCAATTTTATAGGTATCAATAAGTTATAAGAGCATGGCTTATTTAAAAAAAAAAGTGGGCCAGGTTACCTACATGAGCTGCAAAGCAAGCAAACTGAATTTTCTTATCGAAGAGCCCATCCTCATACTTAAAATTTCCCATGACTACATGGAAATTCTTTCACTTACCAAAAAGACCTGATTGGCACTTTCACTGAGAGTTGCGTCATCTGGGCTGTCGACAGGTGTCTGACGTGTAAACTTGGAATCAAACTGACTTACATCCTCTTCAGATTGCTTTATACAAACAAAATAATTTAGAAAATAATGAATAGTCCATATGACATCAATTAAATGCACTGTAAGCTCTGGGAGCTCTTTTCGCAGGGGTTAACTATAATAAAGTATTAGAATAGTCTTAGCAGGCACTTTTCTAATAGTGGAGAAATGCAAGTGGAAGAAAAAAATGCAAGTGGAAAGTACTGAGTCAAATTACATCTTCAAATCTTAAACATGCACTAAAAAAGATTTTAGTATACTGTTATTCCTATTAAAAATGTGAATATATTGACTGGGCATGATGGCTCAGGCCTGTAATCCCAGCACTTTGGGAGGCTGAGGCAGGCAGATCCTGAGGTCAGGAGTTCAAGACCAGCCTGGCCAATAAAGCGAAACCCCGTCTCTACTAAAACTACAAAACATCAGCCGGGCGTGGTGGCGGGCGCCTGTAATCCTAGCTACTCGGGAGGCTGAGGCAGGAGAATTGCTTGAACCTGGGAGGCAGAGGTTGCCGCAAGCAGAGATCGTGCCACTGCACACCAGCCCAGGTGACAGTGCGAGAGTCTGTCTCAATTAAAAAAAAAAAAAGAAAAGAATATATCGAGCTCAAAACAAGCTGGAAAAAATGTGAATATCAATTTCCCCTCTCACAAAGCTTCAGTGTGCCTAGTCCACTGGCTAAATCCCTGTTTAGAGATAATTAATTCAGTTGGCTACTGCAGGTTTGTAATAAACCTGAAAAACTACTGAAGCAGAGTTAAAACATGAATAATACTGGTAAGATGCTCCAGTTAAAGTTTCTTCTCACAGCTCATTTCATTCCTTCAGAAATCTAAAGGAGCAAAAATAATTTTCTATTCCGCATGGGTTATAAGTTATATTTCCTTGTGAAAGTATAGTTATCACTTCAGTTCTAACCATGAGATTTATTTATTTAATTCCTTCTCTCTTTCCCAAAATATCTGGTTAAACTCTTGGGCCAAATGTAAGAAGTAAATAATAATTTAGAATATCTGACTTAATACTAAAAGATGATGACCACATTGACCTTATAATTCTCTTAGAGCCCAGACTGTGAACCTGCACTCCCTGGAGGAATGGCTGATTCCAAGTGTGGGGAAAATGTACAAGATAAGCATAGAACACCAGTTTCCTTATTTTGCTCTCTCGTACAACACCAGACAATGTGCTCATGTCAAAAGGACTCAGAACCCAACATGAAGATGCACCCAGCATTCACTGCACCCAGCATTCAACGAAGGGAAAAAACGAGCACCAATAAAAATAACTGCTAGGTGCGGTGGCTCACGCCTATCATCCCAACACTTTGGGAGGCAGAGGCAGGTGGATTGCTTTTGAGCTCAGGATTTGAAGACCAGCCTGGTGAACACGGCAAAACCCCGTCTCTACCAGAAACACAAAAATTAGCTGGGCATGGTGGTGTACCTGTGGTCCCAGCTACTCAAGAGGGTGAGGTGGGAGGATTGCTGGAGGTCGGGATGTCAAGCCTGCAGTGGGCAGCGATTATACCACTGCACTACAGCTTGGGTGACAGAGTTAAGACCCTGCCTGAAAACAATAAATGAATAAATAAAAATAAAATAAAAATAACTGCGATGAAAGGAAACACAAATATGTTAAAACGTGTAAGTTCATAATATACTAAAAAAGAAAAAAACACACACACAAAGTTCATTGGTCAATTTTGGAAGATGCTAGGAAACTAATTCATTATTTTGAAAACTAGGAAAGAATCAAACATACATCCTGCCTTTTCTGTATGAACTGTACCTTGGGTAACTAACTGATCAAAGAGTTTCTCTTTATGAAAGAATTCCAGCTAACAAAGAAAGAAGAAATAACAGTTAGAATAAAACCATTTCACAAACACCTGATGAAACTACAAAAGTAGGCCAGAGTTTCTCAACCTCAGGGCTACTGACATTTTAGGCCTATTAATACTTTGCGTTAGGGGGCTGTGCTGTGCTGACTCTTACCCCTGAAGGTACCTATAGCATTCCCTCTCCCAAGCTGTGACAGTGTGTCTCCAGACATTGCCAAATTACCCTGGTAGTGAAATGCTGACACAGGCAGTGACCACTAACATCACTAAAAAAACACACATACGCACACACAAGTACACATTATGCCTCCTGATCAAAGCATATGCGATACTGAGAGTGTAATCTGAATCAGATCAACCACCTAAATTTAACTACCAGTTTTTGGAAATTTGGGGAACAGATGAACATGGTCAATGACACTCTGGGGATAATATCAGCAAAATCAAAATTTGAGAATTCTACAGGACAAATGACCCCGTTTCTTCAGTAAATCACGAGGGGAATCTATAAAGGAAAAGAGACCTAAGAGACATAGTAACCAAACTACATACAGACCTTGATTAACAGGAGGAAAAAAAAGAATGGAACAACAACAACAAAAAAATTAGGTGGGGCAACACAGGGAGACCTCATCTCTAGAAAAATTCAAAAAATTGGATGTGGTGATGCACCCCTGTGGTCCCAGCTATATGGGAGGATCCCTTGAGCCTGGGAAGCTGAGGCTGCCATGAGCCACTATCATGCCACTGCACTCCAGCCTGGGCAACAGAGAAAGACCCTATCTCAAAAAAAAAAGAGAAAAAAAAAAAACTGGGGAAACTGTCAACTTCTTAGGTGTGATGATGGGATGACAGTTATGTTTAAAGAAGATGATCTAATTATTTTTAAGCTGGGCAGTAGGTGTATGACAGTTCTCCTCCTTACAATTGTTTGTTGTTTTTTAAAGTGGGTCACATTATGGGGCATGACCAAAAAATAATCACCATCATCATCCTCCTCCTTCTCCACCTACAGCCCAAGGAATGGAAAAAGAAACTGTGTTTTCTCAGATTCTGAGGTGGCAGAAAGACAATAACACACTAACTCATTTACTCATAAACATATTGTTATGGATTGAATTGTGTCCCTTACTCACCCCCCAGAAAATTTCGTATGTTGAAACTCTAACCTCTAGTTCCTCAGAATGTGACCTTATTTGGAAAGGGTTATTGCAGATGTAATTAGTGAAGATGAGGTCCTACTGGAGTAGAGAGGAACCCTAATCCAATATGCCTGGTATCCTTATAAAAAGGGGAAATTTGGCCACAGATACGCACACAGGTAGAACACCATGTGAACATGAAGGCAGAGATCCAGGTGATGCACCTACAAGCCAAAGTATGCCAAAGATGACCAGCAAACCACCAGAAGCCAGGGGAGAGGCATGGAACATAAGGTTTCTCACAGTTGTCGAAGAAACCAACTCTAACAACGTGATCTAGAACTTCTAGTCTCCAGATCTATGAGATAATAAATTTCTGTTGTCTAAGCCACCCAGTTTGTGGTACTTTGTTGCAGCAAGCCTAGCAAACTAATGCACACATATTCTATATTTTGAAGAAAAAATTCCCAGAGAATCATATTTAAAATGGTTAAATTAAGCAAAATAAAACAAACCAAAAAAAGAAAAGTCCCAACTACCTGAAATATTTAATTGTCTTAGGAAACTGACTTAAAAATATCTAATACAGGCCGGGCACGGTGGCTCACGCCTGTAATCCCAGAACTTTGGGAGGCCGAGGTGGGTGGATCACAAGGTCAGGAGTTCAAGACCAGCCTGGCCAAGATGATGAAATCCTGTGTCTACTAAAAATACAAAAATTTGCTGGGCATGGTGGCAGGTGTCTGTAATCCCAGCTACTCAGGAGGCAGAGGCAGAGATTTGCTTGAACCCAGGAGGTGGAGGCTGCAGTGATCCGAGATCACACCACTGCACTCCAGCCTGGGGGACAGATCAAGACTCCATCTCAAAAATAAAAAAATAAAAATAAAGAAGAAAAACGCTATGGAATTTGACTAGAATTAGGGCTAACAATATGAAGCACTTTGGGAAGCCAAGGCAGGTGGATCACCATGTCGGCCAGGAGATTGAGACCAGCCTGGCCAACATGGTGAAACCTCATCTTTACTAAAAATACAAGAATTAGCCAGGTATGGTGGTGAGCACCTGTACTCCCAGTTACTCCAGAGGCTGAGGCACGAGAATCACTGGAACCCGGGAAGCAGAGGTTGCAGTGAGCTGAGGCAGCCTGGTGTCCAAGCTGTGGTGAGCCATGACCATACCACTGCACTCAAGTCTGGGCAACAGAGGAAGTCCCTGTCTCAAAAAAAAAAAAAAAAAAAAAAAAAAGGGCCAGGTGCAGTGGCTCACACCTGTAATCCCAGCATTTTAGGAGGCTGAGGCGGGCAGATCATGAGGTCAGGAGTTGAAGACCAGCCTGGCCAACATAGTGAAACCCCATCCCTACTAAAAATACAAAAATCAGCCGAGTGTGGTGGCATGTACCTGTAATCCCAGCTACTCAGGAGGTTGAGGCAGAAGAATTGCTTGAACCTGGGAGGCGGAGGTTGCAGTGAGCCAAGACCACATCATTGCACTCCAGCCTGGGCAACAGAGTGAACCTCCATCTCAAAAAAAAAAAAAAAAAAAATTTAAAAAGGGAGTATAGGGCCAGCCGCGGTGGCTCACGCCTGTAATCCTAGCACTTTGGGAGGCTGAGGTGGCTGGATCATGGGGTCAAGAGATCAAGACCATCCTGCCCAACATGGTGAGACCCCATCTCTAATAAAAATACAAAAAATTAGCTGGACACAGTGGCGAATGACTGTAGTCCCAGCTAATCTGGAGGCTGAGACAGGAGGATCGCCTGAACCTCGGAGGTGGAAGTTGCAGTGAGCTGAGACCATACCACTGCACTCCGGCCTGGTGACAAAGCGAGACTTCGTCTCAAAAAAAAAAAAAAAAAAAAAGAGTTTAAAAAAATCTTTACAGAAGAATGACAATATAGGAAAAATACAGAAAAAGTAGAAAAGTCTCCATTTTCTAATCACTATAGTAATATTTGATTTGGGCAAGAAGCCATCCAGATGAAACCATTAAGTAAAGATTATTATGGGACAGAATATTCACACTGTTTCTATCATGCCATAGATCACTTGTTAATTACAAAAGGAAAAAGAGGCTGAGAATGGAGTCTCACGTCTGTAATCCCAACACTTTGGGAGGCCAAGGAGGGCGGATCACCTTAGGTAAGGAGTTTGAGACCAGACTGGCCAACATGGCAAAACCCCATCTCTACTATAATTACAAAACTTAGGCAGGCATGGTAGCAGGCACCTGTAATCCCAGCTACTTGGGGGGCTGAGGCACGAGAATCACTTGAACCCAGGAGGTGGAGGTTGCAGTCAGCCAAGATTGCACCATTGCACTCCAGCCTGGGTGACAGAGTGAGACTCCTTCTCAAAAAAAAAAAAAAATGCCCTTATTCTTAGGAGATGTATAGAAGAAATTAGGGGTGAAGTGCTATGAAATCTGCAGTTAACTCTCAAATTGTACAGAAAGAAAATTTATTAATGTTAAAAAATGTCAATATTCATAGATACACATATATGTGGGGGCAGGTAGAAAGGGAGGGACACAGAGACAAAGAAAATATGGCAAAATGGTAACACCTGGTGATCACTGAACTATTCTTGCAACTCTGAAAAGTTTAAAAAATTTCAAAGGTATATTGTTTTTGAACTGCTCGGGAGGTTTAAATTTTTGAATTTTTAAAATAAGCAATCAATTGTGAGGAAGTCTGAGAAGCCACAGACTTAAGAGATAAGATGAAAAATAAGGAAAGTAGAATCACAGTAATAAGAGGAACAGAGTTTCAAAATGCTGTGGTCAGTCAGTAGCTTCAATGCAAAAGAAAGTTAAATTAAGGACCAACTCAGTAAAGACAACTGGATTCAGCAACTGGGAAGTCAGTGATGACCTAGGGTACAGGAGCTGCATTGAAATAGTAGAGTTGGGCCACGCGTGGCCCACATCTATAATCCAGCAGTTTGGGAGGCCGAGGTAGGTGGACCTCTTGAGGCCAGGAATTCAAGACCAGCCTAGCCAACATGGTGAAACCCCATCTCTACTAAAAATACAAAAATTAACCCGAGACAGTGGCGCACCCCTGTAACCCCAGCTACTCAGGGGCCTGAGGCATGAGAACTGCTTGAACCTGGAAGGCAGAGGCTGCAGTGAGCTGAGATAGGGCCACTGCACTTCAGCCTGAGTGACAGGGGAAGACTCTGTCTAAAAAACAAAAAACAGGCCTGGCGTGGTGGCTCATGCCTGTAATCCCAGCACTTTGGGAGGCCGAGGCAGGCGGATCACGAGGTCAGGAGATCGAGACCATCCTGGCTAACACGGTGAAACCCCATCTCTACTAAAAATACAAAAAATTAGCTGGGCGTGGTGGCAGGCACCTGTGGTCCCAGCTCCTCCGGAGGCTGAGGCAGGAGAATGACATGAACCCGGGAGGTGGAGGTTGCAGTGAGCTGAGATTACGCCACTGCACTCCAGCCTGCGTGACAAAGCCAGACTCCCTCTCAAAAAAAAAAAAAAAAAGACGTAAACTGGGTATGTGCCTTTAGAGGTGGTGCACATTTTTAGCATTATAAATGAATATAAATGAGTGGCAACTGTTACTTTGGTCCACAGATTTTTGGTATCTTAACTAGTTTTTGGTCTCTTCCACTAAAGGCATTGCCTGTTGAACCTTGTTAGGAATGTAAGTACTGAAGGCAAACTGCCTGGGTTTGAATTTTGTTCTGTCCCTTGCACCCTGCCTCGTTTCAAATCCTAGCTCTGCTTATTACGTTCTTTTAAGGGGATGACCTTTGAGCAAATGTCTTAGCTTCTGTTTTCCCCAGTAAATGGACACAATAGTTGCTACTTTGTGAAAGATTCATGTAATTGACCAGCATTTACCAAGTAGCATCAGTGTTTAGTTTCAGTCATTGGTGATTCTGCAGTTGGACTGTGAGGGGGTATTGGGGTGGGGGGTGGTGTGTGTGTAGCACTTAATTGCAGGCAGGAAGGAAAAGATACTTTTGATAACCGACAGGCAGCTTTTCTCTGCTTTTATGTCAAAAGGGAGGAAGGGAGTTTGGAGAGGGAAATGAATTCTCTGTAACACTAAGCTCTCTTCCTCAAAACCAGAGGTAGATAGAATGTGTAATAATTTACAGAATTTCTAGACTTCAACGATCTGATTTTTTTAATTTCTTTTTATTTTTTCAGGTTGAGACTGAGCTAAAGTTAATCTGTGGCGACGTTCTGGATGTACTGGACAAACACCTCATTCCAGCAGCTACAACTGGCAAGTCCAAGGTTTTCTATCATGAAATGTAGGTTCTATACTAACAATTAACAAGTGTACTTCAATAAATTTAAACATTCTCAGGAATAGTTGACTTTGTTTCTTTTTTTCTTAGACATTTCATATTATTTTCCTTATTAAATATAACCAAAAATCCCACAGAAATTAACTGAGGAGCCTCTAAATATCAACAAAGTTATCACTTGATAGACTAGAATTAAACAAGCAAGTGGTTCCAAGAAATGGCACGAGTGTATTAATCATAAAATAAAATTTCTACATGAAACATTCAGCCATTCTAGACCATTTCTGTCTGTGCAGACTCATCTTTTCCTGTTCTTTGCAAAGCCCAGCTAGAGCAAGCAAGTTCTTCCCAATAGGTTTTTCCCATCTCTGGTTGCTTGGCTGGCTGGGCTTCCTCTACAAACCCCCTTCCTTTCCCCTAAGCAGGGCCCGGTGTCCCCATCCCGCGGAGTTGAGCTCATGAGGGCATCTGACCAGGAGTAGCTATTCCTGGTGCTATTGTCATTGTCCTGTTTCATGTGTGAACATGGCTGGCTCTACAGAGATTTGGCGGGTAGCAAGGAGGTTTCTTTTTGAATCTTCTTTTGGAAGTCAGACTTGATGAGGATCTTATGCCCACTTTTTCCTAGCTCTGTGGTGTCAGGCAAAGTCTGTTTCTGCAAATGGGGGTTAAGAATTCCTACCTCACAGCAGTCTTTTGATAAATAAATAAGATCTTAAGTGTAAATTATTCCACTAGAAATTGCACAGTCACTTTGGTCTTCATCCTGGAGGTCCACTGACAAGCCTCATGCAAACCTGTGGCCCTGTTCATAAAGTGTTTTGATCCATACTTTCAAATGGCCTCAGGAAGACCTTTTATAAAGTAAAAATGTTAGGCAGCCACATGATATCCATTGACCCAGTGAGGCTGTTTTACTGGATATAAGAGGTTTGACCCGGCATTTTGGGGGGCCGAGACAGGCAGATCACTTGAGGCCAGGAGCTGGAGACCTGCCTGGCCAACATGGAGAAACCCCATCTCTATTAAAAATACCAAAAAAATTAGCTGGGCATGGTGGCACATGCCTGTAATCCCAGCTACTTGGGAGACTGAGGCACAAGAATCGCTTGAACCCGGGAGTCAGAGGTTGCAGTGAGCCAAGCCGAGATGGCGCCACTGCACTCCAGCCTGGGCAGCAGAGTGAGACTCTGTCTCAGGGGAAAAAAAAGGGTGAGGGGAGGGTTTGAAAAAATAGTAGCATGTAGTTATGTTTCTACAATATTTGATATATATAAGGATTTACCAACCTCTTGCATTAGCTGCTATCCCCTACAGCAGTTGCTGTAGGAAAAAAACATCAAGTTCTGAGCTCCTACTGTTTGCCAGGCATATTCTGAGATGATCACGTTGAAATCTCAGAGTTACCCTGCAGAGTAGTCAGGGTATCACTGCCTGACAGATGAAGAAGCTGAGGCTTCCAGCAGATAAATGACTTACCCCAGGCCACATAGAAAATGAGTGGGAGAGCCCAGGTCTGTCTGTGAGGTATAATGAAATTAGCATAAACCCTCCACATTGGCGCCACTCGCATAAATTAACATATATTCTCTCACAGAAAGTATTTTATTGGGCATAACAGTTTGTATCATTTACCGTTTAACATTAGCCGTGGATCTTCCCACATCACATGACTATGCCTCATTCTTTTTGGATAATATGATTACTATTGAATGGATTTACTATCATTCACTTAATCAATACTCCTTTTGATGGCCATTTTAATTGTCTATTTTTTCCTTTTGCACAGATTGGTGTAATAAACGTGATTTTATAGTAATATTTTTGTCTGCCTGTGAAAATGTTTGCTGGACAATAAATTCCTAGGAGTCAAATAAGGTCAAAGATTATAAATACAGTATTTATTTTCATAAATATTACCAAGTCAGCCACAAATGTTTAAATTACTAATGGTTTCAGATTATTGTATTTAATGAGTAAACACTTTTATAGGGTTTACTTTTATGAACACTTTTATTTGCCAGATATCATTCTAAGTCCTTTACAAAATTAACTTTTTTAATTTGTAATATAACCCTGAGATGTATATTAGGATTATCCCCATTCTACAGATAAGAACACTGAGAAGTTAATTAACTTGCCACATATCTAGGAAGTGACAAGGCTAGTTGCACAGCCAGGCAGTCTGGCTCCTGAGTCCACATTTTAGACAACACTATACCTCCTGGTTCTTTTGAGGCATTACTGCTGGAACTATCCTAATACTCATAAATAAACATTTCTTTTGGGGAGGGCCAAATAAAATTTTAAACAGAAAAGTTTTCACCAACTGTCAAGCTCATAAAGTTGTACGTTATACACTTTTTTCATGATGCCCACAGATAATTTATTAATGATATCATCTATTTTAAAAGACGTATGTAAAACCCAACCCTTAAGAAAGGATTCCTATCACTGTTCCCACAGGCACCCTCCTCAGTCTTATACCTTTCCATTCCACCCCCCAAAACAAATCATTCAGCATATTTATTTCATACTGTAATATAGGAAGTAGCTTCTTTTTAGATTTTCTTAGATTATTAACATTGATCATACAAACATGGAATAGAAATTCCTTATGTTTTATCTGGATTTAAGGTGCTACATAATGGAATCTATTTCTATCAAGCCATACACATTGGAGATAATGAAATCACTTGTGTTCTAGCCTAAACGTTATGGGAATTTCAGAACTGCAACATAACAGATAATCCTTGGACGAAAACTAAATCTCTCCTCTGGTCAGGCATCTATGTGCATCAGTGAAGAGAAGACGGGGACTGTGGAAGGGAAAACAGTGAGTCAGGAAGGACTGTGGCCACATCTGTTCCCCGGACCCTCAGGTAGTTAAATCCTGACCTCCTCTACCCCAGACTGTCCTGGGGAACGGCCAACACTGGCTTTTCACAACTGTGTGTTACCAGAAATGCAACAGAAACCCAGCTGAATCCCCAGGGTTTCCCTTCTGCCCTTCTCAATGGAAAGATCTGTCCCAGGACCATTTATTCCAACATTTTCAATTATGAGAAATCTGGGAAGATAAAGTTATTTTCACATTTCTCAAGAAATACATACTTATTCATACTCATGACAGGAAAGTCAGAATCTACAGAAAACCAAGAAGATTTTTAAAAATCCATGATACCACCATCAAAAGAGCCACACTTAGTATGTTGGTCCACAGGTTTCCTAGCACCCTTTTCTGTTGGTGTATGCACAAAATACACAATCACATTCTGTCTACATTTTACAATTTGCCATTTTTTGATTAACACTATATATTGACCAATTTTTAAGACCTGCAACATATGTCGACAACATTATTTCAGAATAATATATTTATAAATAAACGCACACACAAACTGTCTGTCTTATATACAACACGTCTTACTTTCTAATTCTCCACTCTGGAAGATTTAGGTTTTCCTAACTTTTTAATATACTCACCAGGAATCAGTAAACTTTTTTTATAAAAGGCCAAAGGGTAGATATTTTAAACTCTGCAGGCCATAGGTTTCTGTTGCAACACTCAACTCTGCTGTTGCAGGGAAAGAAGCCATACACAATTTGTAAATGAATGGGCATGACTGTGTTCTGATAAACTTTACAAAAACAGGTGGTGGACTAGATGCAGCCTGCTCCTCTGGACATGGCTTACCAGCCCCTGACATATACCACTACAGAGGATGCTGTTAGAATGAAATCTCTTTACACATCTCTGATCATCTCCTTAGGACTAATTGCTAGACATGACATCATGGTAGCTGTGGGTCAAAGGGCATGCACGCTCTGGGATGTACATTGCCAGATTGCTCATGATCAGCCTTTCTCATGTCAAAATGTTTTGTGACCACCAGAAGGCTGGTTCTGCTTTTATTATCCATTGACTGAGGAGTAGAAATGACATGGCATGTATGCAGGATATTTAACCATCGTATAGATAATCCTTGTGCACAAGTGCATTCTATATTCTTTCCCAATAGGTCTACATCTGCCAGAGTTGAAATAAAATAAAACAAAACAAACCTATTTAGCACCTTCTGTGTAGCAGGTCCATTCATGTATGTTGTTGTATTTCATTCTCAGAATTCTTATGACCTAGGCATTTTAAAAATTTTTTTAAAAATATTGAGTTGACAAGGATTGTGTATATTTAATGCATACAATGTGATGATTTCATATATGTATATATTGTGTACTAATTATCACAATCAAATTTATTACATCCATTACCACCTATGCTGTACATTAAATCTCCAGAATTTGTTCATCTTATAACTGAAAGTTTACACCCTTTGATTAATAGCTTCCCATTTTCCCCACCTCCAGCCCTTGGCAACCACCATTCTACTATCTGTTTTTATGAGTTTGACTCTCTTAGATCCCACATATAAGTGAGATCATACAAAACTTGTCTTTCGGTGTCTGGCTTATTTCACTTAGCGTAATGTCCTCCAGGTTTATCCAGGACAGGAGTTTCTTCTTTTGAATGGCTAATAGTCCATTGTTTATATGTATTTTATTTATCCATTCATCTGTTGCTGGACACTTAGGCTGTTTCCATATCTTGGGTATTGTGAATAGTGTTGTAATAAACATGGGGCGCAGATCTCTCTTCAAGGTTCTAACCTGATTGCTGAATCGTATGGTAGTTCTGCTTCTAATTTTTTGAGGAACCTCCATACTGTTTTCTGTAAAGGTTATACCACTTTACATTCCAACCAACAGTGTACAAGGGTTCTCTTTCCTCTATGCTTTCGCCAACACTTGTTATCTCTTGTCGTTTTTTTATAAGAGCCATCCTATCCTATGAGGCAATATCTCACTGTGGTTTTGATTTGCATTTCTCTGATGATTAGTGGTGTTGAGCACCTTTTCATATGCTGGCTGGCCATTTGTATATCTTCCTTGGGGAAAAAAGTCCATTGGGGTCCTTTGCCTATTTTTAATTGCGTTATTCATGTATTTATTAATTTTTGCTATTGAATTGTGTGAATTCCTTATATTTTTTCAAATAACCCCTTATCAAATATATGGGTCGCAAATATTTTCTTCCATCCCGTAGGTTGCCTTTTCATTTTGTCATGGTTTCCTTTGCTGTGTAAAACCTTTTAAGATTGATGTAGTCCCATTTATTTATTTTCACTTTTGTTGCCTGTGCTTTGGTGTTACATCAAAAAAAATATTGCCAATTATGACCAATGTCGAGGAGATTTTTCCCTATGTTTACTTCCAGGATTTACATGGTTTCAGATATTACATTTAAATCTTTAATCCACTTTGAGCTAATTTTCTGTATATGATGTAAAACAAGTGTGCAATTTCATTCTTTTTCATGCACTTTCCCCAACACCATTCATTGAAGAGAGTTTCCTTTCTACATTGTGCCTTTTTTTTTTTTTACAGTACAGTGAAAGCAAGTCTATTAAGAAAGTAAAGGAATAAAAGAATCTACATTGTATATCCTTGATGGCCTTGTCAAAGATCTGTTGACCATATATGCACGGGGTTATTTCTGGGTGAGCTTGGCATTTTTTTTTTTTTTTTTTTTTTTTGAGACAGAGTCTCGCTCTGTCGCCCAGGCCAGACTGCGGACTGCAGTGGCGCAATCTCGGCTCACTGCAAGCTCCGCTTCCCGGGTTCACGCCATTCTCCTGCCTCAGCCTCCCGAGTAGCTGGGACCACAGGCGCCCGCCACCGCGCCCGGCTAATTTTTTGTATTTTTAGTAGAGACGGGGTTTCACCTTGTTAGCCAGGATGGTCTCGATCTCCTGACCTCATGATCCACCCGCCTCGGCCTCCCAAAGTGCTGGGATTACAGGCGTGAGCCACCGCGCCCGGCCGAGCTTGGCATTTTTATCTACCTCATTCTACCGATGAGGAGGCCGAGTCTCAGAGAGTTCACAGACCTGCCTAAGGTCACTCAGCTAGAGGTGATACAACCAGGGTTTGAACTGAGATCTGCCAAGCTTCTGAGTTTATTCTTTTTCCCCCACACCAAGGATCCTCAATTCTGCCTTACTGACATCAGGATCCGGTCAATTCTTTGTGATGGGGGCTGTCCTGCACCTGGCAGGATGTTTAGCAGCTTCTCTGGCCTCCACCCACTGGATGCCAGGGGAATGCAGAAGAGGCTTGTTCATTCTCCCATTTAATCCTCAGGACAATATCTGACATAAATGTTACGTCTTTTATTTTATAAATGAAGAAAATGAGACTCAGAAAGGTTTAAGTGAGTTACTTAAGAACACACAGACAGCAAAGGTAGAACTGGAAACCGAACACAGGTGTCCACATGGGACAACAAAAAAGTTCACGTTCCATCTTCTTTTGAGTCTCTCATTTCAATAATTACCATTGTGTGGATATGAGCTGAAGTACAGGAAACCTGGGGCTGAACTCTCCTCCCATCAGGCCTAGGAGCCCCAGACCAGAACCCCAGCCCAAGGTCTCCCAGTCAGGCCCGCTGGCGTGAGCTGGCATCTACACTAGCATGGTCTCCCAAAGCTGCAGGGATGCCAGTCTCGCCGCTGATGAAGAAAATGAAGGGCATTTGCTTCTCATGCAGGCTGTCGGGATTTAACACAGATTCCTTTTCTTGCTCTCTTCTCCCATAGCACAAAACTGGGTGGTCCATCCCCCTCCCAGTGTCCCAAGGCTTTGTTGCGTGTTCTCTTTAATTTCTCCCACTCTTGCGGTGTACCCTACCCTCATCTCCCTGGCAACCTTTCTGCTGTATCCTCTCGACACCTGGATCACAAGAACACTTGTGAGACCCCTTAACAAGTTACATCCCAAATTATCATTCCCCTTTGTCCTCAGCCAGTGCTCAGGTCCAACTTGCTCTCCTGGGGTGACTTTCTTTCCTGCCCAATATGGTTTCATCATCTGTAAATTGGGGATAATTAAAGTCTTGATCCTGATATTTGACTCTCAAAGCAGAAGTAGCAAGCTCAGCCAAGTCACTTCAACAAGAGGAGAAGTTCCTTGTGAACCAAAAGGGCACTGGTCACAAGGGCCGCTCCTTCTTCTGTCAGGCCTCTCCAGCACGCCCTTGGCTCAGCCAAAGAAGAGACTCAGGCTGTGCTTCTGCACTGTTGGGATAACATAGGCCTCTTCCATGTGGTTCCACACCAGGAACATGGGGACAATCAGACCTCTCCCAGTGTGGGCATAAGGATACAAGATCATGTCAATATTGACATTCATAATGGCTGGGCGCAGTGGCACACGCCTGTAATGCCAGCACTTTGGGAGGCTGAGGTGGGCAGATTGCTTGAACCCCAGAGTTCGAAACCAGCCTGGGCGACTTGGCAAAACCAGTCTCTACTGAAAATACAAACAATTGGCTGGGCTTGGTGGCGCACACCTGTAGTCTCAGCTACTTGGGAGGCTGAGGTGGGAGGATTGCTCAAACCCAGGGAGGTTGAGGCTTCAGTGAGCTATGATGGCACTGCTGTACTCCAACCTGGGCAACAGAGTGAGGCCCTGTCTCAAAACAAAAACAAAGACAAAACAACATTCATAATAGTAGCAATAGCTACTATGTGCCAAGCCCAGGCACCTCTTCGAGTCTTTGCTGTCACCCTATCAGGTAAGCGTGCTTAGAAGTTACACGAAGCACACGGCTCAGTGTTTGGCCCACGGTAAGGGCCTAAAAAGGGATAGCCCCAGTGGTGGGGATGCTGCTGCTGCTGACCATTAACCCCAGTCTGCTCCACCTTCTTCCAGGCAGTCTGTGAGATGTTTGATGTCCGAGGCAAACAGCACATTCAGATCCCCAAGCTCTACACCTCCAGTGTGACCAGGCACCTGCACCACTTCAGGCTCATGCAGGACTCACAGCCTTTGGACCTCAGCTAAAGGACTTGCTTCTCTTCAGCACACGGGGCTTGTTTGTGTTGGGGTCTGAGCCCTGAGCCCATGGTCAAGGAGACCCCCAGGTCTTTCTGAACAGAGACAGCTGGCCTGGGGGCCTCCCTCTCACTGCGTGCAAGAGGCTGTTAGGGTGCAAGACTCAAGGCGCTGAGGGAGGCTGTTTCAGGAGGGAGCCCCAGGAGGGTGGTGGAGACAGAAGGGGGCAGCATCTGCCGAGGCCCTACTGTGTGCCTGGCACCGTGTGGGGTTTCTGGCCCATATGGGCTAAGTGACCCTGCACACTCCTCTTAGGAGAGAGGCTCAGATGGAGAAATTGCAGTTCAGGAAGGTGAAGCAAGCTGCTAGCCTGTGGCCATGTTGGGATCTGGGCCTCAGCCTTCCAGCCACGAAGGCAGCCAAGTGTCATGAAGAAGGCATCACAGAGGCAATTCCAGGCTGTAGTGGTGAACTTTCCACTCTGCATCCCCGGGTGCTGTGCCCTGTGCCCTGTCTAAGGTAGCCCTGTGGGTTTCTATATGTTTAAATTGTCCCCAGCATCAATGATGCTCTCCTGTGGATCCCAAGCCATGGAGATGTCCTGGGACTTTTCATTTTTAGGTACCTAAATTGAATTTCCCAACACACAGAAGCAAGACAGCCGCCCTAACAGACTCTTGCATGCAGTGAGAGGGAGGCCGCCAGGCCAGCTGTCTCTGTTCAGAAAGACCTGGGGGTCTCCTTGACCATGCGCTCAGGGCTCAGACCCCAACACAAACAAGCCCCGTGTGCTGAAGAGAAGCAGGTCCCTTAGCTGAGGTCCAAAGGCTGTGGGTCCTGCATGAGCCTGAAGTGGTGCACGTCCCTGGTCACATTGGAGGTGGAGAGCTTGGGGATCTGAATGTGCTGTTTGCCTTGGATCTTTATTTGTGATTCAGAAACAGTGGAATAAAAGGAAAGGAAAGAAAACCTGAATGGCCACCTCAGCAGGATGCTCCAAGGGTAGTGTCCAGGTGGCACTGACTCAGATATGTGGGGGCTTCCCCCACCCATGCTCAAGAGCCACTTTGCCATTTCACCATCTCTCTGTCCTCCACACCCCTCAGCAGCAAGCACAACAAGAATGTGTTCACCATGAAGCTCAAATCTCAGCAGAATCTAGAGTCTGAAATCCAAGTAAGGGAAAGTGTAGAGCTTCTTGGATGATGCCCTGTCAATTTTATTTTAACGAATGAAAGACCAGAAGAAGTCAGTCTTGAAAGGAGAGGACAGGAGCATCTGCTGGCATTAGCAGCCGTGCCATCGTAGGACCGACTCACCTGGACCCGCGGCCACCTGTGCTTTTACATCTAGTCTTGGTTAACCATGGGCCACTTTTCCAGCTTGGAAACTAAGCATATGCTCCACTTCCTCTCCTTCCTCATTGAACTCTTTCACTAAAAGAACAGTGCAAGAGAGACTTAAACTGTTTGCCTCATTCTTAAGACCTTTCAGGAAAAGTGTTGGCAGGGAAGGAAATCTCCCAGCTCTGGGAAACAGTCTTGTGGATTATCTGCTGGTTTCATTGATCTGTGCTGTCCTCCCTGCATTCATTAGGAAAACTGGCCTTGGTTCAAATAAGAACAGGATTTGTCCTGGTGACAGAGAAAGGTTTCTTCTGATGTCCATATATCTCCGAGGGGGATGCTTTCTCCAGGCAGAGGCTGTGGCCAAGCGATCGGGGGGCTCAGAGGGCTGCTGGGAAGGGGTGGGCCCCTCTCTCCCCAGAGGGAAACTCCTGGGGACCTCTCGAGCACCCCTGCCCATCCTTTAAACATAAATTCATAAATACAAACAAGTAGGCCATTCACAGAAATATATAAAATATGTCATAGGACGGGTGGCACTCTCATATGGCAATAATTATGACAGGGGCCGGCAAATGACCTGAGTGACCCGGAGTGACCTGAGCACTGACTCCCAAATGCCCTCCATAGGATGTTCTGCATCCCCGAGACCCTTTCCTGGGTCCTCCTGGGCCCTACCACCCCCTAGACCATCCAGACCTCAGGTCATCCCCCTGTCTGTTGACAGAGTAGTCTCCGTTCCTGAATGTGCTGGTCACCAGCAACAGCAGCTGCTCCTCCTCCGGGAAGCTCAGCCTATACTTCTACATGCAGAGAACCTGGACGGCACCCAGGTGGACCTAAGCCTTCAGCTCCCAGTAGACGCTCTGGGTTTCCTACCCTGCCCAGACACTCTGGGCTTCCCCCCACACCTCCCCTCGGCCGGGGCTCCTGTGTGCATCTGTCTCTCCCAGTGCCCAGCACAGGCGTGGAACGGAAGAGGTGAATGGACCGATTTGAACACATCATCCTGGATTCTCCGTTCCCTCTCAAGCCCTGCAGCTAACCCATCGGCAAGCCCTGGAGGCTCTGCCTCCAAAATCCTGCCTATCCCATGTGCAAACGCCTCTCACCACGTCCACTGCTATTTGCAGTTCTGTGTGTGTGGAAATACTTCCACAAATTTGGAATGAACAGGTCACAGCTGTGCCTGGAGGGAATGGCCAGGGAAATGTGCCCTCGCCTTGCTGTTCTATCCAGGCCCACCCAGCTGAGGATGGGGGACCTGCCACCACTCTCCTGGCAGTTCCGGACTCCTGGGAACCGGCAGGTGAGGACCCAAGAGTGTTTTCAGTGACCCGGCTGACCTGGTCATCCGTCAGTCCCACCTTGGCCTAGGCCTCTATACAGCACAGATCACAGCTCATTCCATCCTGGCATTACACTGGCCTGTGCCCTGTCCTCAGGGTCACATCCGTCTCCCAGAAGCCGTGCAACCCTGGAAAACCCAGGTCTAACAGTCAGGTTCCTCCTCCGTGCATTAACAATGGCGTTGACGCCTGCTTTGCGGGACGCTGGGAGGGGAGAGGGAGGTGTATGCTGGAGAGCTCCCCAGGGGCAAGGCCTGGCTCTGCGTCACCCACTGTCAGATCCTGAGAGCCTGGGGCTGGCCCAGCACGTGGCCACCGTTCCCTAAGAGTTGGATTTCATCCCTCAGTGCTGAAGGCAGGGGATAGAGCTTAGACAGACCCCCTGCGTCCTGTCTTCTTTATCTACAGCTTTCTCATCCTTGCCCCTTTCACGTGCACCCGGCAGAGCAGGTGTTCACTGAGCTTGAGCAAAATTCAAGCTAGAGCAGCTGATGGATCTTGAGGCCTAGATTCACTGTCAAAGTGTTTCTCAAACGGTGCTCTCCAGAACACCAAGGAAAACTCATTGACTGTGTAAGTCTGAAAATCCCTGCCCACCGGTCTACCTTTGTGTATGAGCAATCAGCTCTACCATTCAGCCCAGGTGTGTGTTTGCTGGACCATGTGGAGGAAGCTGAAGAGACGTGAGCTGAAGGCAGAGGGTGAGTCCAAGGTGGGATCTTGGGACAGGTACGAGAAGTTAGGCAAAAATGGGATAATTCTAGCCTTCATAACCTTAGATAATAGTTCACATTATTATTTAGTTAATAGAACTGTACCCACATTAAATTTCTTAAATTTTTTTAAGAGATAAAGTCTCACTCTGTCACCCAGGCTGGAGTGCAGTGGTGCAATCATGGCTCACTGCTTCCTGGAACTCGTGGGCTCCAGCAATCCTCCTGCCTCAGCCTCCTGACTAGGTGGGACTATAGGCACACGCCACCATGCCTGGCTAATTTCTTTGACTTTTCTCTAGAGACCGGGTCCACCTAGGTTTCCCAGGCTGGTCTCAGACTTCTAGACTCAAGTGAACCTGAACCTCCCGCCTCGACCTCTCAAATTGCTGGGATTACAGGTGTGAGCCACCACACCCGGCCTAAATTTCTTATGTGCCATGGGACTGCAAAACATCATTATTAGGGGCAGCTGGATGGAAGGTATAGGAGGATACTATAGTGCCTTTTCAATATTTCTGTCTAAAATCTAAAATCATTTCAACAGGAAACATTTATTTCAAAACATGAAGGTGGTTATCCTTCCATGAGTTTGAAGTACAAAGGCAGGCTCACGGTGTCGTCAGAATTCAGAACGATGGTCGTGGGGCTGGGGGTGCTGGGAGGGGCTGGGCATGGTTGGCTTTGTGATCTGGGGTCTGGTGTGTTCCATCTCTGAATCTCTCTCGAGCTGCACTCTTTCTTAATACATTTTCATAAGTTTAACCAAAAATAAAACGAGGATGCGAAGCTTGCTTGGGTTGTTAAGCCTAGGGAAATTATCCAGCCATGAGCCCTGGCCCAGATGCTTCTAGAAGCCTGGAGGGAACTGAGAACTTTCCAAGTGGAGGCCGCAGAGGCAAGGCCCTGAGGTGGGAGCACACTGCTGTTCGTCCCTAGCTCTGAAGGGGGTGCCCTGGTCGGAATCAGTGCTGGGTGCAGCGAAAGCCGATCTCACCCGCTCCGCAGGGTGTTCAGCCTGCCAGCAGGGGGCCAGCTGGTCCTCCTGGGATATGGCACGGACCCAGCAGCTCTGTCTGAAATCATAATGGCGGAACCAAGGGCCCTCTACGTCCAGGTCCGTTGGGAGGCGGGGCATGGAGTTCCACTGCAGGAATCTCCAGGAACCCTGAGGTCCTCCCTGAGCCAGGGCCGGGCTGGGCACACCCTGAGTGCCCACAGGGTAGGTGTCTTCCCGGACAGCCCCACCAGGACAGGGTGTGGAAGAACGAGGTGCCCGTGGCGGGGAAGCTGACCAAATGGGCCGCGGGAACCAGGCTGGTGGGCCTGGAGGGGCCTGCCTGTCCCCCTTGCAGAGGGTCTTCCCGCCACGTGAAGCCGGCACAGGCCTGGATGCCGACGACCCTTGCTCGGGTTTGGCTGAAAGGAAAACAGACGCGGTCAGCATCTCCAGTGAGCCCACGCAGGCCTTTCCGGGCTGGGCCCCACCTGCCTGCGTCTCTGGAGTCCTCGGGGTCTCTGTGTGGCCCCCGTGGCCTGACACCGAGGACACGCCTGTAGTCTGCTGATCCCAGAGGGAGGGGTGCATGCTGCCTGGCGTGGGGAAGCTGTCGTGGCATGGCGGGTGGCTCCTGGGACTGCCCCCAGGGTTCAGACTGGCTGGGGGCTTCCTGCCACACACCTTCGTCCCAGGGCTGTTGGGCCTGGGATACGGCCCCCAGTCAGAACTCAGGTGGGAGGGGCCTTGGATGTCACCCAGCCCCTTGTCACCTCACGTGGGGACCCGTCTCCGCAGTGGGTGATTGGGCCCGGACGTGGGTCACCCTCTGCCCTCCTGGGCTGCCCAGTCCATGCCAGGACTGACCGTTCCCACTTCTGGCTGAACTCTTGGCTCTGGCTCTGGGCCCGGGGTCCCGCCTGTGCCCTCTCCCTGAATGCTCTGTGGGTCAGGGACACGGATTCCCTTGTCTCCCTGGCTCCAGGCTTCTTGTCCTGGCAACCTTGGAGGAGCGTGCAGGAGTGAGGGGCCTCTGCTGCTCTCTGAGGCTGTGGGTGCTTGCAGGGAGGGGCGGGGTCTCCCACAAATGGGTCTGGGCTCGTCTAGTAACTTGGAGGGCCCTGCGAGGGGGAGAGGGAGACACCGTGGAAAGTGGGAGGGGGCTTGTTGGAGGGTCTTGCCCACATCCCCCTCCTGCGTGCACAGCATGTCCAGTATACACGCACTGAGCGCCTGCCCTGAGGACCGGTGGGCCTCCTGTACTTTCTTAGAGTCCAGGAGGAAGAGGAGGAAGAAAAGGTGAAGAGGAAGGCCCAGGTAGTAGGGTTGCGGGTCCCGGGCACTCCCCTACTACTGACTACCCCAGAGGGTGACATGGGAGGGGACATGGCACTGGAGCCCACCTGGGGGTGGCAGGTCCCCCTGCTTTCTTGTTAGTTTCTTCATAGAGGCCCTAAGATGCTTGAGCACAGTGTCCTCATCCCTGGCCCAGGTATCAACGAACCGGTTGCAAAAACGTGCCCACGGGCCACACCTGGACGTCTTCGTGAGGCGCTCTAGGGACAGGGTGGATATCAGGCCAGGGGAGTTACCTGGGAATGGTCACAGCTCATACCCCGTGGCCACTTCAGTCTCCTACTGGTCGGTGCCGGATCCTTTTGTGGCCACCCCAGGTGTCCAGATATACACAGGAGACTGTGGCTGGGGACCCAGATGAAAGTCGAGAGTGTGGTGAGCACTTCCCTGTCCGGATCATGTGAGGGATGGGCTCGGTGTCACAGTGTCCTGCCCAGCCCACCTGGCCGGACCTCCCTCTGGGCCAGAACAGCGGATCATGAGGACAGTGTGAGGAAGCTGCCCTCGGGCCAGTCGGGGTCTGACCCCAGGGCTCCCCAGGCCCCGCTGGGCACACGTAGACTTACTCTGCTGAACCTTAAAGGCGATTCTTGTTATCGGCATCAACGCCTGTTCGCCTTCTACCAGATACACGTCCCACAGGCGCAGGGTGAGCCCGAGAGAGATCTGTGGGGACAGCAGGTGTGAAAGAACCTGGTCCTTCCAGGCTGGGGCTGGTGGCTCGAGCTGCGCACACTGGGGCTTCAGTCTCCAGAGTCAGTGACCTTCCCCATGAGGGTCGCCTGAGCCCTCCAGGACGCTGGGTCAGACAAGGTCTTGAAGCTCCTCATGGGGGGCACTCATTTGAGTGGGGATGTGGCTCCTGGAGAGAGGGGCTTGCCCAGGGCTTGAGGCTTCCCTGAGCCCTCTCAAGTCGGGTCCTGGCCCAGTCTGCCCATGAGGCTGGGCCTGAGCCCCAGCCATTGCCCTGGGATGACCCCTCTTGGGCAGAGGGTTTTGCTTGTGTGTCCTTTGGGGACCCGCCTGAGCCTTCTGTGGGCTGGGAGTGAGCCAGACCCCCGGGCTGGGGAAGCAGGGCACTGCAGGGCAAGGAAGGTCCCTGAGCCAGGGTCTCCCTATGCCTCCTTACCCCGTCAATCAATATCCGGATGAGGCAGCCTAACGGGGAACACTGCCCACATAGATCTTTCTTGTCCTGATGGAAGCAACAGAGGTGCTCAGGCCACTGGGCTGCCCTAAAAACCTCCCTCTTCCAGGGCCTCTGAAGACCCTTCCCCTAGTGCAGAACACTGGGCGGTGTCCAGAGCTCCCCACAACACTGTCACCTTCCCACACTCCCGGTGGACACACTGCCCTTTGCCCTGCTCTGCGGGAGCTGGGCCCCCATCCCTGTGCCTCTGTCTCCTCCAGGGCAGGAAAGGAAACCAACTCCCAGCCCATGGAGAACCCGACGTCCCAGGTCAGGCCCTGGCTGGGACTCAGCCAGTCACCAGCCCCACGAGGGGCCCCAGCCCCCCTGCTCCTACAGCCCCACGGGAGGCAGGGCCTCTGGGAAGAGCTGAGGGGACCATAAACTCACCTGATGCCCCATGGTCTTGGATTGTGACGTGGCTACCACATGCTCCTGTTGGTCTTGGAGCCCCTGGACGGTCCCGCCATTTGGGCTGTGAAATCCTGAGAAGCCCCCAGCCCATCATGAAATCAGAGCCTTCCCCCAAGATGTGGAGCCATCAGCTGCAAGAGCTGGGCAGCTGGAGAGGCCCCCAAACCCCAAGGCTACTCCCACCCTCCCATCTGGTGACCCCAACATGCGGCCTTTACCCTGGGGAGGTGGGGCGGGAACATTCCCTGGAGCCTGGCTGGAGGTTCCCCTGGAGGCCTCCTGGGCCAGGGTGCAAAAAGGGCAAGCCTGACTTTCAGGCCACGACAGGGTGGCCGGAACTGGGTGGGCGCTGGGCTTCCCGGTCATCTCCTGGTAGTGGGGTCGGGCCAGGGGAACAGGGGATGGGGAGATGCTGCCACCTGGGCTTGGTCGGCCCATTCGTGGGCACCGATGGCAGCAGGAGCCCGGGCAGCTGGAGGGCAGGAGGACTCTCAGGGAGGGGAGAGTCAGCTGCACAGAATCAGAGCCGGAGGGCGTGGCTCCAGGACACAGAGGGTGGCCACGGGGAGGATGAGATGCCCTCTGCTGATGGGGATGACAGGCGTCTGATTTGGGCTTTGGGGGTCAGCCGTGGACTCCTGTGGGACCCTCAGCAGAGACATCCTAAAGTCTCCCAACAAGCTGGCGACACAAGGAGGGTGCCTTGGCTGAAAGCTGTGATCACCCGGCCAGGGTGGCCATCCCCAGGTCTGGCTGCAGGAGGTCCCCGGGGCAGCTGTTCACTTACCCTGCAGGGAGTGCCTCTCACTGGCCAGCAGCTGCACCAGTGCCCAGAATGCATCCTCCTCAGGAAGATAGAGGAGGAACAAGGCGGCGATGTGGCTCAGGTCCCTGCAGTAGCCCACCTCCTGCAAGAGCCAGAGTCACCATGGAAGGACATCACCTGGGAGGGCTGAGGTCACCTGGGAGGACTCATGTCATTGGAGAGGGCAGAGGTGACTGGAGAGGCTTCCTCTGAAGGAGAGGCTTCCTCTGAAAAAGAGGCTTCCTCAGGATGCACATTCATTTCATGACAAGAGCCAAGTCCATCAGGCACTTCAGCACCTTGTCCAAAATGTCTGCTGATAGCACCATCCTGTGTGCGATGCTGCCAAGCTCCTGGGCTTTGGGGCAGCCCCAGGAGGAGGGCGTCATTTCTTGTTCTGAGAAGTGGTGGTCAGGCCCAGGTGACACCAGGAGTCCGGGCCCTGACTCCTTTGTGTCTCAGCTTGACCCCTTGAGACCACCCCCTTCCTTGGAGGTTTATGCCAGCGGTGAGCTGACATCCTACCTCCTATATCCTGGTGGGTCACAAATACTAACTTTAAAAGAAGCAACGACACCCCCACCAGACACCCACTCCTGTCAATATGGAAATATGGCCCGGGAACCTCACTGCCGGGAATACTCACCGGGTTATACTCCTCATATGCCAGGAGGATGTGGAGTAGTTCCCGCTGCCTAGGAAACAGAGAAAGGGGGCTTTGGTTTGTTTTGTGCAGATGTTGTTAATTTCACTTTGTCTACAAAGCCTAACAGCAAATCCCATTTCAGGTTCAGATGTTTCACCAGATAAGCAGTGAGCTCTTCAGGGCCTGAGACTCTTGAAGAAATGTTTCAGTAAAATCCACATCTGTGACATGCAAATAGCCCAGTTGTACAGTGACTTGCCTGATCCTTTTCACTCTGAATGATTTTTTTTTTTTTTTCAGTTTGCACACACGCCAGTTCAGTCTGTGTGTGTACAGTTCCTCCACGGTTCCAAACCAATGTGCAGAGTCTCCCGGCCACCGCTCCAGCCCCTCCTGGGGCGACTCCTTCATCCTCCAAGTCTCCAGGGTGGCCCCTATGCACCCAGCCTCTCCCCGATCCGTCAGCCCCTGGCCACCCAGACTGCTTCTCAGTCCCTGTGGTTTGGCCTTTTCCAGAATGGCCTAGGAATGGGAATCCTACTGTGGTAGCTTATTGGGTCTGGCTTCTGTCCCTCAGCAAAATGCATCTAGGATCCACCCACGTTCGTGCGGGCATCACCGGCTCGTTCCCTTTTCTCACTGGGTCTTCCGTTTGAAGGGAGGACCAGCCTTGCTCTCCCCATTCCCGTGTTGAAGGCCGTCCCCGAAGGCTCCGTGTGTGAGTGACGAGGAGTCAAGCAGTGAACCTGGCATGCTGGTTTCATGTGGATGTCAGTTTCCAAATCAGTGGGTTCAATATCTGTGACACTTTGGGGATGTGTGGTTCAAGTCCATCGAGCTTTGTGAGCCACTGCCCAACTGGCTGCCAACGTGGCTGTGCCATGTCATGTTCCCAGCGGACCTGGATGAGAGTTTCCAGGACCCCTAATTCTCCCAGCATTTGGTGCTGTCACTGTTGCCTGGGGGGGCTCATGGGCCCTCTATCCTGCCACCCTCCCGTGGGTCCTACCATGGGTCCCCATGGGTCAGGGAGAGCACCCTTCACCATTGTGCATGATTTTGTTTGCTGCCTTCCATCTCCTCAGGATCCTCCTGGGTTCTGGCCCCACATGTTCCAGTCTGGCCCAGGGCTTGGAACCAGGGAGGTGCTCGGTTCATGGTGCCGGCTGCTCCCTGGGCCGGGAGAGCTCTTGGCAGCTGTGTCATCCCTCCTGGGTGACCCTGGCTTCTGCTCCGGGGAAGCCCCCATCCCTCTCATTCACCCCATCTCTGCTGGGACCCTGTGGCTCCCTTAGGCTTACTTGGTTCCGTATCGATCCCTGAAGAACATATGCTTCCTTAATGTCCCGCTTATGTCCCGGTCGATGCGCTGGATGTGCTCAGATGACCTCTTGCCCTTCTCCTTCATGATCTGTAGGGCAGGGCCAAGCGGAGGAAGCAGTCTCAGAACAGATGGAAGACTCCCTGCCCCCAGTGGCAGTCAGCCCACAGTCAGCACTTCGGGAAGGAAGGACAGAAGGAAGGTTTCCTTCTGCAGAAAGCTGCATTTTGGCTTGTTACTGAAGCCAGGGAGGGTCACCAGAGCTGAGTTTGTCTGTGGTGACTGTGTCACCATCTGTGCCCAGGGTGTTCATCTGACCTTCACCCCCAGCTCCCCAGGGTGGTCTTGACGTTCCCTCCAGCTGGAGACCTGGGCCCCGACACGGCCTGTCCTGTTTGTTGTGCTCTGGCTGAGCGTACCTGGTATCTTCCGGGGTTTTTCAACTTCATTTCCTCAATGTTCAGGAGGACTGACCACATCGGGCCCCGGATGTTCATGGGCATTCCCTTGTACGCTCGATCTATGAGCTGTGGGCAGAAAACAATCTGGTGTCACAGGCCACGGGGTGACCCCAGTGAGGACCAGAGCCCGGGGATTCTGGAAATTGTTGGTTTTGGCCCCATGATTCCTCAGTAGAGGTGAGATCAAGCTGGGACAGGGTCTCCCTTCCCAGGACTGAAAGAGTGGATGGACACTCAGAGTCAAAACTCTGATCTGAACCTTTTCCTTCCTTCAGGTCACCAGGGCATCCCTAGCCTTGAGCTCCGGGTAGTCCCAGCCCTAGATTCAGATTCCCTCCCTGCAAGGTGACGCTTGCACGAATAGGCAGGAAATCTGGCGACCAGGCCTGCAGTCCTCTGGGCGAGGACAGTGTGCCGCCCACCCTCTGAGAGGCTGATGGTGCCAGGCCACAAGCCATGGGTGCCTGTCCCCTGTCTCTGCAGAGAGTGCTTCCTCCCTCCACACGTTACCTTTCTGCTGCTTTTGTATTTCTCCCAGTCTCCCAGCATATCCACCCACTTGCTCTTTCGGCTGATCTCCCGCCGAATTTGCTGTCAAATGAGGCATGTTGGAGTTAGCGGAGCTGCCAGGCTTCCCAGAGCCGCCCGCGGATGCTGGGTCTTGGGCTCTGGAGCCCTGGTGGGAGCCAGCTGGAAGGAGCCAGGGAAGGGCAGACCTCAAGGGCTGAGAGCCTTTGAGCAAATGAGCACCAGTGGGCTGGCTTTGGGACCCCGGGATGTACCATCCTCAGGCCACAGACACACCAGTCTTAGGTCCCAGCCTCTAGGTGGGGTCCTGACACAAGCGCGCAGCCACCCCCAAGCCAGGACTGTGGTTCTCCTTTTGGAATTTTATCAAACTGCCAAAGTGAACAGCAACCTGGGGTCAGGTCCAGCAGGGACTGCTGCCCCTCCCAGTGACAGCGTGTTGCCCTCACCCGCCACCGCTCAGGCCAGCTGCTTCCTCTGCCTCACTGACCACCCGCCCAGTCCCTACGTCCCTGGACCAGCCCCTCCACGCATCAGGCTCTTACCTTCGCCTCCCGCGCAGTCAGAGGAGGCAGCTCCGTCTCACTGTAAGGCAACCCAGGCAGAGCTGAGGAACTGCACGGGGCCTGGAGCGGCCCCAGCCTGGGTGCCGACCCCCAGAAAGGACTGGCTCTGTCCCTTTCCAGCTCAGGGCTCAGCCCAGGAGAAGGCACAGGGAAGGGAGGACAAGGGCCTTCCTGTGGGGCTGACTCCCAGGAGGGGCAGGACCTGGGAGAAGAAGGAGTGTAGGGACAGCCTGGCCGGGGTTACTGGGGCCCCTGGCGTGGGGGGCGGTCAGGCTGCCCAGTGGGGCTGCCCGTCCTGGACTCGAGGTGGTGCTTTCTGCTGGAGCTGAGAAAGGTTAGCCCTGAGATGGGATGGGGGCCGCCCAGGGTGGGCGACCGGGCCCTGACAGGAGTCCCTCAGGGAGTGACCACATCCCCCCGCCAGGGTCAAGGGAGCCTGCCCTGAGACCTGCCCGGTGTACTCTGGCTGCACCAGGGGCCCACCCCACTTGACAGCCCCAAGGCCCTTGCAGGTTCTGACCTCCCAGCATCCACCTGCCTCTCCCTGCACCCGAGCCACACACCCTGCGTTTCAGAAGTGGCACGGCTCGTCAGCTCCCTCCCGCCCTACCTCCCCAGGGATCCTCTGTCTCTCCATCCTGTGATCCCTGAGGGATGGGCTCCTGGCTGGGCTCCTCTTACCCGGCCCCAGATCCCTTCCCAGCACCAGACCCAGGTCTTTAGCCGCGAGCCCTGCTGCCTCCCTGGCCTCACCGTGAGATGCCCAGAACGGGGCCCTGCCCATCTTCTCCCCCGTTCTCCTAGGGCTACAGCCCCCATTGTCACCATGCCTTTTCCCCTCACGGGACAGTGAGGGCTGTAGCTCTAGGGGAATGGGGGAGAACAGGGGCAGGTGGGCCCTCAGAGACCTGCTGGACAACAGCCCTGAGGCTGGGCCAGGCGTCCCCTCACCCTGTGGCCATAACCCTTGCATCTCACCGGGGTTGTCTCCAGGTAGACAGGGCCAGACCCTCAGGCTGCCCCGCTCCTCTTGTGCTCACTTGCCGACAGAACTGCTGAGCGCCCAGGGGCCTGACCTAGCCCAGTCTCCATTCCCACCGGCTCCCTAGATGGGCCCCACACCTCTGGCCTAACAACCTCGGGCTGGACCTGCAGGGGAGTCAGGGAGGAGTTCTGTCCCTGGAAAGGAGGTTGACCCGACCTGGTGAGACATGTCCTGCGTCAGAAAGGCCTTTCTAAAAGCAAACCCATCCCTGAGCTGAGACAGGTGCTTTAGGGGTGAGGGGAGTGCAGAGGACTCACTGTACAATCCCCAAATGATCGACGTTGTTGTTGTAGCTTCGAAAAGGCTTAGGCCCCTTGTCCTCTGGCAGCCCAGCTCGGTGTCCCTGTAGCCCAGAGGGAGCCTTGGTGAGGGGTCCAAGGTAAAGGGTGCAAGGGCCTGGGGGCATTGGCCACCCGTCCCTGCCCTGTGCTCCTAGGGAGCCCAGGACCCTTTGACCAGGGCACACTGGAAGAGGCCTCCCTCCAAGAAGCAGACCGACTTGTACCTTTTCGTATTTCATAATGATGTCCTCTCGCTCTTGTGCCCACCAACTACCCGCGACCTCTACCACGTCCATCCTGTGAGACAAAATTGTCTAAAGGTCACACTGTACGCGGCGGCTTCGGAGAACACCTGAACCGCTCTCGCCGGGCTCCCAGATGCTGGCTGGCTGCGTAACCCCCATTCCACCGCCGCCCCCAGGGAAAAAGGGGCCAGACCCAGTGGCCCACAGCTGCTCCAGTCTCTGGAGTCTCAAGTCCCAAGCAGGGGTGGGCATCTTCCCAAGGACTTGAGTACAGTGGGACCTAGACAGAGAATCCTGTTGTCCCCCAATGCCATGAAATGGGGACACACCGGCCCCAGCAGGTTGAATGGTTTCCACCTGCCAAGGGTGAAGGGCCCATGATGGGCTATTCCAGGGATGTGGAGGCAGACTGGGGTCAGCGACCAGAGGTCTCTGTGCAATCGGCCTCCTGGGATGCTCAGGGCCTCAGAGATGCCCAGTTTCCTACAGGGAACAAGATCTCTCCCGACTGCTCGGTTCTACTCCGCTCATCACTTTGGCTACCGTGGCTCTTCAGTCTGAACAGTGAAGCCACTTTAGGAATAACGCCTGTTGAGCAGGAGGGTGTTGGGTTTGGGGGATGAGGAAGATCTATTGTACGCATGGAAACCACGTCTCTCGCGGAGGGACTGTGGAGTCCACCATTCTGAGCCGTCCCAACAGGAGGAGGCTTCATTTTCCTGGGTCACTGAGGAAGAACAGTGGGTCCTTGGTCCTGGAGAACAGCTGGATGGACCGTCCCTCCTGGGAATACTCGAGGCAAAAGGAGGGCGAGGCCTCAAGAGGACCACGCAGAGCAAGAAATACCTGGGGAGAACCCTAGTGCCCGGACCCCTTTGAACACAAGGGAAGATAGTCTCCCCTCAGCCAGCCCTCCAGGGCTCCTTCATTTTCCACAGCTGCCCAAGGGCAGCAGGCTCCCCCGGACAAGGGACCATGTGTGTTCAGTGGGGCCCACAGCGACCATCAGGACCCAGCTTAGGGCACAGAGGTGTTCTGAGGACCGTCAGTGGATCTGTACCAGTGGCTCTATACCAGTGGCTCTGCCAGGACCAGGCTCTGCCCCATCGGGATGGGAAACCTGGGCAGATTTGGGATCTAGGGCAGGGAGGTCACAGGGTTCAGGCCTGAATTCCAGCACAGCACACGGCAGGGCTGAGAGCAAAACTCAGGGTCATGTCCGGATTCCCAGGCCGGTTACTGCCTCTCTGACCCCAGACGTCTCATCTGTCGAATGGGGACATTTGGGAACAGCACCCACTCTACGAAGCCACCATGGAGACGAAAGAGCCAATCGTCTACACGGGCAGTGTAGAACGGGCGCCTGGTGAGTGCTCAGGGATGACCCTCCTCGGTAGCTGCCCCACAGAGGCCAACACCGCCCGCACCGTAGCCACTGTCCCCAAGTCCGCCTGGAGGGAAGAGAGCAGGTCACGCTCACCTGATTCTGATGAATCAGCTGGCCTGGGTCATGCCTCTCAGGGAGAAAACCTTTGAGTCCACAGAGCTGCTCACAGATACCACTGCCTGTGTGTAACTGCTGTAGACCACTGAGGCAGGCCAGAGAGCAGATAGGTGCTAAGCAGCAGTGACATTCTGAGGTCATGGCACGAATCACAGTGGGGCCTTGCCCGGGTCAGCAGCACCCAGAGTCAGGGTCCTCCGCTGCCTGAGGCGTCAACATGCCTGCCTGCAACGTGTTTGTGCACGTGCGTGCACACGTGTATGTGGGTAAACATGTCTGTGCACATGTGTGTTGCTTCTCTGGCCAGGCCCGGCTGCCCCACTCATGTGTGCACCCAGTTCCTCATCACTGTCACCCCCGAGGCCCAGGGCCAGCATCAGAGCATCCATGGCTGCTCCCTAACCTCAGCCCTCCCCGCCCAGGGTGGTCCTGGGATACACATAGGGGTGGAGGGAAGTGACTGCTGCTGTTGGATCTCAGAATACAAAAGCTAATACTATTACCTAATGGTCTTTTTAGTGTCTCTAATGGTATCGCTTTTTCATTTCTGATATTTTAACTGGGTATTTCTCTCCATGACCCTTGGATATTCTAGCTAGAGGATCCTGTGGGGAAAGTGCCGAGCACACAGTAGGGGCTCACTCTTCTAGACATGTTATCTAAAACCTGGTTCATCTGTCCTTCCACGCAGGGCCTAGGGGATGCCAAATTCCAGGGTCCAGAAAGAGCTTGGGATAAAATGAAACTTCAAGGGGACGGCTTTGACCTGGGCTGAGTCTGTCTGTGCCATCCAACTGGAGTCTCAAGTCCTGAGGCAGGACGTCCAGATGCCCCAGTGCAGGGCCCTCCTGATCAACACCTGCTCCCCTGTACTCATTAGCAACCTCACCCACCCTACTCTCAAAGCACACTTGGCTCTCGTATCCAGGAGCTCTGCATCTATAGATTCAGCAACAGCAGATGGAAAATATTCAGAAAATAAATTGGATGGTTATGTTTCTATTGAACATGTGCAGACTTTGTTCTTGTCATCATTCCCTAAAGAATACAGTATCACGACCATTTATGTAGCATCTGCATTGTATTACACATCATAATCTAGTAACGGTCTAACGTATACGGGAGGATGCGCATAGCTTATACGTAAATACTAGGCCATGTTCTATCAGAGACTTGAGCATCCATGGATTTTGGCATTCCCGGGGACCCTAGAACTAATCCTCCATGGATACCAAGGGATGACTGTATATACTCACTCAGGAAGGCTTCTCATTGGAGGAAGGGCCCGGTTCAGGACAGACAGGGACATCATCCCTGGACTACTGTCCATCCATCCATTCATCCATTGGCACCACCCTCTAGGACTGTCCCAATGACAGCCCTAGCAAGTGGAGATAAGAAAAAAGACTGGCTCAAATGGTACAGCTTTGAGGTCTTGGAAGATGTTGCACCAGTATGAGAATAGGGGGTCAGTTTCCTCCAGGATCCAGAAAGCATATCAGGCAGGCTCGGGGAGAGGAAAGGAACACGGCCTCTCCAGCAGCCACACAGGCCTGCAGTAGGATGGGGCTGGGGCTGGGGCTGGGGCTGGGACTGGGGCTGGCCCCGTTTATCACTTGGGCCTCATGAGGGGAAAAGAAAGGACAGGGGGCAGAGGAGGAGCATGGGGGCAGCGGGTTGCCTAAGGAGAAGGCGCCTCAGGGAAGGGGTATTAGTTTGTTTTCACACTGCTATAAAGAAATACTTGAGCCTAGGTAATTTATAAAGGAAAGAGGTTTAATCGACTCCCAGTTCAGGGAACTTACAGTCATGGCAGAAGGCGAAGGGGAAGCAGGCACCTTCTCCACAAGGCGGCAGGAGGGAGTGAGCGGAGAAGCAGGAAGTGCCACACTTTCAAACCATCAGCTCTCCTGAGAACTCCCTCACTATCAGGGGAGCAGCAGGGGGGAAACTGTCCCCAGATCCCATCCCCTCCCACCAGGTTTCTCCCTTGACACAGGAGGATTACAATTCCAGATGAGATTTCGGTGGGGACACAGAGCCCAACCTGTGAGGGTCTCAGTCTATCTTGCAGCTCCCCTGGGGCTGAGGCTGAGTACAGTTCTGCTGGCCCTGCTCTACAGCACGTGGGGACTCTGCCTGTGTGCCCCCATCTGCTCTTCCTGGGGATGGTGGCTGCTTCCTCAAGAGGAGGGTGGATCTGCTCTCCTGCCCACCCCTCTCCAGGGCCTTTTGGAGCCCTGGCCACGTCCTCCCCGGGTAAGGGCAGGAAACCGGGCTCCTTGCCCTTCTTGCTGCTTGGGTGACAATCCTGGGGTCATCCATAGGCCCCATCACTGTTCCCGCTTCTAAATGGAGGGTATTTTGGCACATCTTCCTGGCGGGGTCCGGGGCGTCATCCCTGTTATTTATTCTATCTTGGTAAAGCCAGGTTAAGACATCTGGGCAAGGAGATAGTAGAGTGGCCCCCAGGAAGGGTGGGTGGAGGGCCTGGCCTTTGGGCTTGCCTGGAGCAGGGTGGGAGGGGGCAAGGTTACCAGGAAGCAGGGCTGTCAGGGCCAAAATCAGGAGGCGGTGATAATGCTGGTGGGGGGACAGGGCTGTGTGCTTGGCTTGGGGTGGGGCATGAGAGCCAAGGTTTGTCAGCACGCAGAGGGGTGGCTGACTCATGGACTAGGGGCTATGGAACCCAGAGGCTGCCCTTAGTTCCTGGATCCTGGGAGACTTCTGGAGCCTGGGTGTGGGGCAGCCTAGGGGTGGAGGTGGGGCAGACAGGGGTAGGGGTAGGGGTAGGAGAGGAGGACTTGCATGGCAGGGTGCAGGGTAGGAAACCAGCCAGGGGCCAGTTTGCATTGGCGGCTCCCATCCCCATCCCCACCCCCAAGCCCACCCCTACCCCCACCCTGCTGCAGAGATGGGCCTGGGCTGCTGTCCTCTGCTTTGGCCTCAGCAGATCACACGATGGAAGCTGGCAGCCCCGTGGGCACCACTCGAGCCAGCTGTGACCTGCAGTTTCTGCTTCCTGGAGTGTGGGGCGCCCACTCAGGAGAGCACGGCACACCCCACACCCCTCATTTTGAGGATGCTGGGAGGTGGGGACCAAGGTCCTGCAGCCCTCTGCTTGCGCTATGAAAGGTAGCCTAGGAGTCCTGTGTCCGCCCATCCACGTGGGGCCCCAGGAGCCTGAACAGTGGCAGGCAGAGAGATGAGGAGGGTGAGAGAAGTGGAAAAGAAGGAGAGAGAAAGAGAGATGGGGAGAAGGGAGTGAGATAGAGAGAGGATGAGAGATAAGGAGAGAGACAGAGGAGGCTGAGAGGAAAAGGAGCGAGAGAGACAGGCAGAGAGACACAAAAGGCAAAGAGAGAGACAGGGAGAGACGAGCATGAGTAGGAGGTCGGGTCACTCTCGATCCCAGTCCCCAGTGAAAACCGTAGGTCGCCATCACCTAACTACGCGTGCAATAAAGTCTTCTGCCTGCTGCTTACAGCCCGAGAGCCCTTTTCCGAGAGAACAAAATCTTTGACCGTTGCCCTTTCTCGCCGGAGTTTGCTCGTGTCTTCTGATGAACTGTGATGTCTCACCTATCGCCTTCCTGGGCTCAAGGATCCATGAAAAGCCGACGACTCTTTTGGGGAGGCTCTGCAGTGCCTTCATCTCACTAGGCTCCCCAGGAAGCTTGCGAACTTGGCTTGAGCCCTAAGCAGCCGAGTATGTGCCGGGCCTCTGCTTCTCTCTTTCAGTAAGAGGGAGAACCAAGAAAGAGGCTGAAGCATGGTCTGCAGAGAAGGCACTTGTGCAAACACCAGGAGAATGAGGGGCCTGAGTTGTCTTCATTTCTCCTAAAAACACGCATTTCCTCCCAGGCCACCCTAGTGAGGGCATGAAGCACAGCGTGTGTGTGTGTGTGTGTGTGTCTGTGTGTGTTTGCAGGAATATGCATGTGTGTGTGCATGTGTGTGTGTGCAGGTATATACATGTGAATGTATTTATGTATGTGCATCTGTGTGCATGTGTGTGCATGTGTGTGTGCAAGTATATGCATGTGTATGTATCTGCATGTGTGCGTGTGTGTGTGTGTGTGTGTGCGCGTGTATGTGTGTGTTGCAGGGCTTTACAGTGGACAGGATGTGGGAGGGCAGCTGCAGCTCCAAGCTGCAAGTCTTTCTGATAGAATGGTTAAGATTCCCTGGACCACAGAAAGAGTGTTTTCATTTGCACCTATTTTTATTAGCATTTAAAGCTGTATTCTTCGTAGCACGTGAAGCTTAAGTTGCTTAACTATTCTTAGAAACATTTACACCAGCGGTCCCCAAACTTTTTGGCACCAGAGAGCAGTTTTCTTGAAGACAACTCTTCCACGGACCTGGGAGAAGGGGAAGGGATGGTGCAGAGATCATTCGAGCCCATTACATTTATTGTGTGCTTTATTTCTATGATTATTTCACTGTAATATATAATGAAATAATTACACAACTCACCATAACATAGAATCAGTGGGAGCCCTGAGCTTGTTTTCCTGTAATTACGTGGTCCCACTTGGGGGTGATGGGAGACAGTCAGAGATCATCAGGCATTAGGTTCTCATTAGGAGCACGCAATCTAGATCCCTGGCATGCGCAGTTCACAGTAGGGTTCATGCTCCTATGAGAATCTAATGGCACCACTCATCTGACAGGTGTCAGGGCTCATGCAGTAATGTGAGGGATGGGAAGTGGCTGTTTCTACAGATGAAGCTTTGCTCACTGGCTGGCTGCTCACCTCCTGCTGTGTTGCCTGGTTCCTAACAGGTGGGGATCCGATTTACCCAGCAAGATAAATATATTATTATGTCAATTTAAATTATTCACCTTGAACCACCCAAAATTACCTTGCATACCTCACCCACCCAAGGGTCCCGTAGCACACTTTGGGAGCTGCAGACAGTAAACCTGGAGCTCCATAGAGCATTCCATCTCTCCACCATCTGTGGGCTAACAGGCTGTGTTAGTTTCCTAGGGCTGTTTTACAGTACCACAGACTGGGCACCTTCAACAACAGAATGTTACTGTCTCGCAGTACTGGAGGCCATGAGTCCAAGATCAAGGTGTCAGCAGGGTGGGTCCCTTCTGAGGCTGTGCAGGAAGGCTCTGTTCCAGGCCTGTCTCCTCATGCGTGGGTGGACATCTTCTCCCTGTGACTCTTCATTAAGGGTGATTCTGGTGAGGGCTCCAAAGAGGAGACTTGGACAGAATGTTGGTAGATAAATGTGTCAGTGGAAACCAGAGGGTAGACAGGACTCCATCCATGCCCAGGGCTTTCTGGGGACAGACCTGTCCAAGCAGCAACCATTCCCAACCGAGTTCTGTTTCTGGAAAGCCAGGCAACAGGTGGGGCTGGGCCCTCTGGGATTTGTTTAGTGACCCGATTATGTGGGAGGCCTGCAGTGGGTGGTTGGGTGGGGGGTGGTACCAATGCCATCATGCCCAACCTCATTGCATCACTCACTTCCCAGGCCCTGCCCTCAACCCCTCCTGACCAGGCCCTGTCCTGGTTCTCAGCCACCTTGTCCCAGTGGGTGCTTCAGCCCACTCACTGACCAAGTGAGGGACTGACTCCAGGTTACAAAGTGCTGTGTTTATGTGACCTGAGAATACGTGTGCGCAGAGTGTTCCCACAGTGTCCTTGTAAAGTTGAGCATGTACATGTCCTGCCAGTGTGTAGGCAGCCTGTCCACACATGCCTAGGAGTGTGACTCCATGTCCTGGTAGATGGGGAAGGAGAGAGGGAGTTGTGCCCAGGGTCCCCCGATTACTTCTATGGGTGCATGTTTGTGCTTCTTGTTAGGGGTGCTTGGGGAAGATTCTGCCCTGGGTGCCCTGGATCACCTGTGTGTGTGTGTGTGTGTGCACGCGGGGACGCGCACGTGCATTAGGGGGTGTACTGTGTTACAGCATCCTCAACCAACTCTGTATGTGTGCATATGTTTGTGTGTGTGTGTCCTACAGGTGTGAGCGAGTGGATGCTTCCACTACGTGTCTGCACATGTGTGTGTGCACTTGCATTGTCCTTGCACACCTGCGTGTGTCCCGTGAGAGCGGAGCCCAGCATGTGCTGGCACCTGCAGGAACATGTGAGTGTGCGTTCTGTGGGTCCCTGTCCTGATGGCTCTCCACTTGTCCCGAGTGTCACGACGACGAGGATGGGGACCATATCTTCGGAGCCTGAGGATCCAACACAGGTCCAGCCCTGTGCAGCCGCCCGCCAAGCCGCCAGAGGACGAGCCGGACGCCGAAGGCTACGAGTGGACGATTGCAGTTAGTTTCCAACTCGCCGACTTCGCGCCCCTCCACTGGCTCCGGCTTGATGATCCCGGCTTCGGGGTGCTCTCGGTCCCTCCCCATCGCGTCGTCGCTTTCTCCCTTGGCATAACCCCCAGCCGCGGGGCCGCAGACCCTAAGAGCTCCATGAGCTCTCCGCGCCCTGCCCACCGGCCCCGGCCCCGACCCCTCCCCAGACCGGACCAGAGAGGTGGGAAGTTTGGGGGCACCCGCTGTGGGTGTCCCGTTTCCGGGGCTGGGCTCCGGGGAGCCGGCGCGGCGCCCGCTCCCTGCCCGCCAGCCCTTTGGGAGCTCAGGCGCGGGCAGCCGCTTGTGTTCCTGGGAAGGGCGGAGCTGCGTCCCGGGGAGACACGCCTTGCAGCCGGCAGCCTAGTCGCTCCCCGCTGGCCGGCCGCTCCGTGAGGGCCCCGCAGCGGAGGGTCGGGGCTGGGGCGGGCTGGAGAGGGGGCCCCGGGCTGGGGCCGGTTCGGCCTCCCGGGTGGCGCGCGGGCCGAAGAACTAGGAGGACCGCCGGGCCGGGCCGCTTGTCCTTTGGAAAAACCTTGGCGGTTCCTCCTCTGGTGTCCGTGGACCCCGCCGTGGCGTTCTCCAGGGCCGCGGACCTTTGCCCACCGGTCGCGCCAGCTGTCCTGGAGCAGAAAGGACCCCCCTCCTCCCGGACCGAGCCCCGAGCCCCGAGCCCCATGGAGCAGGCAAGCGCCGGAGTCCCGAGGCTAAGGCCCGGCCGGCGGGCGCTCTGGCACCTTTTCCCGCCCCCGAGGGTGCCTGTCCGGCCCGGCCGGGACTGGCTGGGAAACCGAGGCCGGAAGAGGTCGCAGTCCAGCAAGGAATCGGTTTGTGTGGGGTGGGGGTGGGATGGGAGACCCCTCCCCAACCCCACCAGCCCCAGCCCAGCTGTGGCCCCCGCCGTGTCACTCAGAAAACCAGCGTCAAACCCCAGCCCTGCCTGGGATGTGGACCTTGCCTGGGGAGAGTCCCGTTCAGGCTTTTCCAGGGCCTCTCCCCTGAGCAACAGGGGTGTCTGCGCTGGGCCTGGGCACTCACCAGGGCCTGCAGGCTGCCAGTCTGGAGTTTCCCTAGCATCAAATGTGCCACCGGAAGCTGAAGGTGGGGATGACCAGTGCCCCCCGGAGCGAAGACCCCCCCATCTCTCCAGGATTGGGGGTCTGCTTAGGGGTCCACTTAGGGGTGTATCCCTCAGGCATTGGAAGTGCAGATGGGAGGCCCTGAGCCATGGTGGCTCCCCCAGTCCCCAGTTCTTTCTCTGTGTAAATCCAGCTTTGCAGGGACGGGGATGTGGTGCCTTTCCCGGAAGAGCCGGGGTCCTGGGGCGTGGGGAGCTGGGGCTGGGTCGTGGGGAGCTGGGACTGGGGTGTGGGGAGGGGCCCAGGGTGAGCAAGCTGAAGCAGGACTGGCACAGGCCTCTGGAGGGCCTGGGGGAGGCTGGACGCCCCGGGGTGCACCCTTGCTTGTGCACTCTTCTAAGGGTCAGTCTCAGTTTGCCCATCTGTAAATAGGGTTGATTGTCCCTGCCCTACGTGGCTGTTGTGAGCATTCAATGAGCACTACCAGTCCTGGGAGACTCTTGGTGTTTTTTATTGTGCTAAAATACACAAATATAAATTTCCCATTTCAACCATTTCTTTTTGCTCCTTCACTCCCCACCCACCCACCCACCCATTTTTACCGTATAGTTCAGTCGTGCTCAGTACCTTCTACCTTCACGCTGTGTGCAACCCATCTCCAGAAGCCTCTTCATCCTGCAAAATTGAAACTGGACCCATTAAACAACACCTCCCCATTCCTCCTCCCCCGGCCCCTGGCAACTGCCATTCTGCTTCTTTCTCCACATATGGAATATATTCTATATACCTAGTTTTACATTAATATCATAGATAGCTTTGTTTTCAGTATGTATATCTACTTTATTCTTTTCAGTAATTTCATGTTTATTATGTGGCTGTACCATCATGGTTTAAACTATCCATATTTTAAAGAGTTGATTTATATTGGTTGTTTTTACAAACAGAGCTGCAAACAACAGCGGTGTGCCAACAATTTTTGTGTGTGTGTGGGGGGGGTTCTTTTTTGTTTTTGTTTTTGTTTTTGAGACAGAGTCTCACTCTGTCGCCCAGGCTGGAGTGCAGTGGCAAGATCTCGGCTCACTGCAACCTCTGCCTCCCAGGTTCAAGCAATTCTCTTGCCTCAGCCTCCCAGGTAGCTGGGATTATAGGCGCCTGCCACCATGCCCGGCTAATTTTTGTATTTTAGTAGAGATGAGATTTTCCCGTGTTGGCCAGGCTGGTCTCGAACTCCTGACCTCAAGCTATCCACCTGCCTTGGCCTCCCAAAGTGCAGGGATTACAGGGGTGAGCCACCGTGCTTGGCCCTCCTTTGTTTCCTTAGATAGTGTTTCTTGAAATAGATTCCTAGAAATAAGATAGACTGAAGAGTATGTAAATTTTAAATTTTTTTACAGACTGTGTCATTGCTTTTTAAAAATGCTGATTACCAAAATGTCACTTTTTGATACTAAAAAATAGATTGTTTTAAACACACAAAGTAAGTAGGGCTTATCAAAAAGTTAATATATTTTGCATTTCTCACAAGTGTGTTGAATTTCTCCCCCTTGCATTGTACAGCAGGAATCCTGACTCAGTCTAACTTTCTTATACTTAAAAAAGTATATACTAAAACATAGGCCAGGAGTTAGCAAACGTTTTCTATAAAAGACCAGATAGTAAATATTGTTCTTTGTGGGCTATATAATCTCTGTTGCAACAATGTGACTCCACCTTTGTCTTGGAAAGCTGGGATAGATAATATATAAAAGAGTGGGAGTGGCTGTGTTTCAACAAAACTTTGTTTACAAAACAGGGGTCATACTAGATTTGTTCTGAGGACCATAGTTTCTTAACCTCAGTCTAGGCAATCCATCAAGTAATTCTGCATTCACGATAGAATTCTTATTGTATATATTGGCTGACTGTCTTTCCTTTCTCTAATGTTAACCACTGATTTTGTGGAGCATGGATTCTAGGGAAATAATACCCAGGTAAGATGTCTATTACCATGTGTGTCTTATTTTTGAAAGAGTGGTTAAATTCTTATTGAGGCCGGGTGCAGTGGCTTATGCCTGTAATCCCAGCACTTTGAGAGGTCGAGGCAGGCAGCTCTCTCAAGTTCAGGAGTTCAAGACCAGCCTGGCCAACATGGTGAAGCCCCGTCTCTACTAAAAATACAAAAATTAGCTGGGTGTGGTGGCATGCACCTGTAATCCCAGCTACTTGGGAGGCTGAGGCAGGAAGATCACTGGAACCCGGGAGGCAGAAGTTACAGTGAGCCGGCATGGCACCACTACACTCCAGCCTGGGCAACAGAGCAAGACTCCATCTCAGAACAAGTCAAAACAAAACAAAACAAACACACAAACAAAAAACTGGGAGACCGAGGTGGTCAGATCACAAAGTCAGAAGATTGAGACCAGCCTGGCCAATATGGTGAAAACCCGTCTCTACTAAAAATACAAAAATTAGCCGGGTGTGGTGGCAGGCACCTGTTCTCCCAGCTACTTGGGAGGCTGAGGCAGAAGAATTGCTTGAACCTGGGAGGCAGAGATTGCAGTGAGCCAAGATTATGCCACTGCACTCCAGCCTGGGCGACAGAGCAAGACTCAGTCTCAAAAAAAAAAAAAAAAAAAAAGTCTTATTGACAAGTTCAGTAGTTTCTTGTCTTTAGTCTGCATGTGTATCACTTGGGGGTTTGGTAAAAATCTAGATTCCCGCATCCAAACCCAGTTCTCTTGTGAGCATTTTAAATGACCATCCCAGGTGGTTCTGGAATGCTCATAGGATTGCATATTAGTTACACTATTTATTCGCTGCATGGCCATGGACAAGTTGTTTTAACTCTCTGAGCCAACATTTCCTCTTCTGTTAAATGGGAATATTAATAATACTTAGCCCTTGGAGACACTGTTAGAATTTGAAGCACAATGAATAATTTTTAAGAGAGCTTGACTCATGAGAAAAATAAGCTTAAATGCATGAATATATATATCAAGCATGAATTTACCTAGTGCATATGCATTATACACTGGGTGCATAATACTTTATAAAATAATCATTGTTTTAAAAAATAGAGTTTCATTATTTGGGGAGAGGCATTACCGTCATTTCCTTTCTGCTGACTTCCCCTCTTCAGAGTTTTCTGCTCTTCCCCTCCCATCCCACCACCTTGCTTTGTCACAAAACAAAGCCAATAGGATCACCAACAGTTTAAGACTGGTTTACTCAAAACGAATTCATTGTTTTACATAGCTGAACACAGAAATGATAAATAATGTTCTATAAATATTTGTTGGTTGACAGCTTTGGAACAATGTCCTCTAGAAAAAGCTGAACGTAGCCACCCACCTTGTACGAGAGCCGCAAAGAATAGCCATGTGCCTGAATATGTGTCAGCCGCTGTGTGACTGGAGGGGCTGAGGAAGGGGCGTAGAGGGTGTTGTGAGGTCCCTTCCGACAAGCAGTCAAGAACGCATAGAAATACATTACAAAAATTAAATAGATAAGTTGAAATGCATGTTAAGAAGAGCCCCAGAGTGTGGTTGCTTGGGTAGGGGTAGGTTCAGGAATTGAAGGGACGTCCCTAGGGCCTGGGTCCCTGCCTCCTAATTTGCCACAAATGTAACAGTGTCTTGTTGCTTCCAGGTCACTCAGGGATTCGACTCTGAGGTCAGTGATGCACTTGGCACCAGAACTCGATGGGGTTGGCACAGACCTGCCAGCCTCAGCCACTTTCATTCTGGAAGCTGTTAAAAGAGACAGTTATAAAAATTGAGGAATCAGCAAGAGAATTCCTGGTTCCGTGCTACCTTCTTCTCTCTGTCTTGGCAAGTGTCGGGCCTGTCCACTTGCTCAGGACTCTTTGTCCAACCTCAGCTCCCTAGACCTTTCATCAGTGGCTCAGGGGGTCTCTTCAGGCAGCCTCTTCCGGCTAACACTTCCTCCTGTCTTCCCTCTGTCAGGGGCAGCTCTTCCGTGGTTCCTTGCAGACCCCAGGTCAGGCCAGAAAACACCTCTATGGCCCTTCCCTGTGTCCCACCACCAGATAGGACCTCAAAGGCCTGGGGTCCCCAGGATGGCCCTCAAACCGACTGGTGCCCTTGCAGGCTGCCACCCTCCAAGTCCTGCTTCTCTCTAGAGATGGGCAGGAGCACCAGCCCTCACCTGGCACCAGCAGTGAGTCTCATAATTGCCATCTACCATTTTGCTAGGGGGCTTCTGGGGATCCTAGGAAAAGCAGCAGATGCCTGGGTGCTTGGGGACCTGGGCATTCTGAGGGAAGGAGCAGCGTGACCCTGAGTCATTTTTCACTGGGGACAAATGAGCCAACTCCTTCTACCCAGTGATAAAATCAGAAGGAAGCAGATGGAGACAGCACTGTTCAGGGGATGATTTGGGGATGAGAAGAACTGGCAGGAAGTTGGGGATGTGGGGGTGAGAAGAACCAGCAGGAAGTTGGGGATTTCTTGTTTCCCCACTTTTCCCTTCCATTTCTGTTTGAGCCTTAGGTTTGGCCTCCGTCTCCCTCTGTAGGAATTGCAGCTAATTAAATATTCTGCCTCTTATTCCAGCTTTACTGGGGGAACATAATATGGTCTAAGAAGAGATTTTTCCAGCAAGAGGCCATCTCTGCAAATCACCTGTGAGGCAGACCTGTGGCAATTTTATGACTCAGCTGGCCACCGGGATTGTAGCTGGGTTCTGCCGCTTGTTGAAACCTACTCAATGTTCTCCTTCCCTAAGTAGGACAAGACCGTATCCTGCCTTTAAGGTTTATAGAATAAAAACTGAAAACTCTTTGGGGAAGAAAATCTTCCTGAACAGATAGCCCAGGGCATTTTGAAAATCCCTTAGGAAGTTCTCTGTTTCACTTGGGTACCTTTGTCCTTGGACTTTGGTGATGTGGTTTGACCCCAGCTAGAGAGTGAGGGGAACAACAGCAAAAGGCAGGACAAAGACTGACTCGTGAGAGGAGGCCCAGGAACAGGGGGCCATTGTGAATGAGGAGGACGTGGGGGCCCAAGAAAGTGAGCAAAAGAGGACAGGGCTTGCGCACTCAGTCACCAGCCCCCTTCTGGGGTCCAAGCTGTGTCCCCTTCTCTAAAGAGGTAAGCCCTGAGTCATGGGAAGATGGAAACCGGGGCTCATGAGACAGGATGTTTTTTAAGCACCGTGGTGTCTTGTTGACTTGCACATGCACGGGGGTCTTGGGTAACCACAGGGCTCAGGGTATTTGCAGGAACAGTTCAAGTGCTCACTTGTCTTGGGGCTGTTTATGGGGAAGTGGTTTCCACAGTGAGAGGACGTGAGATATTGTTGTCACCCCGGACCACACTTAGCTACTTCCTTCTCACTAAAGCTCTGTAGTCATATTTTCCCTGGCAGAGCAGAAACTTCTATGTTATCCCACAGCTGTTCTAACGGTGTAGACTTGACTTACGCAATGATGCCAGGAGTCCTGAGCAGCACAGCCCAACTTCAATCACACACAGATGGACAGAGCTGTATTAGCAAAGCCTGAGCTACTGAGCGATGAGAGTACAGCCAGGCTTTCAGACATCTGTTCATTCAAGAGAGATATGCGCTAAGCCAAGGACCTAAAGATGTGTTTAATATGGGTGCTAATATGCATAAGGAACCTTGAAATAAATGTTCTTAGCCTTTGGCCAAGAGGGTCCATGTCTAGGAATCTATTCTCCATAGAAATAAATTCAAATATGGAAAAAATGAACAATGCATAAGTGTATTTGGTCCCCAGCATATTTATAGCAACTTAAAATTGGACCCAATTTAAATGCCTATGATATGGAAATGGCTAAGAAAATTATGGGATCTTCCCTTGATTGGCTATTAGGCAGCCTTTACAAACAATGCAGTGACATGAGAAATGCTTATGTTATGGTAAGCTTAAAAAACTCAAGATGCAAATCAGCTTATTTTAATCAGGAGCCACCTAGCATTTGGGATGTGGTCAATCCCACATAATGTATTTTTGTGGGTGCAGTTCCCAGGAAAGAAGAGGAATAAAAACGGCAAGTATGAAGTGTCTCCTTCGCTTGCAGTCTCCTTGTCTACCCCTTTGTCCATCCACTATGAAAGGACTCCCTTCTGTTCCTTAATATGGACAATTTCTATTGAGGACTCATTGTTCTAAGAATTGTCTCATCTCCTCCTGCATCCTCAGTGCCCGATCTTTGGCTTCTATGAAGGAAGGTGGGTAGTGCGTATGGCAGGTCCAGTTCTACCTTTCTTAGTATGTTCTGGCGTGGGTATGTAGCCCCATTTTCTAGTGGTTACCTTGACATCATGAAGAGTTTATGTCTCTTTTGCCCTAGGTTTGGGCAATAGTCATTCACTGTGCAACAGGAAATACACGAGTCAGCATCTTATTAAAAATAAAGTCATTCAGGAAAGTGGACGACAGTTTCTAATCTAGAGAGCATAGGAGAAGAAATGTTTACCACACACAAAGTATTAGTGCCTTTTATATCACGAAGACAAAAATAACAGGAAAAAGACAAACACATTATAGTGAAAACTTGTTTTTCCTAACCAGCATCTATTCTGCATGTTTCCTGATGCCCGAAACTCACATTTCCTCAGGAAAATCTCCCTTCTGCACCATTCTCAGGCTTTAAGTTTATGTAAAATTCAGTAAACCCAAAGATTCAAGTTATGTGCCTTGATTAACTTAAGCAAATCAATGAAACCCATCCCCATAACCACAGCGACAGGTTAGGAAATTCGGTTCCTAAGTCAGTCACATCCGAAAGGGCCTAGTGATGTTTTTTTCCAGTGGGATCACAGACTCACTCTTCCTTGCAGAAAATGAACAAAGGATTCATGTAACACTGGCAGGTACTGGCAGCCACCCAGGGCCTCTCACAGGAAAGGGAGATCAGAAAGAGAAGCAAAGAGGACTCATGAGATACCATAGGGCTGCTGCGTCCAGCCTTGCCTGGAGCTAGGGCCACCTCGATGCCCTATAGTCTTGGAGCCACAACGTGCATTTACTCAAAGCCTCTTTGAGTTTGGTTTGCTTGTTTGCTTTCTGCCTGGAAACTGCCAGCATCCTGAGAGATACGAGATCTGCATCTGTGCAGAGACACAGGGTTTGTTAAAAGTCACAGGCCCTGACTGAAGTGTGGAACTGGCTGAAATGAGAAAGTGGTAATTTGGGGAGGACCTTGTGAAATGGAAGGAGTTTTAAACCTTACATGCATCAGAATTACCTGGAGCCTTGTGAAAACACAGGTTGCTGGGCCCTAGTCCATTAAGAAAGGAAGTGGGGCTTAGAATGTTCATTTCTCCCATGTTCCCAGGTGATATTCACCATGCTGTCCTGTCTGGACACTACCTTTTGCCATACCCATTACAAGGTATTGCACGTGCTGGTTGAACTATGGTCTGTCTTATTTTGGTGCTAAAAGCCTGTGCCAAATACCAACGCTGCAGCATTAAGGAATGTGATAGAAAAGATTCTGAATATAGGCCAGGCGCAGTGGCTCACGCCTGTAATCCCAGCACTTTGGGAGGCCGAGGCAGGCAGATCACGAGGTCAGGAGATCAAGACCATCCTGGCTAACATGGTGAAACCCCGTCTCTACTAAAAATACAAAAAATTAGCCGGGCGTAGTGGTGGGCACCTGTAGTCCCAGCTACTTGGGAGGCTGAGGCAGGAGAATGGCGTGAACCTGGGAGGCGGAACTTGCACTGGGCTGAGATCGCGCTACTGCACTCCACTCCAGCCTGGGCGACAGAGCAAGACTTCGTCTCAAAAAAGAAAAAAAAAAAAGAAGATTCTGAATATTGGAACTTAGTAGCTATGTATTACATCAGTAAGGTCCTTTAAGAAAGAGTTTAGGCTGCTTTGAAATGGGCTCATCTGAAATTGAAAAAGGAAGAAATTGAACTTGCTAAAAAAGGCCCTTCCAACTTATTGACTGAGAACCCAGTAATCTGGAGACTTGAAGGGCTGTAATGGCAGAATTTTCTACTCTAAGATAAAGTTAGCATGAGCAGAGACAGGAAGATGAGAGACCTAATGAGGCCAAGGGTCAAACATTCATCACCTCCACATGGGCCAAGATGCAGGCAGAGGTCTCTCACCAGGGACTTGGTGGTAGAGGTGACACTGGTAGTGAGGTCTGTGCTAGAAAGTGCACATCCCTGGCTGGGCGCGGTGGCTCACACCTGTAATCCCAGCACTTTGGGAGGCTGAGGCAGGTGGATCACGAGGTCATGAGTTCAAGACCAGCCTGGCCAACATAGTGAAACCCCGTCTCTACTAAAAATCCAAAAATTTAGCCAGATTTGGTGGCAGGCACCTGTAATCTCAGCTACTTGGGAAGCTGAGGCAGGAGAATCTCTTGAACCCAGGAGGCTGAGGTTGCAGTGAGCCAAGATCACACCATTGCACTCCAGCCCAGGAGACAGTACAAGACTCCATCTCAAAAAAAAAAAAAAAAAAAGAAAAGAAAAAAGAAAGTGCCTATCCCCAACCCCATTTAAAATGCAAATTCGAGCTTTGTAACTGAAAACATCTCTGCTTCTGGCTACCTGGCCCATGGAATTGATCAGAAGCAAATAGTAGCCTATGGACATTAGAAGGGAGTCACATTGCCAAAGAAACCACAAGACTGGTTCCAAACAGTCGCTGATTACACAATACCTAAGGCAACCTCAGGCTAACTCACACAGACAGGAAGTCAGCAGCCTCCAGAAAGCAGATCCTCCACATTGCACATCTCAGATTGTCCGTGGAGGACATTCCCCCAGGGAGGAGAGCTAGGGACTGCCAGATCAGCTGAACTGCTTAAAAATGCAATTCCCATTCTCCAGTTCCCTAACAGGAGTCTGTGTTTAACTTACTCTGTTTGTTCATAACACTTGTATTTAGGGAATATTGGGCATGATTAAACTTTGTTTAGCTTTGGGTTTCTGGACCTTGTGAAACAATTCAGTGCAGGCAAATATTGTATGCCCCTATATTTTTTTCCTGAAAGTCAATAAAGAAGGAATGATGACACCTTCACTGCATCTATGGGGACAAAAGCTGCTCGTGTGTGTGTGTGTGTGTGTGTGTGTGTGTGTGAAAGAGAGAGACAGAGAACAGCCTTGTCAAAAGGATGTGTTTGTTGCTGTACCCTCATTATACGAAAGCCATCATGGCATCAAAATGCTGTAAGCCAGGCTGAGCTCTATTCTCTCTGCATCAACTCAGAATCCCTACCAGAAAGTGGTTGTGATGGATGGAATATCACCCATCAAAGAACAGGGTAAGATGAGACCAGAGAGGTAAGCTATGCAAGCTAATCAGAAAATAACTCAAAGTTTTAAAAGTGCAGAATATAAAAAGGAAAAACCCTCATTCCTAAAAAAATTTAAAAAAAGCCTCATTTCCTCAAAGAAACGACAGTTAGCTATTTGATGTGTGTCTTTCCAAATATTTGCCTATGTAAATATATGTGTGTATATGGCTTTTAAAAATAAAAACAAAATAATATCCTTTACAGACAGTTTTGTAGCATATGTAGAGAATATATATGCATATACTGAATGTAAATAGATATGCATTTTACCTAGAATATTACGGACACTTTCCACAGTTATAGATGTGTGCTGCTTTTGTTTACTGACTGCAGAATATTCCATTGATGGACATCTTAATCCTCTACTTATTAATCCCCTACTGATGACTGTTTGCATTTCTTTGCTCTTTACCAACCATACTTGAAAGAATATCCTCATGTCTACATATTCTTATCTTTTGGCAGTGTTTCTATGAAGCAGATTCCTAGAAATGGGATCAGGTCAAATGGGATGTAGGTCACATAGTATGTGCATTTTAATATCTGCTAAGTAGTAGTGTTTAATTATGCTTTAAAGAGTTTGAGCCCTACAATTCTAAACATGTTTGGACACAGAAATTAGATTATTTTAAACAAAATGAAATAAGCATAGCTCATAAAAATTAACACGTTTGGTTTTCACACAAATATTTTGAATTTCCCTTTCTTCTGCAAAAAGGACCCTAGCTTAGTATGCATTTCTTGTACATATAATGCAAGCAATCCATCTATTAAATAACTTACCTTTCAAACCTATAGACAGCATCCTGCTCCACACAGAAGCTGGTTGTCTTTTCATTCTCTAACATTAGCTATTTATTTTGTAGAGTGTAGATTCTAGAGAAATAATGTATAATACACCTGTTGCCATATGCAGAGACTTACCACATTTAGAAAACAGTGGTGAATTCTATTGACAGTGGCTCTCAGTCATTAACATGCTATGGAACACCTCATGAGCTTGATAAAAATATCAGTTCCCAGGTCTACACCTAAAGATCCTGATGTAATTGGCTTAAATAATCACTGCTGAAACACTCTATGTCAACTCAGAATCCTGACAGGAAGTGGTTGCAATGGATAAAGTATCATCTGTTAAAGAATGGGGTAAGATTTGAGTATAGGCGGGTCATACTTTGGGAAATAACTTGGTCAATGGTTAACAGCATAGTCTGTAGTTCAATAAAAGTCCAGTTTTGGAACACAATTGACCTTTTACATGCTGTGTAACCTCAGCCAAGTTGTCTAACCTTTCTGAGCCCTGGGTTACTTTTCTGTCAAGTGGAGGTATTAATAGTACCTAAGCTGTACTATTGCATTGGTAAGATTAAATGAACAATGTATAAAAAGCACTCAGTAGGAGTAAGCCTCAACAATGTAAGTAATTGCTATTAAGAGCTTGATTCATCATGAATATGCCCTACAGAATACTCTGCTTAATGGTGTCCATTCAAGTAGTTAATTCTCCTAGAGCGTGCATATTACGATTTGAGTTATAACATATTCGTAGTTTCAATGTTCCAGAACTTTGTGAAGTGGATAACTCTGTCGTAGCGCTCCCCATCTCTCCCAATTTCCCTCCATTTCACCTCTTCCTAATCTTTGCCTATGATTCCTCTTAACCAGTGATTTTGATTTGCCAGAAAAACAAAACCAAACTCAATACTGGTTTACCGTTTAAAAGAACATCTTTATTATTTCCCCAGGCCGATCACAGCCCTGAACAAAAGCATCTGATACACATTTGTCAGTCTGGTGGCTTTGGTGCCATGACTGCCTACACAGGCCGATGACAGCCACTCGGTTGTCACCAGACACACTGTGAGGGAAGGTGGAGGGGACAGGGGGAACTCTCAGAGCAAACAATCACAAACACACTGTGAAATCAAAAATAAATTATAAAAACTAAATAGTATAAATAAATTAAAATTTAAGTTAAGAAGAGTCCCACAGTGTGGCTGTTTGGCAATAACCAGTCCATAGAAGAGGTAGCTGTGGAGGTCACACGCATGTTCCCAAGGCTCAGGCTCCTGCTCCTCCGCACTGGGCCCACTGAGGTCGCTGGGCCTCGAAGCTTCTGGACCCCTCAGGCACTCGGCTCCAGGTCACTGACGTATTTCTGGACCCACTCCTCACTGGGGTCAGCACAGACCTGCCGGCCTCTCTTGGTTAGGAGGCTGTGGAGAAGGGAGGAAGAGTTAAGCACTGGGGAATCCAGCCGGGGAATCCTGGGCCCACCATGGCCCTGACATCCTGCTCTCTGTCCTGGGCAGCTCAAGGCCTGCTCCTCTCTCAGGGGCCCCCTGCCTATCTCCGTCTAGAGAGCTTCTCTCAGTGACTCCAGGCAAGGGGGCCCTCAGAGTGTCCTGCTGCCTCCTTCTTCCTGTTCCTTTCCTCTGGCCTGGGGCAGCCCTTCCTGACTCTGTAACACCCACCTCACTCCAGCCCCAAGTCAGGTCACACCTCAGTGCCCTGCGTCCTGTATCCCCGATAGGCTCCTGAAGGCTGGGCCTTTCCAGGATGGCCTTCTGGCCTGTTTCTGCCCCCACCCTGACACTCCCTACCTCCCTAGAGGTGAGCAGGAAGACTGGCACTTACATGACACTGGGCTTGGAGCACTGGCTGCTCGTCTCAAAGTAGTCAGCTATGAAATTCTGTGGAATCTGCCGGGAGGTGTAGCTGAAGCAGCAGGCGGTCGGCGTGTCAGCAGCAACTGCGGAGAAAGGAGAGAATAAGCCCAACTCTGTATGTGTGCATATGTTTGTGTGTGTGTGTCCTACAGGTGTGAGCGAGTGGATGCTTCCACTACGTGTCTGCACATGTGTGTGTGCACTTGCATTGTCCTTGCACACCTGCGTGTGTCCCGTGAGAGCGGAGCCCAGCATGTGCTGGCACCTGCAGGAACATGTGAGTGTGCGTTCTGTGGGTCCCTGTCCTGATGGCTCTCCACTTGTCCCGAGTGTCACGACGACGAGGATGGGGACCATATCTTCGGAGCCTGAGGATCCAACACAGGTCCAGCCCTGTGCAGCCGCCCGCCAAGCCGCCAGAGGACGAGCCGGACGCCGAAGGCTACGAGTGGACGATTGCAGTTAGTTTCCAACTCGCCGACTTCGCGCCCCTCCACTGGCTCCGGCTTGATGATCCCGGCTTCGGGGTGCTCTCGGTCCCTCCCCATCGCGTCGTCGCTTTCTCCCTTGGCATAACCCCCAGCCGCGGGGCCGCAGACCCTAAGAGCTCCATGAGCTCTCCGCGCCCTGCCCACCGGCCCCGGCCCCGACCCCTCCCCAGACCGGACCAGAGAGGTGGGAAGTTTGGGGGCACCCGCTGTGGGTGTCCCGTTTCCGGGGCTGGGCTCCGGGGAGCCGGCGCGGCGCCCGCTCCCTGCCCGCCAGCCCTTTGGGAGCTCAGGCGCGGGCAGCCGCTTGTGTTCCTGGGAAGGGCGGAGCTGCGTCCCGGGGAGACACGCCTTGCAGCCGGCAGCCTAGTCGCTCCCCGCTGGCCGGCCGCTCCGTGAGGGCCCCGCAGCGGAGGGTCGGGGCTGGGGCGGGCTGGAGAGGGGGCCCCGGGCTGGGGCCGGTTCGGCCTCCCGGGTGGCGCGCGGGCCGAAGAACTAGGAGGACCGCCGGGCCGGGCCGCTTGTCCTTTGGAAAAACCTTGGCGGTTCCTCCTCTGGTGTCCGTGGACCCCGCCGTGGCGTTCTCCAGGGCCGCGGACCTTTGCCCACCGGTCGCGCCAGCTGTCCTGGAGCAGAAAGGACCCCCCTCCTCCCGGACTGAGCCCCGAGCCCCGAGCCCCATGGAGCAGGCAAGCGCCGGAGTCCCGAGGCTAAGGCCCGGCCGGCGGGCGCTCTGGCACCTTTTCCCGCCCCCGAGGGTGCCTGTCCGGCCCGGCCGGGACTGGCTGGGAAACCGAGGCCGGAAGAGGTCGCAGTCCAGCAAGGAATCGGTTTGTGTGGGGTGGGGGTGGGATGGGAGACCCCTCCCCAACCCCACCAGCCCCAGCCCAGCTGTGGCCCCCGCCGTGTCACTCAGAAAACCAGCGTCAAACCCCAGCCCTGCCTGGGATGTGGACCTTGCCTGGGGAGAGTCCCGTTCAGGCTTTTCCAGGGCCTCTCCCCTGAGCAACAGGGGTGTCTGCGCTGGGCCTGGGCACTCACCAGGGCCTGCAGGCTGCCAGTCTGGAGTTTCCCTAGCATCAAATGTGCCACCGGAAGCTGAAGGTGGGGATGACCAGTGCCCCCCGGAGCGAAGACCCCCCATCTCTCCAGGATTGGGGGTCTGCTTAGGGGTCCACTTAGGGGTGTATCCCTCAGGCATTGGAAGTGCAGATGGGAGGCCCTGAGCCATGGTGGCTCCCCCAGTCCCCAGTTCTTTCTCTGTGTAAATCCAGCTTTGCAGGGACGGGGATGTGGTGCATTTCCCGGAAGAGCCGGGGTCCTGGGGCGTGGGGAGCTGGGGCTGGGTCGTGGGGAGCTGGGACTGGGGTGTGGGGAGGGGCCCAGGGTGAGCAAGCTGAAGCAGGACTGGCACAGGCCTCTGGAGGGCCTGGGGGAGGCTGGACGCCCCGGGGTGCACCCTTGCTTGTGCACTCTTCTAAGGGTCAGTCTCAGTTTGCCCATCTGTAAATAGGGTTGATTGTCCCTGCCCTACGTGGCTGTTGTGAGCATTCAATGAGCACTACCAGTCCTGGGAGACTCTTGGTGTTTTTTATTGTGCTAAAATACACAAATATAAATTTCCCATTTCAACCATTTCTTTTTGCTCCTTCACTCCCCACCCACCCACCCATTTTTACCGTATAGTTCAGTCGTGCTCAGTACCTTCTACCTTCACGCTGTGTGCAACCCATCTCCAGAAGCCTCTTCATCCTGCAAAATTGAAACTGGACCCATTAAACAACACCTCCCCATTCCTCCTCCCCCGGCCCCTGGCAACTGCCATTCTGCTTCTTTCTCCACATATGGAATATATTCTATATACCTAGTTTTACATTAAGATCATAGATAGCTTTGTTTTCAGTATGTATATCTACTTTATTCTTTTCAGTAATTTCATGTTTATTATGTGGCTGTACCATCATGGTTTAAACTATCCATATTTTAAAGAGTTGATTTATATTGGTTGTTTTTACAAACAGAGCTGCAAACAACAGCGGTGTGCCAACAATTTTTGTGTGTGTGTGGGGGGGGTTCTTTTTTGTTTTTGTTTTTGTTTTTGAGACAGAGTCTCACTCTGTCGCCCAGGCTGGAGTGCAGTGGCAAGATCTCGGCTCACTGCGACCTCTGCCTCCCAGGTTCAAGCAATTCTCTTGCCTCAGCCTCCCAGGTAGCTGGGATTATAGGCGCCTGCCACCATGCCCGGCTAATTTTTGTATTTTAGTAGAGATGAGATTTTCCCGTGTTGGCCAGGCTGGTCTCGAACTCCTGACCTCAAGCTATCCACCTGCCTTGGCCTCCCAAAGTGCAGGGATTACAGGGGTGAGCCACCGTGCTTGGCCCTCCTTTGTTTCCTTAGATAGTGTTTCTTGAAATAGATTCCTAGAAATAAGATAGACTGAAGAGTATGTAAATTTTAAATTTTTTTACAGACTGTGTCATTGCTTTTTAAAAATGCTGATTACCAAAATGTCACTTTTTGATACTAAAAAATAGATTGTTTTAAACACACAAAGTAAGTAGGGCTTATCAAAAAGTTAATATATTTTGCATTTCTCACAAGTGTGTTGAATTTCTCCCCCTTGCATTGTACAGCAGGAATCCTGACTCAGTCTAACTTTCTTATACTTAAAAAAGTATATACTAAAACATAGGCCAGGAGTTAGCAAACGTTTTCTATAAAAGACCAGATAGTAAATATTGTTCTTTGTGGGCTATATAATCTCTGTTGCAACAATGTGACTCCACCTTTGTCTTGGAAAGCTGGGATAGATAATATATAAAAGAGTGGGAGTGGCTGTGTTTCAACAAAACTTTGTTTACAAAACAGGGGTCATACTAGATTTGTTCTGAGGACCATAGTTTCTTAACCTCAGTCTAGGCAATCCATCAAGTAATTCTGCATTCACGATAGAAGTCTTATTGTATATATTGGCTGACTGTCTTTCCTTTCTCTAATGTTAACCACTGATTTTGTGGAGCATGGATTCTAGGGAAATAATACCCAGGTAAGATGTCTATTACCATGTGTGTCTTATTTTTGAAAGAGTGGTTAAATTCTTATTGAGGCCGGGTGCAGTGGCTTATGCCTGTAATCCCAGCACTTTGAGAGGTCGAGGCAGGCAGCTCTCTCAAGTTCAGGAGTTCAAGACCAGCCTGGCCAACATGGTGAAGCCCCGTCTCTACTAAAAATACAAAAATTAGCTGGGTGTGGTGGCATGCACCTGTAATCCCAGCTACTTGGGAGGCTGAGGCAGGAAGATCACTGGAACCCGGGAGGCAGAAGTTACAGTGAGCCGGCATGGCACCACTACACTCCAGCCTGGGCAACAGAGCAAGACTCCATCTCAGAACAAGTCAAAACAAAACAAAACAAACACACAAACAAAAAACTGGGAGACCGAGGTGGTCAGATCACAAAGTCAGAAGATTGAGACCAGCCTGGCCAATATGGTGAAAACCCGTCTCTACTAAAAATACAAAAATTAGCCGGGTGTGGTGGCAGGCACCTGTTCTCCCAGCTACTTGGGAGGCTGAGGCAGAAGAATTGCTTGAACCTGGGAGGCAGAGATTGCAGTGAGCCAAGATTATGCCACTGCACTCCAGCCTGGGCGACAGAGCAAGACTCAGTCTCAAAAAAAAAAAAAAAAAAAAGTCTTATTGACAAGTTCAGTAGTTTCTTGTCTTTAGTCTGCATGTGTATCACTTGGGGGTTTGGTAAAAATCTAGATTCCCGCATCCAAACCCAGTTCTCTTGTGAGCATTTTAAATGACCATCCCAGGTGGTTCTGGAATGCTCATAGGATTGCATATTAGTTACACTATTTATTCGCTGCATGGCCATGGACAAGTTGTTTTAACTCTCTGAGCCAACATTTCCTCTTCTGTTAAATGGGAATATTAATAATACTTAGCCCTTGGAGACACTGTTAGAATTTGAAGCACAATGAATAATTTTTAAGAGAGCTTGACTCATGAGAAAAATAAGCTTAAATGCATGAATATATATATCAAGCATGAATTTACCTAGTGCATATGCATTATACACTGGGTGCATAATACTTTATAAAATAATCATTGTTTTAAAAAATAGAGTTTCATTATTTGGGGAGAGGCATTACCGTCATTTCCTTTCTGCTGACTTCCCCTCTTCAGAGTTTTCTGCTCTTCCCCTCCCATCCCACCACCTTGCTTTGTCACAAAACAAAGCCAATAGGATCACCAACAGTTTAAGACTGGTTTACTCAAAACGAATTCATTGTTTTACATAGCTGAACACAGAAATGATAAATAATGTTCTATAAATATTTGTTGGTTGACAGCTTTGGAACAATGTCCTCTAGAAAAAGCTGAACGTAGCCACCCACCTTGTACGAGAGCCGCAAAGAATAGCCATGTGCCTGAATATGTGTCAGCCGCTGTGTGACTGGAGGGGCTGAGGAAGGGGCGTAGAGGGTGTTGTGAGGTCCCTTCCGACAAGCAGTCAAGAACGCATAGAAATACATTACAAAAATTAAATAGATAAGTTGAAATGCATGTTAAGAAGAGCCCCAGAGTGTGGTTGCTTGGGTAGGGGTAGGTTCAGGAATTGAAGGGACGTCCCTAGGGCCTGGGTCCCTGCCTCCTAATTTGCCACAAATGTAACAGTGTCTTGTTGCTTCCAGGTCACTCAGGGATTCGACTCTGAGGTCAGTGATGCACTTGGCACCAGAACTCGATGGGGTTGGCACAGACCTGCCAGCCTCAGCCACTTTCATTCTGGAAGCTGTTAAAAGAGACAGTTATAAAAATTGAGGAATCAGCAAGAGAATTCCTGGTTCCGTGCTACCTTCTTCTCTCTGTCTTGGCAAGTGTCGGGCCTGTCCACTTGCTCAGGACTCTTTGTCCAACCTCAGCTCCCTAGACCTTTCATCAGTGGCTCAGGGGGTCTCTTCAGGCAGCCTCTTCCGGCTAACACTTCCTCCTGTCTTCCCTCTGTCAGGGGCAGCTCTTCCGTGGTTCCTTGCAGACCCCAGGTCAGGCCAGAAAACACCTCTATGGCCCTTCCCTGTGTCCCACCACCAGATAGGACCTCAAAGGCCTGGGGTCCCCAGGATGGCCCTCAAACCGACTGGTGCCCTTGCAGGCTGCCACCCTCCAAGTCCTGCTTCTCTCTAGAGATGGGCAGGAGCACCAGCCCTCACCTGGCACCAGCAGTGAGTCTCATAATTGCCATCTACCATTTTGCTAGGGGGCTTCTGGGGATCCTAGGAAAAGCAGCAGATGCCTGGGTGCTTGGGGACCTGGGCATTCTGAGGGAAGGAGCAGCGTGACCCTGAGTCATTTTTCACTGGGGACAAGTGAGCCAACTCCTTCTACCCAGTGATAAAATCAGAAGGAAGCAGATGGAGACAGCACTGTTCAGGGGATGATTTGGGGATGAGAAGAACTGGCAGGAAGTTGGGGATGTGGGGGTGAGAAGAACCAGCAGGAAGTTGGGGATTTCTTGTTTCCCCACTTTTCCCTTCCATTTCTGTTTGAGCCTTAGGTTTGGCCTCCGTCTCCCTCTGTAGGAATTGCAGCTAATTAAATATTCTGCCTCTTATTCCAGCTTTACTGGGGGAACATAATATGGTCTAAGAAGAGATTTTTCCAGCAAGAGGCCATCTCTGCAAATCACCTGTGAGGCAGACCTGGGGCAATTTTATGACTCAGCTGGCCACCGGGATTGTAGCTGGGTTCTGCCGCTTGTTGAAACCTACTCAGTGTTCTCCTTCCCTAAGTAGGACAAGACCGTATCCTGCCTTTAAGATTTATAGAATAAAAACTGAAAACTCTTTGGGGAAGAAAATCTTCCCGAACAGATAGCCCAGGGCATTTTGAAAATCCCTTAGGAAGTTCTCTGTTTCACTTGGGTACCTTTGTCCTTGGACTTTGGTGATGTGGTTTGACCCCAGCCAGAGAGTGCAGGGAACAACAGCAAAAGGCAGGACAAAGACTGACTCGTGAGAGGAGGCCCAGGAACAGGGGGGCATCGTGAATGAGGAGGACGTGGGGGCCCAAGAAAGTGAGCTCTTGCGCACTCAGTCACCAGCCCCCTTCTGGGGTCCAAGCTGTGTCCCCTTCTCTAAAGAGGTAAGCCCTGAGTCATGGGAAGATGGAAACCGGGGCTGATGAGACAGGATGTTTTTTAAGCACCGTGGTATCTTGTTGACTTGCACATGCACGGGGGTCTTGGGTAACCACAGGGCTCAGGGTATTTGCAGGAACAGTTCAAGTGCTCACTTGTCTTGGGGCTGTTTATGGGGAAGTGGTTTCCACAGTGAGAGGACGTGAGATATTGTTGTCACCCCGGACCACACTTAGCTAGTTCCTTCTCACTAAAGCTCTGTAGTCATATTTTCCCTGGCAGAGCAGAAACTTCTATGTTATCCCACAGCTGTTCTAACGGCGTAGACTTGACTTATGCAATGATGCCAGGAGTCCTGAGCAGCACAGCCCAACTTCAATCACACACAGATGGACAGAGCTGTATTAGCAAAGCCTGAGCTACTGAGCGATGAGAGTACAGCCAGGCTTTCAGACATCTGTTCATTCAAGAGAGATATGCGCTAAGCCAAGGACCTAAAGATGTGTTTAATGTGGGTGCTAATATGCATAAGGAACCTTGAAATAAATGTTCTTAGCCTTTGGCCAAGAGGGTCCATGTCTAGGAATCTATTCTCCATAGAAATAAATTCAAATATGGAAAAAATGAACAATGCATAAGTGTATTTGGTCCCCAGCATATTTATAGCAACTTAAAATTGGACCCAATTTAAATGCCTATGATATGGAAATTGCTGAGAAAATTATGGGCTCTTCCCTTAATTGGCTATTAGGCAGCCTTTACAAACAATGCAGTGACATGAGAAATGCTTATGTTATGGTAAGTTTAAAAAACTCAAGATGCAAATCAGCTTATTTTAATCAGGAGCCACCTAGCATTTGGGATGTGGTCAATCCCACATAATGTATTTTTGTGGGTGCAGTTCCCAGGAAAGAAGAGGAATAAAAACGGCAAGTATGAAGTGTCTCCTTCGCTTGCAGTCTCCTTGTCTACCCCTTTGTCCATCCACTATGAAAGGACTCCCTTCTGTTCCTTAATATGGACAATTTCTATTGAGGACTCATTGTTCTAAGAATTGTCTCATCTCCTCCTGCATCCTCAGTGCCCGATCTTTGGCTTCTATGAAGGAAGGTGGGCAGTGCCTATGGCAGGTCCAGTTCTACCTTTCTCAGTATGTTCTGGCGTGGGTATGTAGCCCCATTTTCTAGTGGTTACCTTGACATCATGAAGAGTTTATGTCTCTTTTGCCCTAGGTTTGGGCAATAGTCATTCACTGTGCAACAGGAAATACACGAGTCAGCATCTTATTAAAAATAAAGTCATTCAGGAAAGTGGACGACTAATAGTTTCTAATCTAGAGAGCATAGGAGAAGAAATGTTTACCACACACAAAGTATTAGTGCCTTTTATATCACGAAGACAAAAATAACAGGAAAAAGACAAACACATTATAGTGAAAACTTGTTTTTCCTAACCAGCATCTATTCTGCATGTTTCCTGATGCCCGAAACTCACATTTCCTCAGGAAAATCTCCCTTCTGCACCATTCTCAGGCTTTAAGTTTATGTAAAATTCAGTAAACCCAAAGATTCAAGTTATGTGCCTTGATTAACTTAAGCAAATCAATGAAACCCATCCCCATAACCACAGCGACAGGTTAGGAAATTCGGTTCCTAAGTCAGTCACATCCGAAAGGGCCTAGTGATGTTTTTTTCCAGTGGGATCACAGACTCACTCTTCCTTGCAGAAAATGAACAAAGGATTCATGTAACACTGGCAGGTACTGGCAGCCACCCAGGGCCTCTCACAGGAAAGGGAGATCAGAAAGAGAAGCAAAGAGGACTCATGAGATACCATAGGGCTGCTGCGTCCAGCCTTGCCTGGAGCTAGGGCCACCTCGATGCCCTATAGTCTTGGAGCCACAACGTGCATTTACTCAAAGCCTCTTTGAGTTTGGTTTGCTTGTTTGCTTTCTGCCTGGAAACTGCCAGCATCCTGAGAGATACGAGATCTGCATCTGTGCAGAGACACAGGGTTTGTTAAAAGTCACAGGCCCTGACTGAAGTGTGGAACTGGCTGAAATGAGAAAGTGGTAATTTGGGGAGGACCTTGTGAAATGGAAGGAGTTTTAAACCTTACATGCATCAGAATTACCTGGAGCCTTGTGAAAACACAGGTTGCTGGGCCCTAGTCCATTAAGAAAGGAAGTGGGGCTTAGAATGTTCATTTCTCCCATGTTCCCAGGTGATATTCACCATGCTGTCCTGTCTGGGCACTACCTTTTGCCATACCCATTACAAGGTATTGCACGTGCTGGTTGAACTATGGTCTGTCTTATTTTGGTGCTAAAAGCCTGTGCCAAATACCAACGCTGCAGCATTAAGGAATGTGATAGAAAAGATTCTGAATATAGGCCAGGCGCAGTGGCTCACGCCTGTAATCCCAGCACTTTGGGAGGCCGAGGCAGGCAGATCACGAGGTCAGGAGATCAAGACCATCCTGGCTAACATGGTGAAACCCCGTCTCTACTAAAAATACAAAAAATTAGCCGGGCGTAGTGGTGGGCACCTGTAGTCCCAGCTACTTGGGAGGCTGAGGCAGGAGAATGGCGTGAACCTGGGAGGCGGAACTTGCACTGGGCTGAGATCGCGCTACTGCACTCCACTCCAGCCTGGGCGACAGAGCAAGACTTCGTCTCAAAAAAGAAAAAAAAAAAAGAAGATTCTGAATATTGGAACTTAGTAGCTATGTATTACATCAGTAAGGTCCTTTAAGAAAGAGTTTAGGCTGCTTTGAAATGGGCTCATCTGAAATTGAAAAAGGAAGAAATTGAACTTGCTAAAAAAGGCCCTTCCAACTTATTGACTGAGAACCCAGTAATCTGGAGACTTGAAGGGCTGTAATGGCAGAATTTTCTACTCTAAGATAAAGTTAGCATGAGCAGAGACAGGAAGATGAGAGACCTAATGAGGCCAAGGGTCAAATATTCATCACCTCCACATGGGCCAAGATGCAGGCAGAGGTCTCTCACCAGGGACTTGGTGGTAGAGGTGACACTGGTAGTGAGGTCTGTGCTAGAAAGTGCACATCCCTGGCTGGGCGCGGTGGCTCACACCTGTAATCCCAGCACTTTGGGAGGCTGAGGCAGGTGGATCACGAGGTCATGAGTTCAAGACCAGCCTGGCCAACATAGTGAAACCCCGTCTCTACTAAAAATCCAAAAATTTAGCCAGATTTGGTGGCAGGCACCTGTAATCTCAGCTACTTGGGAAGCTGAGGCAGGAGAATCTCTTGAACCCAGGAGGCTGAGGTTGCAGTGAGCCAAGATCACACCATTGCACTCCAGCCCAGGAGACAGTACAAGACTCCATCTCAAAAAAAAAAAAAAAAAAAAAGAAAAGAAAAAAGAAAGTGCCTATCCCCAACCCCATTTAAAATGCAAATTCGAGCTTTGTAACTGAAAACATCTCTGCTTCTGGCTACCTGGCCCATGGAATTGATCAGAAGCAAATAGTAGCCTATGGACATTAGAAGGGAGTCACATTGCCAAAGAAACCACAAGACTGGTTCCAAACAGTCGCTGATTACACAATACCTAAGGCAACCTCAGGCTAACTCACACAGACAGGAAGTCAGCAGCCTCCAGAAAGCAGATCCTCCACATTGCACATCTCAGATTGTCCGTGGAGGACATTCCCCCAGGGAGGAGAGCTAGGGACTGCCAGATCAGCTGAACTGCTTAAAAATGCAATTCCCATTCTCCAGTTCCCTAACAGGAGTCTGTGTTTAACTTACTCTGTTTGTTCATAACACTTGTATTTAGGGAATATTGGGCATGATTAAACTTTGTTTAGCTTTGGGTTTCTGGACCTTGTGAAACAATTCAGTGCAGGCAAATATTGTATGCCCCTATATTTTTTTCCTGAAAGTCAATAAAGAAGGAATGATGACACCTTCACTGCATCTATGGGGACAAAAGCTGCTCGTGTGTGTGTGTGTGTGTGTGTGTGTGTGTGTGTGTGTGTGTGTGAAAGAGAGAGACAGAGAACAGCCTTGTCAAAAGGATGTGTTTGTTGCTGTACCCTCATTATACGAAAGCCATCATGGCATCAAAATGCTGTAAGCCAGGCTGAGCTCTATTCTCTCTGCATCAACTCAGAATCCCTACCAGAAAGTGGTTGTGATGGATGGAATATCACCCATCAAAGAACAGGGTAAGATGAGACCAGAGAGGTAAGCTATGCAAGCTAATCAGAAAATAACTCAAAGTTTTAAAAGTGCAGAATATAAAAAGGAAAAACCCTCATTCCTAAAAAAATTTAAAAAAAGCCTCATTTCCTCAAAGAAACGACAGTTAGCTATTTGATGTGTGTCTTTCCAAATATTTGCCTATGTAAATATATGTGTGTATATGGCTTTTAAAAATAAAAACAAAATAATATCCTTTACAGACAGTTTTGTAGCATATGTAGAGAATATATATGCATATACTGAATGTAAATAGATATGCATTTTACCTAGAATATTACGGACACTTTCCACAGTTATAGATGTGTGCTGCTTTTGTTTACTGACTGCAGAATATTCCATTGATGGACATCTTAATCCTCTACTTATTAATCCCCTACTGATGACTGTTTGCATTTCTTTGCTCTTTACCAACCATACTTGAAAGAATATCCTCATGTCTACATATTCTTATCTTTTGGCAGTGTTTCTATGAAGCAGATTCCTAGAAATGGGATCAGGTCAAATGGGATGTAGGTCACATAGTATGTGCATTTTAATATTTGCTAAGTAGTAGTGTTTAATTATGCTTTAAAGAGTTTGAGCCCTACAGTTCTAAACATGTTTGGACACAGAAATTAGATTATTTTAAACAAAATGAAATAAGCATAGCTCATAAAAATTAACACGTTTGGTTTTCACACAAATATTTTGAATTTCCCTTTCTTCTGCAAAAAGGACCCTAGCTTAGTATGCATTTCTTGTACATATAATGCAAGCAATCCATCTATTAAATAACTTACCTTTCAAACCTATAGACAGCATCCTGCTCCACACAGAAGCTGGTTGTCTTTTCATTCTCTAACATTAGCTATTTATTTTGTAGAGTGTAGATTCTAGAGAAATAATGTATAATACACCTGTTGCCATATGCAGAGACTTACCACATTTAGAAAACAGTGGTGAATTCTATTGACAGTGGCTCTCAGTCATTAACATGCTATGGAACACCTCATGAGCTTGATAAAAATATCAGTTCCCAGGTCTACACCTAAAGATCCTGATGTAATTGGCTTAAATAATCACTGCTGAAACACTCTATGTCAACTCAGAATCCTGACAGGAAGTGGTTGCAATGGATAAAGTATCATCTGTTAAAGAATGGGGTAAGATTTGAGTATAGGCGGGTCATACTTTGGGAAATAACTTGGTCAATGGTTAACAGCATAGTCTGTAGTTCAATAAAAGTCCAGTTTGGGAACACAATTGACCTTTTACATGCTGTGTAACCTCAGCCAAGTTGTCTAACCTTTCTGAGCCCTGGGTTACTTTTCTGTCAAGTGGAGGTATTAATAGTACCTAAGCTGTACTATTGCATTGGTAAGATTAAATGAACAATGTATAAAAAGCACTCAGTAGGAGTAAGCCTCAACAATGTAAGTAATTGCTATTAAGAGCTTGATTCATCATGAATATGCCCTACAGAATACTCTGCTTAATGGTGTCCATTCAAGTAGTTAATTCTCCTAGAGCGTGCATATTACGATTTGAGTTATAACATATTCGTAGTTTCAATGTTCCAGAACTTTGTGAAGTGGATAACTCTGTCGTAGCGCTCCCCATCTCTCCCAATTTCCCTCCATTTCACCTCTTCCTAATCTTTGCCTATGATTCCTCTTAACCAGTGATTTTGATTTGCCAGAAAAACAAAACCAAACTCAATACTGGTTTACCGTTTAAAAGAACATCTTTATTATTTCCCCAGGCCGATCACAGCCCTGAACAAAAGCATCTGATACACATTTGTCAGTCTGGTGGCTTTGGTGCCATGACTGCCTACACAGGCCGATGACAGCCACTCGGTTGTCACCAGACACACTGTGAGGGAAGGTGGAGGGGACAGGGGGAACTCTCAGAGCAAACAATCACAAACACACTGTGAAATCAAAAATAAATTATAAAAACTAAATAGTATAAATAAATTAAAATTTAAGTTAAGAAGAGTCCCACAGTGTGGCTGTTTGGCAATAACCAGTCCATAGAAGAGGTAGCTGTAGAGGTCACACGCATGTTCCCAAGGCTCAGGCTCCTGCTCCTCCCCACTGGGCCCACTGAGGTCGCTGGGCCTCGAAGCTTCTGGACCCCTCAGGCACTCAGCTCCAGGTCACTGACGTATTTCTGGACCCACTCCTCACTGGGGTCAGCACAGACCTGCCGGCCTCTCTTGGTTAGGAAGCTGTGGAGAAGGGAGGAAGAGTTAAGCACTGGGGAATCCAGCCGGGGAATCCTGGGCCCACCATGGCCCTGACATCCTGCTCTCTGTCCTGGGCAGCTCAAGGCCTGCTCCTCTCTCAGGGGCCCCCTGCCTATCTCCGTCTAGAGAGCTTCTCTCAGTGACTCCAGGCAAGGGGGCCCTCAGAGTGTCCTGCTGCCTCCTTCTTCCTGTTCCTTTCCTCTGGCCTGGGGCAGCCCTTCCTGACTCTGTAACACCCACCTCACTCCAGCCCCAAGTCAGGTCACACCTCAGTGCCCTGCGTCCTGTATCCCCGATAGGCTCCTGAAGGCTGGGCCTTTCCAGGATGGCCTTCTGGCCTGTTTCTGCCCCCACCCTGACACTCCCTACCTCCCTAGAGGTGAGCAGGAAGACTGGCACTTACATGACACTGGGCTTGGAGCACTGGCTGCTCGTCTCAAAGTAGTCAGCTATGAAATTCTGTGGAATCTGTCGGGAGGTGTAGCTGAAGCAGCAGGCGGTCGGCGTGTCAGCAGCAACTGCGGAGAAAGGAGAGAATAAGCCCGAGTCACAGCTCAGAAGAAAAGGCCAGGCAGCTTCTGATCCCTGAGTGGTTGAGGAGGGCAGGCTTGCTCAGACCAAGTGACTGCAAGGCATTTGGGGGGTTTTGCAGAGAAATGTCTCTTTGTTTCTGTCTATATTCCTCTTTCCCCTTGACTCTTCATAGTGGGTTCTCTGTTTCTCTATGTGATCCAGATACCTGAATGGACTGTTCTCTTAGCTCTCTTCATGGAATTTTGTCGGTTCAAGAAGTCATACCCCAGCCCAAGAGAAGCCCTGGACATCTCTCATAAGACATCCAAGGGACAGGGCTCCTGGGAGACCTAGGGTGAGCTGGAGAGTGAACAACAGACCCCACTGGGAAGTAAGCAGCCCTGGATTCTGCCTCTTGCAAACTGATTCGTTTTGAACCCTGTTTTTCTATCTGTACAAGGGACTGTAACTCCCCTGCCCCTGCCTAGATTCTCATACCTGGAGACTAGGAGGGCTAAGACCCCTTCTAGAGATAAAAATAAAAGTTGTGAAGAAAAAGACCAAGGTGTTTGGCAGCGCTTTAAGAACTTCCTTCTTTTCTCTTCGGGGCTCTCAGGCCGCAAAAAAAGACTGATGTGGTCTAACCATGGCCAGAGAGTGGTGATACCCACAACAACAACATGGACTCACGTGGTGCAGAGAGGACCTGGTTGCAGAGAGCCATGGTGCAGAGGAGGACGGCAAGGGCAGCAGTGGAGACCTGCATGATTGGGAGCAGGTGATGGAATGTGGGCTCGAGTGTCAGCAGAGCCAAGAAGGGACTGACTACTCTTTGCTGCCTGCGTCCTTCTGATGTCTGAAGCCATCTCTCCTCTTTATAGGCAGCCCTGGCGGATGGGGAAATGGAATCTGGGGGTGAGGAGGGAAATTTTTAAGTGTAGTGATGCTGTCATGCTGAGTGTTGCACAACTCAGGGTCCCTGGTGACCACAGGGGCTCAGGATATCCAAGAATAGCATCTCTGAGCTACTCTCTAACTCTCAGCTCTCAACTCATGACTGGTTCTAGCTTCATGGGGTTTCTCCTGTGAGTGTGAAGAGGGGTGTGTGTCAACCCAAGGCTATTCTTAGTTGATCCCTTCTCATAAGAACTGGTCTATGCAGCCAGGCATGGTCGCTCACACCTGTAATCCCAACACTTTGGGAGGCCGAGGCTGCGGATCACCTGAGGTCAGTTTGAGACCAACCTGACCAAGAAAGAGAAACTCCATCTCTACTAAAAATACAAAAGTAGTCAGGCATGGTGGCACATGCCTGTAATCCCAGCTACTCGGGAGGCTGAGGGCAGGAGAATCGCTTGAACCCAGGAGGTGGGGGCTGTGGTGAGCTGAGATCATGCCATTGCACTCCAGCCTGGGCAACAAAAGTGAAACTCCATCTCAAAAAAAAAAAAAAAAAAAGAATTGGTCTATGCATGAACTCTCCAGCCCCATTCCTTCCCACAGAGCTGTAATTCTGCTTCCTCAGCTGCTATAACCACAAGGATAGGGTCAATGGGCTGATGCTGTGGAGGGCTAGACAACCCCCAGTCCTCCCAGAGGAAAGGAACTCAATGAAAGCTGGAGGAATAGAAAGCATGAGGTCACGTTTCAGTCATTTGTCTATTTATTAGTCTCGGAGTGACTGGGGCGCTGTGTTAAACGCTAGTTGTGGATCATAAAAATACTTTAGAGGTGGGTGTCAGTATGTCAGGTGCCTAGAAATATGTGTAGCCATTAACCTAGAAAAAGCATTTCTGGGAAAGAGTTCTGTGGAAACAACCCAAATATGGAGCCATCTTCAAACATAAAGATACCTGACCCAGCATCATTTATAACTCTAAAATAAGCAAAGCTAAATTTTTCTCTATCAGGGAATGATAAATTATCCACAAGATCCTTTATTATTAAGTCTCTAACGTGAATGAAGTGGCATAAATATGCTTATAACATCAGTGGTTAAAAAAAAAGCAAGATAAAACATTATACAAATTCTATAAAATTTGAAGAATTGTATAAAGATATATATATGCCATGCCAACTCTAGGCATGGAAAAAATTAAAAGGCTTGGAAATACATGCCTTAAAGAATGAATAGTGCTTAGATCCATGGGTGATTTATTTTCTTATTTTTTTCTTTTTCTGAATTTTCCTCATTTTATTTAGTGAGACTGTATTACCTTCTTGGTCAGCCCACAAATTTATGAACTAATTTTGTTTTAAAACATTTCCAACATCACTGGTTGAAAAGTGGGTTGTTGTCAGTTGTTTAATCTGAAAGAAATTACTGATAAATATGCTACAGTTTCTGTTCAATGGGCTTTGCCAAAATGAAGTCTTGATTTCCCATTTCTTTGAACCATTTTAAGGATCCTGTACTATACTTACATAAATAATGCCAAACTGAAGCAGTTTTTTCCTTATTCTTTTCAACACATAATTTCAGTGGTGTGGAAGGGTCTCTACCTTCTCAGCCAGATTATATGCTTTTTTTTTTCTTTTCCATACTTTGTTATTTTATTATTTTGCAATCAATCAGCATATCTCATTTTATAATGAGAAATAGATTTAGTTGGTTTTAATGATCTTTGTTTCTGAGATGCCCCTGGTCTCATGGGGGCAGGTAGAGTGTATGAACAGGTAATTGTAAAACTCTTAGTAGAAAAAGAAATGAAAGCTCAGAACCCCATGAGGAAGAAGTGACCTTCCACCAGAGGGTTGGGGAAGGCTTCATGGAAGGGATGGAACTTTAGTTGTGTCTGGATAACTGCCCGGGATTTAGGCATCTATAGATGGGTGGGCAGTGGAGGCCCAGCTGAGGCAGAGTCCTGGGTGTGACATTGTGGCTCAGAGGAAAGAGGGGGTGCTTCAGTGGAGCTGCAGAGCAGTGGGGGTGAATATGGATGATAAAGGTAAATTGGGACCAAACCAGGACAGGCCTTGAATTCCCCCCAAAGGGGTTAGAGTTGACACACTTGATGCTGGAGAACAACGGAGGACAGAAGCCAAGTGGGACCACGCCTTTGAAATTCTGTCCTTCCTGAGTGTCTTTAGACTTAGGTCTTTTAATACACATGGGCTCTGTTTCCATTCCACCCCAGTGATGGCTAGTGCCAGTCTTGAGGGAGGAGAAGCAGAGGCAAGATCAGGGGCCGTGGTAGGTTTCATCAGAGCTTTGGCATCCACGTATCTTCCCCTATTGCTACCAATTCCAAATAAAGGTATCTCTGCCACTTGTCTCATTAGAAACCTACATCACAGGCAATGACTCCTTCTCACCCCACCCTCTGCCTCTCAGCTCTCGTTGATACCCTGAATTGCGTTCCGTCACTCACTTCTTAGGGGAACCCCCTCCATACTCGTGATTCCTTTTCTGGGAGCTGGCTTCTGTGAGTTGTGGAGAGTGAGAAAAGGAAATGGAAACTGCTGAATCAGTCAGTGTTCTGATAAGGGACATCCTCTATCTCTGTGATTACAGTACAGTGTGTTATAATTAGTTACCTATGTAATTTGCTCTTCAAAAACCTAGACCATGTCCTGTTGATTTTATTTTAGTTTCTTTTTCTCAAGAAATTTATAGTTTAATAAAGGCAATGTGGGAGTGTGGAAACAAACTTTGATTTTGTACTAATGATAGATTAGCAACTACACAAATTTTAGTTCACAATAAGTAATATTTATCGAGTGATCACCATGTGCTGATTTCCATAATATGGATTTACATGTTTGAACTGTCTTCAAAACAACCCTATGATTTAGTTACCAGTATACTTTCTTAGTTGAACAGGTGAAGAAACCAAAGTAAATAGAGGTTAAGCAATTTTCCGAAGGCCGTAAAGCTGATGACTAGCAGAGCAGGGATTCACATCCAGGTAGTCTGACTCTAGGTACCACATGCTACACATCCTGTACCACAACTTATTATATTTGATCCTCATACCAATCCTATAATGGTAGATTTTTTAGAGTGTCTTCTCAGATTGTAAACCAACTCCAGACCATGTCTCGTTGGTTGATTTAAACCAAATCCTAGTACATGATGATTATAACATGATGAACCTCCTGACCTAGTCTCTATCTCTTATTATTGTGTTCTTTATAATAAAGATGATTTATTGAATATATAATTCTATCTCAGTGTTTATATATTTGTAAGACTTTCTCTATCAATCCCCAAACCAGGAAATAGCCCTTTGCCATGTGTTTTGGCTTGGAGTAAAATATAGTTGCACGCATAGCATTTGCTTAATTTATATACGTTGAATGAATAATGTAAGGGAGATGTAGGACGGGGTTGAGTTGGGAGGGTCTTAGACATTTCCTAGGTGGTAAATTGATGTTCCCAGTTGAAATGACGTACCCAGGGTCATGCAGGTGGAATTGGTCAGTTTTATATTCCACTGTCTGTGTTAGTTACCAGTGTATCTCCAGTGATAACCACAATGCCTGACATATAGTGAAGCTTAATACCTATTTGATGAATAAATAAATCACTGATTTGACTAACAATATGTGTTATGCCTGAACTCTCACTATGGAGTTGAAATACTAATGGGAAGGGTAGGATAAGAAAGGCCATGGTGAGTGGGAACGGGGAGAGGATCAGGAAAAACAACTAATGGGTACTAGACTTAATACCTGGGTGATGAAATCATTTGTACACCAAACCCCCATGACACAAGTTTACCTATGTAACAAACCTGCACATGCATATCTGAACTTAAAATAAAACAAACACACACATACACACACACAGAATCAGGAGAGACAGTCAGAAGCGTGACAGGTCTCCAGAGCCAAGGAAGAATTTTTAAATAAAATGAGAATTGAAGCCAGGCACGGTGGCTCATGCCTGTAATCCCAGCACTTTGGGAGGCTGAGGCAGGCGGATCTCCTGAGGCCAGGAGTTTGAGACCAGCCTGGTCAACATGGTGAAACCCTGTCTCTACTAAAAATACAAAAAATTAGCTAGGCGTGGTGGCACATGCCTGTAGTCCCAGCTACTCGGGAGGCTGAGGCAGGAGAATCACCTGAACCCAGGATGCTGCAGTGAGCTGAGATCGCACCACTGCACTCCAGCCTAGGCGACAGAGCGAGACTCCGTCTCAAAAAAAAAAAAAAAAAAAAGAATTGAGGGTCCCAATAAAGATACAATTTGAAAGAGAAATGTAAATTAAACTTATATAAAGAAGTTTTCAGTAACTTGGATCTAAAAGTTTATGATTTGCTTTAAAGATAAAGGAAAGAAAGAAAGAAGAAAAAGAAGAAAGAGAAAGAAGAAAGAAAAAAGAAAGAAAGACGAAAGAAAGAAGCAAAGAAGGAAGGAGAGAGAGAAAGAAAAGAAAAGAAAAGAGAAAAAGGCCATGGTGTCACAGTTTTGATCTTTGGGAAACTGACCACCCAAGATTCCTTAGGTGGTGGTGACAGAAAGTAGACAGCAGTCAACACCGTGGACCCTTCAGCATGGAGGGATTTGATTTGTGTCCCAGCGTTCTGGCTCATTTCAGCCTCTGCGAGGCCCCACCTCAGTCCAGCAGAGCGTCCCAGTCCACAGTGCGGGGAATCATGGCTGGGCAGTTTGTCCTCTGCGGCGTCTTTGCCTTGCGCTGCTCAGCTTGCCTCCCCACTGTGTGCTGCTGCCTGTGCTCTCCAGTGCGGAGCATTGCTTTCCTTCCAGATTCTGGCCCCGAGGCTCCACTTCCCCAAGTGTCACCCTCCTCTATCTCCTTTGGCAGCAGGCGCCCCAGGGATGGGTTCACTGATGATGACATCCTGTTTGGCCCAGCTTTGGCCTCCTTTTCTCATATGTGGTCTGCGTGGTCAGGTTGCAGCAGGTGTGGGCCCCACTTTTCATGCAGGCAGAAGCAGCAGCCTGGAGTCCCCTGTCTAGTATCTTAGACAGACAATGTCTCATTGACACAGCCCCTTCTTTCTGCAGCCAGCCCCTTGTTTCCCGTCCTGAGTCCTTGTTATTTTCTCTAGCCATTTCTTGCATGTGTGCAGTAGGTCAGGGCGTATGTCTTGGTACTGGATCCGATCCCTCTCCTGGTCCCTTGCCCCTTCTTCCATATTCTCTACCCAATAAAAAGTGCCTCTTCCTATCAGTCTTCCAGTCCAGAAAGCTGAGAGTCACCCTTGTCTCCTCTTTCTCTGTCATCTCCTACAGCTATTCAATCACCAACTCTAGTCTACATTCAATTTTACGTGCATCTGCCTCTCACCATTCCCACTGCCTCTGTCTTAGGTCAGGTTCTTATGGATTCTCACCATGACAACTAGAAGAGGGTCCTAGCAACTGCTTTTTCTTCCACTTTTGTCTCTAATTTATTTATTTATTTTGAGACAAGGTCTCACTCTGTGGCCCAGGCTGGAGTGCAATGGCTCGATCTTGGCTCACTGCAACCTTGGTCTCCCAGGTCAAGCAATTCTTGTGTCTCAGCCTCCCAAGTAGCTGGGATTACAGGCATGTGGCACCACACCCAGCTAATGTTTTGTATTTTTCGTGGAGACGGAGTTTCACCATGTTGGCCAGGCTGGTCTTGAACTCCTGGCCTCAAGTGATCTGCCTGCTTCGGCCTCCCAAAGTGCTGCGATTGATTACAGGAGTGAGTCACCACGCCCGGCCTAGTTTTGTCTCTTTTTAATCTATCTCACCATACAGCATCCAATATACTTTTGCTAAAGCTCAAATCAGTCTCTGTTTCTCTCCTTTTAAAATCTTGCAAACATTCTGCATCGTTTCTGACATGAAATGGAAGCTTCTCTGTAACCTGACCCCTGTCTACCTCTCTGGCCTCGTGACTTGCCTGCTGAGACTTCCTGAAAACCAAGACCCAGCCTTTTTGCACTACTTGTGGTTCCTTAAATGTGCAGCTCTCTACCTTGCTTTTAATGAAGGAGGTGCCCACTTGGTAAAGCACAATTTCACCTTCTTGTAAACCACAGGGCAGAGTGAAATGCTATGAATGTGGGCACATCCCGTGACAGCTGCAGGGATTCATATTTAGAACAATTAAGGAAAAACATTATGTAATTTCCCATCTTTTCTTTTCTTCTTCTTGTTGTTGTTTGTCTTTTTTTGACAGAGTCTCTCTCCGTCGCCCAGGCTGGAGTGCAGTGGGGGCGATCTCAGCTCACTGCAACCTCTGCCTCCCCTTCCCCCTCCCCCTGGGTTCAAGTGATTCTCCTGCCTCAGCCTCCCGAGTAGCTGTGATTACAGGCATGTGCCACCATGCCTGGCTAATTTTTGCATTTTTAGTAGAGACAGGGTTTCACCATGTTGGCCAGGATGGTCCCGAACTGGCCTCAAGTGATCTGCCCACCTCAGCCTCCCAAAGTGCTACAATTATAGGCATGAGCCAGCAAACCCAGCATGTAATTCCCCAAATTTTCTAAGAAAAAGAGAGAAATCCATGGATCTTGCTGTTCAAAGACATGCAAAATGCACAACAGAAAAGACATTTTACACCAGAATAACAGAAACTTTGGTTGTTATGCTTTTAACATAAATTTATAATACAGCACACTTCCCTTTTCTGATTTATTCATGCTCTAGAGCCAGACTTCTTGGCTTCAGTTTCAAATCTGCTGTGTGTCAGCTGTGTGTTTTTCCATAAGTTACGTACCTCTCTGTGCTTCAGTTTCTTCGTGTGTGAAAGGGGATAGTTACAGCACTTAACTCAGAGGGCCACTGTGAGGATTAAATGCATTAATACCTATGAAAGGCCGAGAACATTACTGGTTCATAGTAAGTGCTATCTACTATTATTACTATTACCATTTTATTATTATTGAAATATTTCAATACCTCCATTTTATATCCGAAACAAGTGCAGGTCTCTTGTTCTTTGCCTGGATACCCCTATCCCTGTCTTTGCCTGGCTAATTTCAGTTTAACCTATAATAGAGAAAAGTTAGAGCAATGTAAATGGACTGATGTGAATGATTAAATACAACTTTTGGTATATCTATGCAATAAAATATCATGTGTATATTCATGCCATTTTTGAGTAATATTTAAGTTTGTAATGGCACAGAAGAAGACTAAGTAGCAATAATAAGATATACTAGGTCATGAAAGAATATTAAGTACCAATAGTAAAATATAAAGCTAGGTACAGAATGATAGGGCAATTTTAATTTTCTTATATATGCTTCCCTATATTTTTTCAGTTTTGCAAACGACCACGTATACTTTCTATAAAAGAAAAACAAACTGATATATATGTTAGTTATAAATATATAGATATAATACATATATTAGTTATATATATATATATTATTTATTTATTTATTTATTTATTTATTTATTTTGAGACAGAGTCTCGCTCTGTCACCCAGGCTGGAGTGCAGTGGAGCTATCTCGGCTCACTGCCATCTCCACCTTCCAGTTTCGAGAGATTCTCATGCCTCAGCCTCCCGAGTAGCTGGGACTGTAGGCATGTGCCACCACACCAAACTAAGTTTTTGTATTTTTAATAGACGTGGGGTTTCACTATGTTGGCCAGGCTATTCTCAAACTCCTGACTCAGATGATCCACCCATCTCAGCCTCCGAAAGTGCTGGGATTATAGGCATGAGCCAGCACCCCTGGCCATAAATTTTTTTTCAAAAAAAAAACAAAAACAGATCTCAAATTTTTTGGAAGCCCTCCATAACACTTCACTACCACCATCTAAAGTGCTTACCCTCGCCCTCGGACACAATGCCTGTCACACAGTAGGTACTCAATACAGCTTTACTGAATTATGTTCATCTCTTGCTGGAGTATTCCCTATCGCCTGCATGGAAAAAGGCCAGAAACAATTTGAAGGAAGATGCTTCACAAGGAATACTGAAAGTTTTCTTGACCTCATGAATGCTGGTGAGGCTTTACCCCTCTCTCAGGAATTTAACATCTCCTGAAGTTCCTGACCTCTGCCTTTCACAACTAAGAGCAGGCTGTGGCGGTGACCAAGGTCCATTTCCATGGTAAGAAGAGTGGGGCTGGCCAGCTCTGTAGTCAGAGTGTGGCAGTCACCGATGAGCTGCTCCAACCGCTCACTGTCCTATGGAGGCAGAAATTTAAAAAATAAATATGCACTCATTCATTCCAAGAAAATAACAGGCAATAAAGGAGAAGTTTTCCTCTGCCTAGCAAGCTCGCTTCAAGGACAGTTATAAGATAACGTTGTTTGAGAAGTCGAAGCCAAAGGAATGGGCTCCAGACACCCCACCTCCATAACAAGTCTGAAGAAAAAAAAAAGGGACAAATGTCTGTATTTAGCCAGTTCTGTTTTTCTTTCAGTGCAGCTGTAAGGCCACCAGCTAAGCAAGGCCACAAGTTATGCTATGCTATAGACTATGGGACCTATCATTATATGATTAACTGCTTTAGTTTTGCTTCTGCAAGCCTGCTTGTAAAACCCCACTCTGTCTTTGTTGAAATGCTCCAAATGCTCAGCTTTTTGGATATGAATTCACTGAGCCAGTGCACACCTTAAAATAAATATCCTCCTGTTCTCCCATATTGGTCTCTTCATTCCTCAGTTTACTACAGCATTACAGATTTCATCCTGAAGAATGCTGCACTCTGGATAATTGTGTACTTGTTTCTTCAATCCACAATTCAGCTTCTGCTCCCATTTCCCCCAAAGTGACTTGGATACCATACTGGCAAAACCACAGGATTTGCCTCGTCTTGGTTTCTTATCTTGGCAAAATGACCCTATGTTCCAGCTCCCCTTGGGTTTCCAGTCTCCACATTTGCCCTCCAGGAGTTCTCTAGTTCTAGGCATCCACCTCCTGGAGGCCACCTCTTGGCCCCAACACTCAGAGGTCTCCCCAACACTCTAGGAGAGGCCAGGATGTCCAGATTGACTGCCTCTCTACCCTGCTCCTCAGCACTTTGGTAATCTCTTCTGAGAGTCTGTTATTAACAGAGATTGCCTATATGTGTAATCTCAGAAGGTCATACCTGTAGAGGGACTCTGGTCATCTCTGAACTGGGAATTGTAGGCCTTGGGTCTTGACATGCATCCTGTGTGACCTTGATCAGGTCTTTTCACTTCTCTAGGTTTTGCTTTCCTAATCTGTACCGTGGCAAAACAGATCAGGGTCAGGTAAAACCACAGGCCACGGATATGCTGAGGAAAATGAAAAATACCAGGGCATTTTCAAGGTCATGTTACTGCTGTGGCTGCTGGGCCTGTCTGCAGCCTGGGAGGTTGAGGACAACATGACAAGACAAATGTAAAAATGCCCAGAATGGAGTTATGAATATAGTGGTGGTCAAGGATGTGGGGGGGGGAACCTCTAAATGACCACAAGTGAGGGGGAAAGAAGGGCTTCCCTGCTCGGGGGTGAGAGGGTGGCCCTCTGAATGGAGCTCCCTGGAACCATGGATGACCCTTGCTGTCACTTCTTGCAACCCTGAGCTACAAAGAGTTGAGTCCAAGAATAGTATCCATTATGATAAAACTACTGGATGCGTGGGTTGAGGGTGGGGGAGAAGGGGAAGTACCACACTATCAGGGCTGAGGAATCACCTTTTGGGTGGCATGTCAGAACACCCAGTTCATTCATACTTGGTTTACTCATTTGGCTATATAGGGGTCCACATCTTGAGTCCATATTACTCATCACATCCCCTCCATGGAGATAAGCATAACATAGTTTCTGCATCAAGGAGCTCACTTTCTAGTCGGGGAGGAAACCACATGAATAGATAAATATGTGATAGGTGGTAAGAAGGAAGTAGTTCAGGAGACTGTAGGAGCACAGTGAAGGATACAGAGTTTACTTGGGAAAGAGATCAGGGAAGTTTCTCTAGAGAAGATGAACATCTTTTTTGTCATGTATTTGAGAATCATTTGTTTATTGGCTCTTCTTGGCTTTCCGGTCTCCACGTTTGCCCTCCAGGAGTTCTAAATGGCACCAGTGTCTAAATCTTGTTGGGGGTGGGGGGTAAGTTAATATTGCTGAACAAAATGATACAAGTCCTTTTTACTCTCAGTGTGGACTTCCACTGGTGCAGACATAGTATTGTTGTTAGGATCTTCATGAAGATCCATCAAAACGTTTTACCCCCATGAGCCAAAGATCAGATCAAGGCGAGGAAACAAAAGTCAACAGACAAACTCATTGTATGGCTCAGTGATGGCTAATCACCCATTTTATCAATCATTATTCTCCTGAAGCCCCAGAACAGGCTTCCTCCTAACCCCTCCACCCTGCTCATTCAGACAGCTACTCTAGTGGGAATTGAGACTTAACTTGAAACTACTCATCTACAGCTGATAGACAGCCTTCTCCATCCTTCAGGCTTCCTGACACTTTGTTTCTTCCTCTGACATGACACTTAGCTTATTCCACCTCTTGGGATAGTTATTTCTGTCACTGTCAATGCCATCACTAGACATGGAACTCTTCAAAGGCAGGGATGGGGCTTCATTCAGCTCTGTCTGCCCTGGCAAAGAGCAGATGGTTAGTACATTGGGCTGAACAAAAATGTCATAGATAACGAAGTCTGCGTGAATCCAGAGAACATGAAACACATACTGCTTCCCTTAAAGTGAGGTCCTCGATGCATGAAGATGAAACTGCACCAACTAGGAAAGGTCAGGAGAGGTACTAACACATCTGCTATCAGGCAACACGGAACATTACAGCTGGGGGCGAGGGTCTTGGAGAAGATCAGAACATTTGAAGCAAGAGCTGTACAAAGAAAAGGGGGAGAGAACAGATGAGAGAAGTGCAGCTTGTGTGTGCGGGTGGGGAGGGAGGGAGAGTGCTGAGGCAGGATGACCTTGTACTTTATTTCATGACCCTGAAGTACCCCAGGATGCTGCTCCAACCTCTCCTGTGGCTCCCAGATGCTGTGGGTCCCTTTTTTTCTTAACTTGTATTTTAGGTTCAGGGGTACATGTGCAGGTTTGTTATATAGGTAAGTTGTGTGTTGCGGGGGGTTTGGTGTACAGATTATTTCATCACCCAGGTAATAAGCATAGTACCCAATAGGTAGTTTTTTTTATCCTCACCCTCCTCCCACCCTTCACCCTTAAGTAGGCCCTGGTGCCTGCTGTTCCCTTCTTTGTGTCCATGTGTACTCAATGTTTAGCTTCCACTTATAAGTGAGAACATGCAGTATTTGGTTTTCTGTTCCTGTGTTAGTTCGCTTAAGATAATGGCCTCCAGCTCCATCCATGTTGCTGCAAAGGGCATGATCTTGTTCTTTTTTTTATGACTGAGAAGTATTCCATTATATATATATATATATATATATATATATATATATATATATACCAAATTTTTTTTATCCAGTCTACCATCAGTGGGCATTTAGGTTGATTCCATGTCTTTGCTATTGTGAATACTGTTGCGATGAACATACATGTGCACATGTCTTTATGGTAGAATGATTTATATTCCTTTGGGTATATACCCAATAATGGGATTGCTGGGTTGAATGGTAATTCTGTTTTAAGTTCTTTGAGAAATCGCCAAACTGCTTCCCACAATGGCTGAACTAATTTACATTCCCACCAGCAGTGTATAAGTGTTCCTTTTCTCCACAGCCTCACCAACATCTGTTATTTTTTGACTTTTTAAAAATAGCCATCCTGACTGGTTTGAGATGGTATCTCATTGTGGTTTTAATTTGCATTTCTCTAATGATTAGTGGTGCTGAGCATTTTTTGTATGTTTCTTGGCCGCGTGTACGTCTTCTTTTGAAATGTGTCTGTTTATGTTCAATGCCCACGTTTTAACGGAGTTGTTTGTTTTTTGCTTGTACATGTGTTTAAATTCCCTATAGATTCTGGATATTAGACCTTTGTGAGATACATAGTTTGTAAATATTTTCTCCCATTCTGTAGGTTATCTCTTTACTCTGCTGATAATTTCTTTTGCTGTGCAGAAGCTCTTTAGTTTAATTAGATCCCATTTGTCAGTTTTTGGTTTTGTTGTGATTTGTTTTTGGCATCTTCATCATGAAATATCTGCCAGATCCTATGCCCAGAATCATATTGTCTAGGTTATCTTACAGGTATCATATTTTTATAGTTTTATATTTTAGGTTTTACATTTAAGTCTTCAACCCATTGTGAGTTGATTTTTACAGATGGTGTAAGGAAGGGGTCCAGTTTCAATCTTTTGCATACAGCTAGCCAGTTATCCCAGTACCATTTATTGACTGGGAAGTCCTTTCCCTGTTGCTTGTTTTTGTTAACTTTGTCAAAGTTCGGATGGCTGCAGGTATGCAGCATTATTTCTGAGCTCTCTATTTTGTTCTATTGGTCTATGAGTCTGTTTTTGTACCAAAGCCATGCTGTTTTGGTTACTGCAGCCCTGTGGTATAGTTTGAAGTCATGGCTCCCTTTTTTTACTCTTCTTTTTTCTTTCTCAGAGAAGAGCAGGTAACAATGTGGGGTTAAAGGTGAGCAGGTGGGTTAGAGTAGTGGAGCTAAAGGCAGATAGAGGTCTTGATCCAATTATCCTCATTCCCTTCATTTGTCCAACCTTGCACACTCCTGTATGCAGGGCCTTTGTAAGCTTCACCTTCTGTACAGGTGCCCAGCAACTGTCAAACCAGCCAGGGCTTAACATGAGCATGGGCATTCCCTATGGACTGGCTGGGACACACCCACATCCTTAGATTACACATTTTGCCTGTAACATAGATAAACTCATTACTAGGTATATAATTCTGTTTTGTTTTGTTTTGGTTTGTTTTGCTTTGTTTTGTTTTGCTTTGCTTTGTTTTTGGGACAGGGTCTCATTCTGTCAAACAAGCTGGAGTGCAGTGGCACAATCACCACTCACTGCAGCCTGGACTTTCCTGGGCTCAGGTGATCTTCCCACCTGAGCCTACTGAGCAGCTGGGACTACAGGTGTGTATCACCACTCCCAGTCAAGTTTTTTTTTTGTATGTGTGTTTTTTATAGAGACAGTGTTTCACCATGTTCCCCAGGCTGGTCTCAAACTTCTGGGCTCAAGCAATCTGCCTGCCTTGACCTCCCAAAGTGCTGGGATTTCAGGTGTGAGGCCCTGTACCCAGCTCAATTCTGTTTTTATACTAGAAGAACATTCTCTATCTGGGTCTTCCAGACTTGATTCTTACTGGTTAATTTGTCCTGGTCTTTTGCTGGTCCAAGAAAATATCTTGAAATCTTTATTTCTTCTCCGTTCCCTCCTTGTCCTAGGACAGACTAGCCCTATCCCTTCCCTGAATTAAGTCTGAGTATAATCGGTCTTTGAGTGTGGAATAGCTCCTAGCAGTCTATCAGTCAATGGTTTCTCTTTGTGGTCACACTCTATGTTTATTCTGGAGACTACAGCATGGAAAGAAAATGGACTTTGGAGTCAGATGAATCTTGATTCGAATCTTGATTCAAATCTTGGCAGTGCCATTCATCAGTTCTGTGGCATTGAGCGCCATCAGTGGACCACTCTCTGATCCCCAATTGCCTTATCTGTAAAATGAGATTAGACACCCCTGCTCAAGATTATGGTAGGATTATATATAATATGTGTAACACAGCTTTCCCAGTGCCTGGTACAAGGTAAGTGTCCAATAAGAACTTACAAATGTTCCTGAGCCACCCTACTGGGTCCCTCCGCACATCCAATGCTGGACTCTTCATGCCCAAGGAAACATATAGGGCACAAAAGTCAGTGGCACTGAGCTCAGCAGAAGAAGGCACAGGAAGGGGATGGGGGAGTCCTGGTTCCCGCTTTGTTCTTGGGGCCAGGACAGTGGCCAGCCTGGAAAGACTGGCATGAACCCTCCAGCATCTGGGGGTGCCAACCACCAAGAGCAGCACAGTTCTTGTCTACAAGCCACTTGTAGCAGGTGTGAACATTTCATCTTTTCCTCTGGGGTTTGCAACTCTCTCCCCAGTCTCGGTCACTGCTTTTGGCTGTACCACTTCCCTTTTCTTCTCGCCTGCACCTCCCTCATCTTTCCTCTATGATGACATCGCCCTGGGGAAGAGAAGCTGAGAGGAACTCCTCACTCAGCTAGCTTCAGGAGCCATGACATCATCTCTACCATGGAAATTCCACTCACTCTCCTGTGCCCCCACATTTGTCCTAGGCCTCAGAGTCCCTATAAAGAGAGATTCCCAACTCAGTATCAGCACAGGACACAGCTAGGTTCTGAAGCTTCTGAGTTCTGCAGCCTCACCTCTGAGAAAACCTCTTTGCCACCAATACCATGAAGCTCTGCGTGACTGTCCTGTCTCTCCTCGTGCTAGTAGCTGCCTTCTGCTCTCTAGCACTCTCAGCACCAAGTAAGTCTACTTTTGCAGCTGCTATTTCGAGTCAAGGTGTAGGCAGAGTCCTTTTTTCTATTCATGGCTGGCAAACAGTGGGATCTGGGGATGGGACAAAAGGCAGCTAGGAAGATTGCCATGTAGTCTGCTGCTAAATGTAGAGTCTAGTAGATATTCAGTAACATTCAAGTTCCTATTTTCTTAAGAATTAGCAACCAGCAGAGGAAAACGATGGGCTGGAAGTCAGACTGTTGAATTGGCTCTGCCTTTAATTATTTGTTCAAGCAAGCCCCTGTCCCTCTCTGTGCCTTGGTTTCCCCATCTGTCATATGAAGGGAGTGCGATGTGTTCTGAGACTGAATCCAGTTCCAATCTTCTAGATTTCTTTCTCGTTCTTCTCTGAAGATCCACTATTCAGAATAAGACTCCTGCTCATGTTAGGTGGGAATGGATACAAGGGACCATATTTGGGGTTCTGGTAGCTCCACAGGGATGCTCAATGAAGATGCAAAATTAGAAGTCAAAATAAACAGCTCCCATGGGCAGTGTTGATCTCACCCTGGCCTTTCCTTTCAGTGGGCTCAGACCCTCCCACCGCCTGCTGCTTTTCTTACACCGCGAGGAAGCTTCCTCGCAACTTTGTGGTAGATTACTATGAGACCAGCAGCCTCTGCTCCCAGCCAGCTGTGGTGTGAGTATCAACCCCTGGCTGCCCTGGGAGGCAAGGGTGAGGGCTGGATTTTTAAAGGGGGCCTGTTTTGGGGAGGGGGTGATGAGCGCTGGGGAGGCAGCTCTCAGGGCTGAAGCCTTCCCTGACAGCAGTGAGGTCACAGGTCATGAACTCACTTTTCAAGTGCTGAAGGCGGCTGAGTGGCAGCCGAGACAGAAGGGGGTTCCTGGGGAGGAAGTTATTCAGAGGACAGGGAAGCAGGGGAAGGCAGACAGGTCCCGTGAGATATGGACCAATTCCTTAAACCATGCTAGAAAAACATGTGGAAAAGTCACTACCAGGCTGGCAGGGAATGGGGCAATCTATTCATACTGATTGCAATGCCCACTGGTTCCTAATCTGGGCAACCCCTGGGGCCCACAGCTAAATCCAGTGAGTGGAAGTTACAGGGAGTCTGCTTCCAGTGCTGCTCGAGGAAGGATCCCATCCACCAGAGCTGCCCCACATGGACCATGGTCAGGCAGAGGAAGATGCCTACCACAGGCAAGGGATAAAGCCAGATGACCTCAAAGGTCCCATGGGATTCTAATCTGTCTGCTCCTTGTTCTACAGATTCCAAACCAAAAGAGGCAAGCAAGTCTGCGCTGACCCCAGTGAGTCCTGGGTCCAGGAGTACGTGTATGACCTGGAACTGAACTGAGCTGCTCAGAGACAGGAAGTCTTCAGGGAAGGTCACCTGAGCCTGGATGCTTCTCCATGAGCCGCATCTCCTCCATACTCAGGACTCCTCTCCGCAGTTCCTGTCTCTTCTCTTAATGTAATCTCTTTTATGTGCTGTATTATTGTATTAGGTGTTATTTCCATTATTTATATTAGTTTAGCCAAAGGATAAGTGTCCCCTATGGGGATGGTCCACTCTCACTCTTTCTCTGCTGTTGCAAATACATGGATAACACCGTTAATTCCATGTGTTTTCATAATAAAACTTTAAAATAAAATGCAAACAGTTTCTTTGTGATTTTAATTTGATTTGGGGGTAAAAGGAATTGCCTGGTACCATTGGGCGGTGGGGCAAGCTACAGTTTCCAAAAGCAGTAAGAATGCGCAATTGCTGAGTCCTTAATATGAGCTCTGGGCTGAACACTCTTAATACATGATCTCACTGCGTACTTTCAACAAGGGTTTTAACACCCTTATGAAGTAGGGACTGTTGCCCCCAGTTTCACAGTTAAGGAAAGAGAGGCACAGAGAGGTGAAGTGACTTGCTGAGGCTAGTAGGTCTGCTTGGGGAGTGTCATGAAAAAATGCCTTTAAAAAGGAGGTTATCATTTCAACATCTTGTGGGGGGAGTTGTAAAGAGGGGAAGCAGCACAGCAAAGGCGGAAGAAGAGTGAGAAAAGTGACTTCATCATATTATTATCAGCATAACATTGGGAAAGTCATCTTGCTTTATTAGACCTCAGTGTTCACAAGTGTGAAATGTAGATAATATTAACATTTATCTACATAAATGTTACGTAGATTTATGTAGATAAAGGGCTGTTTATCTACATATGAAGGGCTGTTACGAGGTGATGTGTAAAGCACCCATCATGGGACTGGGCACCTGGAAGATTCTCTCCTTCCCCCTCTGAGCCTCAGCCTTTTCACTTAAAATGGACCTAACAATTGTCAGGATCATCATGAGGATTAGATTAGTTAGTTGACAGATCAGCACTCTAAAGCCCAAGTTACTGTGAAGTGTTGTCATGATGACAGAAGGATGGAGGTCTGGTTTTGTTTGGAAGTGTTGCAGGAGTAACCTAAAGCCACTTCTACTTAATTATCCTTCAATCAGTACTCCCATTCCATGGGTCAGAGACTACATGGCTCTGAAATTGAATTACATGCACAATAAAGCCTGATCCACAGGACATAGACTCATGGTCTACTAAAGCTAAAAGGAAACTTTAGACCATCTGGTCCAACCCTCTCATTTTATGGAAACTGAGGGAGAAGGCCTGGGAAGTAACTTGCCACGTGCCACTCAACGAGTACATAGCAGAGCAGGAGCCTGGCCAGTGCCAGCTCCCAAGCTCAGGCCCTTTCCTGCACACATTCCCTAGTGACACACCTCTGTGGTCCTCAAAAGGGAGACCGGTTGAGTAAGGACAAGGCAGAGACTACCTTGAAAATCATTTGAGTGTTGTTAGTCCTGTGCAAAAGCAGAACTGGGGCCCTGTACTTCTCTGGGGTCAACAGACACAATTCCCTTCCTTGTCCTGCCCTTAGTCACCTCCGTCATTCCAGAGCCCCAGTGGAAACTTACTTCAGATTCTGCGGGCACTGAGAGAAGGAGGTTAGGGGGCAGAGCTGATCCAAAACAGGTGTGGGAAGAGGCTAGCAGCAAAGAATGTGCCTGGCCATAGTTTCTGCTTTCATTTGCCTAGATCCGAGCTATCTAATATGTTAGCCACTGGCCAAAGCGGCTATTTACATTTTCATTACATTTAATTAAAATGAAATAAAATTTAAAATTTAGTTCCTGAGTCACACTAGTCACATTTCAAGTGCTCAGTAGACCTTGGTAACATGGCTAGTTACCAGGTTAGACAGCATGCATTATGGACTTTCTGTCCATCATTGCAGAAAGTTCTGTTGGAGAGCAGTCTCCTAGAATGTTCTCAGAGCCTAAAGAGAGTGAAGGGAGGAGCAGTTGGGATGGTCTGTAAGATTAGGGTGCAGATTTGGAGAAAGATACACAATTCTATTCTGAGGGGACGGGATGGGAGAGAGAATGGATGACCCCAAGCCAGAGACAAGGTATAGATCACTATGGTAGCTGAATAATGGCCCCCAAGACATCCACATCCTATTCCCCAGAACCTGTGAATGTCAATTTGTATGGCAAAAGGGACTTTGGAGATATGATCAAGTTATGGATCTTGAGATGGAGTGATTACCTTGAATTATCTGGTCAGGCCCTAAATGTAGTTGTGAGTGTCCTTACCAGAGGAAGGAAGAGAAAAATTTGGTAATAGAGGAGAAGGTAGCAATGTGACAGCAGAAGCAAGATGCTATGCTACCAGCTTGGAAGATGGAAGAAGAGGCCAGGAGTGAAGAGGTTTTAGGATGCAGCTCTAGAAGCTGCAAATGGCAAGGAAATTGTTCCTCCCCTAGAGCCTCCAAAGGGAGTGTCCCAGTGAATCTAATTTCAGACTTCTCACCTCCAGAACTTTTAGAGAATAAATATGTGGTCATAAGACACTAAGTGTGTGGTAATTTTTTGCAGCAGCAATAGGAAACAAATACAACCACCAACTGATGTGTCACTGATAGTGACCCCCAATAGCTCAGTGTGGCAGGAAAGGGAGCATTCTAGAGGGTGAGCCAAATCTCCCTGCAGGAGGAACCCAGGGTGAGAGGGACACACCTCAAGGAGATGAACTATAATGAGGAGAGGCATTCCAAGAGGAGATCTGCTTCAGCAACTGAGTTCTGGGGCTGAGGCTTGATCCAGGGTCCAAGACCCTTAGGAAGCATGCCTCTTCTTGAGACATCTAGGGTGCTCTGAGGGGTCCTGGATTCCTATCTGGGAAAGAGTCCATCCTCTCATCTGTCAGATGCAGCCCAGAGCAGAACCATGACCTGTCTCTGGTTCATTGTTAGTGAGCAGGCAGGGTTAGGGCCAGAGTCCCGGTATCCTCCCTCATGATGGAGTCCCTTTCCCAATCCTCCCTGCCCCTCAGCTAATGGAAAGGGAGGAGCTCAGCTCCACAGAGGCAAGGCCACCAGGGAAGGCTGCAGGAGGCCAGGGCAGCCTCATGAAGAAATGCTTACCAGGAATTACAAACAGCAGAATGGAATCCTCGAAGGGGCAATGTGGGACTTCACCTGTTGCACAATATGAGACTGTTTTTTTCCTTTCTCCTCTTTTCATACAACTTCCTTTTCTCACCCTGGGCCCAGAGAGCTGGAATCTGCTTACTTGACGTTCCAGTTGAGGTTTCTCCAGGTTTCCGGGTGGGGGCAAAAGCCAGAACAGACAAAGCAGGACACTCGAAAGGAACTATGGATTATGGAGCAACTTCTAGGCATCCGGCCTATTTTCCTACTCCTTGCAGTGCCCACCTCCCCCAGCTCACTCTCCAGATGGGAGTCCATTTCCTTATGTACATGTTCCTTTAGGACATGTTCATGCAAACATGTCTTTATCCCCCATCCCACCTCAACCTGGAACCCTCCATCATGCTCCCATTGACACAGGCATTTTCCTCCAAGGAGGCCAGGAGCCGAGCAAGCAGAGGCAGGGATCAAGGGAGCAAGATGAGCTGAGGATGGTGACATAGCCACAGTTCTTCCTGGAGGCTGAGACCAGAGACCAGCTGGCAGTCCTGTACTGCAGTCTGCATTCACCCTTTACAGATTTGAGGGCCTTAAAACCCTCTCTTTCCCACTTATCTCTACCTGTTCTCCCTTCTAAACTCCTTCTGTCTTGGGTTCCCAACTGAGTCTAGCATACAGGAAAATAGAAGAAAAGAATTGAGAGACAAAATTGTGGCTGCATTTTTCTACCTTTTAAATAGTTTCATTTTTAGATACAGTCGACATTTTGAATATGTGGGATCCAAATCTGTGGATTCAACCGATGATGGATGGAAAATATTTGGGGAAGAAAAAAACACAATAGGCCAGGTTTAGTGGCTCACACCTGTAATCCCAGCACTTTGGGAGGCTAAGGTGGGAGGAATATTTGAGCTTAGGCATTCTAGACCAGCTTGGGCAACATAACAAGACCCCTTCTCTACAAAAGTACCAAAATTAGCTGGGTGAGGTGGCACATGCTTGTAGTCCCAGCTACTTGGGAGGCTGAGGCAAGAGGATCGCTTGAGCCCAGGAGGCGGAAGTTACAAACAGCTGAGATGACATGACTGCACTCCAGCCTGGGCGCTAGAGCAATATGCTGTCTCAAAAACTAAAAAAGAAAAAAGAAAAACAAATAAAAAACAATGCAGTATAACAATGATCTACATTTACATTTATGAATAGCATTTACATTGTTTAGGTATTCTAAGTAATCTAGAGATTAAAGTATATGGGAGGATGTTCATAGGTTATGGGCAAATACTATGCTACATCAGAGACTAGAGCATGTGTAGATTTTGGAAGCCATGAGAATTCCTAGAACCAATCCCCTGTGGATACCAAGGGATGGCTCTACATGATAAGTGTGTAAAATATATATATTCAGAAGGAATGAGAAAATCAAAATTAATTTTTTTCAGGGAAGATGGGCTTGATGGGACTTGATGGAGGATGGTCTGGGAGACTCTCCCCTTCTATGGAAACATTCCCAACTGGGAGACCAGCACAGCTGCAGGGAAATAATTTCTTCAGGCAGTGTTAGCTGCTTCTAAATCTCAGGACCCTATGTCCCTGGGCTCCTCAAGGAGACATTTGTTATTTACAGTGACTCCTGATTCATTTGCTTAGGGGGTCCTCTTGTCTTTCTGCTAGGGACTTGGAAAAGGAGAGAGGGCCTAGCCTCCCAGCCTACATCTTTCTCCTCTGCTGGTTGTTTCCTTGTGATCTTGTAAGTTAACACTTAATAAATCCCATATATATATGGGATTTATTAAGTGTTAACTTACACTTATATATATGTATATATATGTGTTATATATATAATATGTGTTATATAATATATACATATTAAATGTTAACTTACACATATATGATTTATTTGTATATTTATATTATATATTTATATATATCCTAATATGTGTGTATATATATATCTATATCTATCTATCTATCTATCTATCTATCTATCTATATATCCTATTAGTTCTGTCCCTCTAAGAGGACCCTGACTAATCCAGATTTTGGTACCAGGAGTGGTTCTAGAGAAATGGAATATTAAGAGTGGAGTTCTTTCATTGGTTTTGGGTTTTCTAGAGTTGGCTGCTTAATATGGTTAGACCCCAAAATGCTAAGGACTCTACGTCTAATAGTATGGAGAACACTGATAGTCCTTGGTGTGAACTGTTTAGAGAGTTAAGCAAAGTAAATGCATTTGGCACTCCTGATTCACTGCTCATGAGAGGCAAGGAGTTTAGTGACTCTATACATAATACCTTTGACCATATGTGGAGAACCAAGGAACATAATGAAGCTGGTTGGTTGCTCCTGAGTTCAATAGACAAAGTGATGAAAGAAAACGATGAGCTCAGGGATTATGTCTCCTGGCTTCAGAAGCAGATACTGAGCCTCAAATCTGCTAAGATTGCCCTGAGTGAGACCCTTATCTTCTGTAGAGAAAGAGCTGAAATTGTGAAAAAACAAACACAAATTCTTATCATGCAAGTGGCTGACCTGCAACAAAAGGTGCATGTACAGACTCACTAGGTGTCTACTGTTAAAGTGAGGGCATTGATTGGAAAAGAATAGGACCCTGCAACTTGGAATGGGGAAATGTGGGAGCACTCAGATGAAGCTGGGGACACTGAGTTTGTAAACTCTGATGAACCTTTTTTGCCAGAAGGAACAGCTTCCCCATCCCCAGTAGTAGCAACATCCACTCCCGACCCGTGGTGCCATCAGCCTTTCCACCTTTGTCTGAGGAGATAAACCCTGTGCTGCCTGAGGCAACAGTGATGGCCTCCTCTGAGGCAGTTGCCAGGCAAAATAATGTTGATTCTCCTCAGGAGCCACCCCAACACCCCTGTTTCGTGGTCCACTACATTGATGACAGTCTAGACCTGTAACTAGACTAAAGTCTGGTCCATTACATTGATGACAGTCTAGACCTGTAAATAGACTAAAGTCCCAGTGGGCCCCTGGAGGTGAGGTTGAGAGTGTGATCCATGAGGAGGTGCACGGCACTTCAAAAGAACTGTTTGAGTTCTCTAATTTATAAAAACAGCAATCTGGAGAACATGCATGGGAATTGATATTAAGGGTATGGAATAATGGTGGAAGGAACATAGAGTTGGATCAGGCTGAATTTATTGATTTGAGCCCCTAAGTAGGGATTCTGCATTTAATGTTGCAGCTTGGGGAGTTACAAAAGATTCTAATAGTTTATTTGCTTGGATAGCTGAAATATGGATTAAAAGATGGCCCACTGTGAGCAAGCTGGAAATGCCTGATCTCTCTTGGTTTAATGTAGAGGAAGGGATCCGAAGGCTTAGGGAGATTGGGATGGTGGAGTGGATTAGTCACTTTAGACCTACTTATCCCAGTGGGGAGGGTCCCGAAGATATACCCTTGAACAATAGCTTGCGAAACAGATTTGCAAGCATGGCACCAGCATCTTTGAAGAGCCCTGTGATTGCTCTTCTCTGTATGTCAGATCTAACGGTGGGAACTGCAGTCACTCAACTACAAAATTTAAATACAATGGGAATAATTGGATCCCAAGGTAGCAGGGGCTAAGTGGCAGCACTCAACCATGAAAGGCAAGGTGGGCATAACTACTGTAATGGACAGCAGAGGCAAAGCGGCAATCAGAATAGTCTGACTCGTGTAGAGCTCTGGCATTGGCTAATTAATCATGGTGTTCCTAGAAGTGAAATTGATAGGAAGCCTACTGCATTCCTACTTAAATTATACAAACAAAGAACTTCCAGGTCAAATGGACAAACGACTAATTTGAATCATAAAAACAGAGAATCACGGCCCCTCAATCAATTTCCAGGATTGAGCCAGTTTAGAGACCCAAAAACCCTTGAATGAAGCGGAGGCCGGGTCCCCTTGAGGAAGGACCCCACTACATTACTGACAATTTATGCAGTGAATCTTTCTCCCACCCTTCCCCAAGGAGACCTCCAGCCTTTTACCAGGGTAACTGTGCACTGGGGAAGGAGAAATGATCATATATTTTGGGGACTTCTGGACACTGGCTCTGATTTGGCGTTGATTCCAGGGGACACAAAATGTCACTGTGTTCCTCCAGTTAAATTAGGGGCTTATGGAGGTCAGGTAATTAATGGAGTTTTAGCTCAGGTCCAACTTACAGTGGGCCCAGTGGGTCCCTGGATTCATCCTGTGGTCATTTCCCCAATGACAGAATGTGTAATTGGCATAGATATATTCAACAGCTGGCAGAACCCCTACATTGGCTCCCTGACTGGTAGGGTGAGAGCTATTATGGTGGGAAAGGCCAAATGGAAGCCATTAGAGCTGCCTCTACCTAGAAAAATAGTAAATCAAAAACAATATCACATCCCTGGAGGGACTGCAATTAGTGTCACCATCAAGACTTGAAGGATGCAGGGATGGTGATTCCCAACACCTCTCCATTCAAGCCTCCCATTTGGCCTGTGTGGATGACAGATGGACCTTGGAGAATGACAGTGGATTATCATAAGCTTAACCAAGTTGTGACTCCAATTGCAGCTGGTTTCCAATGAAACCAGATGTGATTTCATTGCTTGAGCAAATTAACATGTCTCCTGGTACCTGGTATGCAGGTATTGACTTAGCAAATGCCTTTTTCTCCATTCCTGTCCATAAGGCCCACCAGAAGCAATTTGCCTTCAGCTGGCAAGGTCAGCAATATACCTTTACTGTCCTACCTCACGGGTATATCAACTCTCCAGCTTTGCGTCATAATCTTATTCAGAGAGACCTTGATCACTTTTTGCTTCTGAAAGATATCACACTGGTCCATTACAATGACATTATGATGATTGGATCCAGTGAGCAAAAAGTAGCAAACACACTGGACTTATTGGTGAGACATTTGCATGCCAGAGGATGGGAAATAAATCTGACTAAAATTCAGGGAACTTCTACCTCAGTAAAATTTCTAGGGATTCAGTGGTATGGGCCCTGCCGAGATATTCTTTCTAAAGCAAAGGATAACTTGCTGCATTTGGCCCCTCCTACAACCAAGAAAGAGGTACAATGCCTAGTGCGCCTATTTGGATTTTGGAGACAACACATTCCTCATTTGGGTGTGTTACTCTGGCCCATTTATCTAGTGACCTGAAAGGCTGCCAGTTCTGAGTGGGGTCCAGAACAGGGGAAGGCTCTGCAATAGGTCCAGGCTGCTGTGCAAGCTGCTCTGCCACTTGGACCATAAGACACAGCAGATCCAGTGGTGCCTGAAGTGTCAGTGGCAAATAGGGATGCTGTTTGGAGCCTTTGGCAGGCTCCCATAGGTGAATCACAGCAGAGGCATCTAGGATTTTGGAGCAAGGCCCTGCCATCTAGTTCAGATAACTACTCTCCTTTTGAGAGACAGCTCTTAGCCTGTTACTGGGCTTTGGTGGAAACTGAACGTTTGACTATGGGTCATCAAGTCACCATGTGACCTGAACTGCCTGTCATGAACTGGGTGTTTTCTGACTTATCTAGCCATAAAGTGGGTCATGCACAGCAGCATTCCATCATCAAGTGGAAGTGGTATGTATGTGATCAGGCTCAAGCAGGTCCTGAAGGCCAAGTAAGTTACATGAGGACATGGCTCAAATGCCCAGGGTCTTCACTCCTGCCACCTGCCTTCTCTCCCCCAGCCTGCACTGATGGCCTCATGGGGAGTTCCCTATGATCAGTTGACAGAGTAACAGAAGACTAGGGCCAGGTTCACAGACGGTTCTGCATAATACACAGGCACCACCCAAAAGTGGACAGCTGCAGCACTACACCCTCTTTCTAGGACATCCCTGAAGTATAGCGGTGAAGGGAAATGTTCCCAGTGGGCAGAATTTTGAAAAGTGCACCTGGTTGTGCACTTTGCATGAAAGGAGAAATGGACAAATGTGCAATTATACACTGATTCCTGGGCTGTAGCCAATGGCTTGGCTGGATGGTCAGGGACTTGGAAGAAGCATGATTGGAAAATTGGTGACAAAGAAATTTGGGGAAGAAGTATGTACATGGACCTCTCTGAATGGTCAAAAACTGTGAAGATATTTGTATCTCATGTGAGTGCTCGAGTGACCTCAGTGGAGGGGGAGTTTAACAATCAAGTGGAGAGGATGAGCCGTAATGTGGACATTACTCAGCCTCTTTCCCCAGCCACCCCTGTCACCGCCCAATGGGCCCATGAACAAAGTGGCCATGGTGGCAGGGATGGAGGCTACACATGGGTTCAGCAAGATAGACTTCCACTCACCAAGACTGACCTGGCTATGGCCACTGCTGAGTGTCCAATTTGCCAACAGAAGAGACCAATATTGAGCCCTCAATATGACACTATTCCTCGGGGTGATCAGCCAGCCACCTGGTGGCAGGTTGATTATATTGGACCTCTTCCATCATGGAAAGGGCAGAGGTTTGTCCTCACTGGAATAGACACTTACTCCTGATATGGGTTTACCTATCCTGTATGCAATGCTTCTGTCAAGACTACCATTTGTGGACTCATGAAATTGCCTTATCCACCAGCATGGAATTCCACACAGCATTGCCTCTGACCAAGGCACTCACTTTACAGCTAAAGAAGTGTGGCAGTGGGCTCATACTCATGGAATTCACTGGTCTTACCATGTTCTCCATCATCCTGAAGCAGCTGGATTGATAGAATGGTGGAATGGCCTTTTGGAGTCACTATGACAATACTTTGCAGGGCTGGGGCAAAGTTCTCCAGAAGGCCATGTATGCTCTGAATCAGCATCCAATATATGGTACTGTTTCTCCTATAGCCAGGATTCACAGGTCCAAGAATCACGAGTCCGAGAATCAATTTGATTACTTTAATGTAAATGAGATTATACCATACTCTCTTCTCTGTCACTTCCTATTTTCATGTAATTTATGTTAGACATCTGTCGATGTCAGTATAAATAGATCTAGATCATTTTTTATAGTTGTATAGCTTTCATTACTTGGATGTTTCACAATTTACTTAGCTAACTACCTATTGTTGGACATTTGGTTATTTCCAAATTTTTGCTATTTCATATAATGCTGCGCTTATATAAAATATAGTTCTATATAATTATGTTTAATTATGTACTACCGCTGTATCTGACAACTGACTTGTATCAAGAACATACAAAGAACTGTTACAAGTTGCCAGGCAGAGTGGCTCATGTCTGCAATCCCAGGGCTTTGGGAGGCCAAGGTGGGCGGATCTCTTGAGCCCAGGAGTTGGAGACCAGCCTGGGCAACATGGGGAGACCCCGTCTCGACAAAAATACAAAAATTAGCCAGGCATAGGGGCACACATCTGTAGTTCCAGCTACTTAGAGGCTGAGGTGGGAAGACTGCTTGAGCCCAGGAAGTTGAGGCTGCAGTGAGCCAAGATCACACCACGGCACTCCAGCCAGCGCGTCAAAGGCCCTGTCTGAAAAAAAAGGAAGAAGCGGGGGCGGCAAATAAGTAGAGTATACGCCACCTCATCCAACCTTACTGGAACCAGTAGTTGACTGGTTAATCAGTCCAACCAAGGAAGCATTAAAAACTGATGCATGTGCCGGGCATGGTGGCTCACGCCCGCAATCCCCGCACTTTGTGAGACCGAGGCGGGCTGATCACCTGAGGTTAGGAGTTTGAGACCAGCCTGGCCAACATGGTGAAACCCTGTCTCTACTAAAAATACAAAAGTTAGCCATGCATGGTAGTACACGTCTGTAATCACAGCTACTCAGGAGGCTGAGGCAAAAAAAGGAGAAGAAATGCTATGTGAAGCCTTTTTATAAGCACATTAATTTCATTCACGAGGGCAGAGCACTCATGACCTAATCACCACCTTGAAAGCCTCACTTCTTAACATCATCACATTAGGTCTTAGGTTATAACATGAATTTTGGAGGACTCCAGAAAAAAAAAGTGAAAGACAACCCACAGAATGGGAGAAAATACTTGCAAATTATATACAAAGTAGGCTCACTTTATTTGTGGAAAATATGTAGCCAGACGCAGTGGCTCATGCCTGTAATCCCAGAACTTTGGAAAGCTGAGGTGGGAGGATCACTTGAGCCCAGGAGCTCAAGACTAACCGGGGCAACATAGGGATACCCTATCTCTACAATAAATAAATAAAATTACCCAGATGTGGTGACATGTGCCTGTGGTCCCAGCTACTTGGGAGGTTGAGGTGGGAGAATCACGTGAGCCCAGGAGGTTGAGGCTGCAGTGAGCCAAGATAACATTAATGTATCCCAGCCTGGGCGATAGACCGAGACCTTATCTCAAAAAAAAAATATATATATATGTATATATTTATTTATCTACCTATATATTCATATATAGATATAGATTAATATAGATATATAAACATATATTTATAGATATATAGATACATAAATATATAGCTATATAAATATATATTTATAAATATATAGATATATATGTAACAAAATATGTTCCAAGACCTCCAGTGTATACCTGAAACTGCAGATAGTACCAAACTCTATATGTACTATGTTTTTTTCCTATACATACATACATACCTATGATGAAGTTTAATTTATAAATTAGGCACTGTAATAGAATAACAACAATAACTAATAATAAAAGAGAACAATTAGAATATACTTTTTGTTTTTGAGATGGAGTCTTGCTCTGTCACCCAGGCTGGAGTGCCATGGCGCCATCTCAGCTCACTGCAACTTCCACCTCCCAGGTTCAAGCGATTCTCCTGCCTCAGCCTCCCGAGTAGCTGGGCCTACAGGCACCTGCCACCACGCCCGGCTAATTTTTGTATCTTTAGTAGAGGCAGGGTTTCACCATATTGGCCAGGCTGGTCTCCAATTCCTGACCTTGTGATCCACCCACCTCGGCCTCCCAAAGTGCTGGGATTACAGGTGTGAGCCACTGTGCCCGGCTAGAATATACTTTAACATAAGTTACATGAATAGTTTTCTCTCTCTCAAAATACTGTAATATTTGGGATTGCAGCTGCCCGCAGGTAACTGAAACTGCAGAGAGCATACGGGAGACTACAGTATCTGACAATGGACTTGGATCTAGAATACATAAAGAACTCTTACAACTTGATAATAAAAAGGATATAACCCAATTTTAAAATGGACAAAAGATCTGAACAGATATTTCTCCAAAGAAGACATACAAATGGCCAATAAGGGCCAGGTGGTGGCTTATGCCTATAATCCCAACACTTTGGGAGGCCAAGGCAGGTGGATCACTTGAGGCCAGGAGTTCAAGACCAGTCTGGCCAACATGGCGAAAACCCATCTCTACTAAAAATATAAAAATCAGCCAGGCGTTGTGGCGCATGCCTGTAGTCCCAGGTACTCAGGCAGATGAGGCACAAGAATCACTCGAACCCGGGAGGCAGAGGTTGCAATGAGCTAAGATTGCACCACTGCACTCCAGCCTGGGCAACAGAGCAAAACCCCACCTAAAAATAAATAAATAAATAAAAATAAAAGAAAGAAAATAAATGGCCAATAAGCACAAGAAAATACACTCAATTTCTGTCTTAGTCTGTTTGTGCTGCTATAACAAAATACCTGAGACTAAGTAATTTATAAGTAAAAAAATTTATTCCTCACAGTTCCGGAGGCTGGGAAATCCAAAATCAAGGTGGTAGCACATTTGGCATTTGGTGAGGGCCTGTTCCATTGTTCCCGTTCTCGCAGTGGCATCTTCACATGGCAGGAGAAGAAAGGAAAAAAGAAGAAGAAATGTTATGTGAAGCCTTTTTATAAGGGGATTAATTTCATTCACGAGGGCAGAGCCCTCATGACCTAATCACCACCTTGAAGGCCTCACTTCTTAACATCGTCACATTAGGTCTTAGGTTATAACATGAATTTTGGAGGACTCCAACATTCAAACCATAGAAACATCATTAGCCATCAGGGAAGTGCAAATCCAAACCATGTTAAGATACCACTTCACACTCACAAGAATGGCTATAATAAACAGACACATAATAACAAGTGTTGGAGAAAATGTGGAAAAATTGAAACACTCATATGTTGCTGGAGGGAATGTAAAATGCTTTGCAATGAAGTTGGAACTGCTTTGGAAATAGTCTGGCAGTTCCTCCAAAGCTTAAACATAGAGTTATCATATGACCTGGCAATGCCAGGCTTCATCGTATTCCCAAGGGGAAGGAAAACATATGTCCACACAAAAACTTATACATGAATGTTCATAGCAGCATTATTCATAATAGTCAAAAAGTAGAGACAGCTGGGTGTGGTGGCTCCCAACACTTTGGGAGGCCAAGGCGGGAGGATTGCTTGAGCTCAGGAGCTCGAGACCAGCCTGGCCAACAGAGTGAAATCCGATCTCTACTGAAAATACAAAAATCAGCGGGACATGGTATACGTGCCTGTAATCCCAGCTACTTGGGAGGCTGAGGCAGGTGAATGGCTTGAATCCAGGAGGCGGAGGCCGCAGTGAGCCAAGATCACACCACCGTACTCCAGCCTGAGTGACAGACTGAGACTCCATCTCAAAAAAAAAAAAAAAAGTGATAAACAGATAAATGAAATGTGTTATATTCCTACAACAGAATATTACTGAGCCATAAAAAAAAGGAAATAAGTACTGACACATGCTATAACATGAATGAACCTTGAAAACATTAGGTTACTTGAAAAAAGCCAGTCACAAAAGATCACAAATTGTATGGTTCCATTTATATGAAATGTCCAAATAGGCAAATCCTATCCTAAAAGAAAGTAAATTAGTGGTTGCCTAGGACTGAGGGATGGAGGAAATGGGGAGTGACTGCTCATAGGTATGGTATTTTTTTTTGAGAGAAATGAAAATATTCTAAAATTGATTGTGGTGGCCAGGCACAGGGGCTCACGCCTGTAATCCCAGCACTTTGAGAGGCCGAGGCGGGCGGATCACCTGAGGTCGGGAGTTCGAGACTAGCCTGACCAACATGGAGAAACCCTGTCTCTACTAAAAATACAAAATTAGCCGGGCATGGTGGTGCATACCTGTAATCCCAGCTACTCGGGAGGCTGAGGCAGGAGAATCGCTTGAACCAGGGAGGTGGAAGTTGCAGTGAGCTGAGATCGTGCCACTGCACTCCAGTCTGGCGAGAGAGTGAGGCTCCATCTCATAAAAAAAAAAAAAAAAAGAAAGAAAAAAGAAAAAAAAGAATGTTTCAGGCAAAGGGAAGAGAAGTGCAATGGTGCTATTTCAGGCAGAAGCTTGTCAGGTTTGCTGTGGTGTGGCTAGTGTGGAAGGACTCAGTGGGAAGGAAAAGAAATGAGGGCACAGTAGTGGGCAGGGCCAAGATAAAATAAAGCCATATGCATACTGCTACATTTTTTCCTTGCTAACATATTTCATTGAATGTAGACAAAACTTATTATAAAGACATAACTTTTGATGTTTGTAAGGTCATCTGTTATTTGCACTCCTTTTTTTTTTGAGATAGGGTCTCACTCTGTCACCCAGGCTGGAGTGCAGTGTTGCCACCACAGCTCACAGCAGCCTCGACCTCCTGGGCTCAAGCACTCCTCCCACCTTAGCCTCCTGAGTATCTGGGACTACAGGCACATGCCACCGTGCCCCACTAATTTTTTATTTTTTGTAAAGACAGGGTTTCTCCATGTTACCCAGGCTGGTCTCAAACTCTTGAGCTCAAACAATCTACCCACCTTGGTCTCCCAAAGAGCTAAGATTACAGGCGTGAGCCACTGTGCCTGGCTTGTTATTTGCATTTGTGATTTTAAAATTCCATGTTTTTTATCATAAGATTGTCAGGTGCTTTCTGGACAGGAAATGCCTTAATTTATGACTCAAAATACAAACAAGTGTAGGTGATCAAATGCATATCTATGTCTTCAATGGAAATATATATACATACAAGTCATTAACGAAGACAAATGAGAACATGAAATTCATGACCTATTTTCCTTTCCATCACCTAGCCCCCTAAAGGAGAGATCTTTTTCATTCAGAGCCCTGGGTTTTGTTTTGTTTCATGATTTGCTTTTTTTTTTTTTAAATAAGAGTTTATTTATTTATTTATTTGAGACAAGGTTTCACTCCCATCAGCCAGGCTGGAGTGCAATGGCGTGAACTCAGTTCACTGCAACTTCTGCCTCCTGGACTCAAGTGACTCTCTTGCCTCAGCCTCCTGAGTAGCTGGGACTACAGGCACGTGCCGCTGCATCCAGCTAATTTTTTGTAGAGACAGGGTTTCACCATGTTGGCCAGGCTGGTCTTGAACTCCTGAGTTCAAGCGATCCGTCTGCCTCTGAGTCTCAAAGTGCTAGGGTTACAGGAATGAGCCGCCGCGTGGCCAAAAGAGTTTATTTTTTAAAGAAAATTGACTTCTTTGAAAACGTAGAAATGAGGCCGGGCGCAGTGGCTCACACCTGTAATTCCAGCACTTTGTGAGGCCGAGGCAGGTAGATCGCTTGAACTGAAGAGTTTGAGACCAATCTGGCCAACATGGTGAAACCCCATCTCTACTAAAAATACAAACATTAGCCGGGTGTGGTGGCAGGTGCCTGTAATCCCAGCTACTCGGGAGGCTGAGGCAGGAGAATCGCTTGAACCCGGGAGGCGGAGGTTGCAGTGAGCCAAGATTGCGCCATTGCACTCCAGCCTGGGCAACAAGAGCAAAACTCCATCTCAAAAAGAAAAGAAAAAGTAGAAATGAGGAAGCGGCCAGCCTGTGTGGGGATCTAATCAAACAAATCTTCCCCTGATGAGGGTAGCACTTAAGTTGAAAAAAATTTGCCTATATAATAAATATTGCAATACTTTATTTATTTATTTATTTATTTTTCGAGATGAGGGTCTCGCTGTGTTGCCCAGGCTAGTCTTGAACTCTTGGGCTCAAGGGCTTCTCCTGCCTCAGCCTCCCCAGTGGCTGGGCTAATAGGCACACACCACCATGCCCAGCTCTACATACTGATTTTTTTTTTTTGAGATGGAGTCTTCGCTCTGTCGCCCAGGCTGGAGTGCAGTGGCGCGATCTCCGCTCACTGCAAGCTCCGCCTCCCGCGTTCACGCCATTCTCCTGCCTCAGCCTCCCGAGTAGCTGGGACTACAGGCGCCTGCCACTGCGCCCACTAATTTTTTGTATTTTTAGTAGAGACGGGGTTTCACCGTGTTAACCAGGATGGTCTCGCTCTGCTGACCTCGTGATCCGCCCGCCTCGACCTCCCAAGGTGCTGGGATTACAGGCGTGAGCCACCGCGCCCGGCCCATACTGATTTTGAAATTTAAAAAATCTACATTCTATATTCGCATCATAGCTTCTCCCTAATAAAATCTTTGTGAGTGTTTATGGGACTTATTCCCCGAAAAATCTGCAAGCAGCCTGGTAGCTTTATATACACAGGAAAGCCAAAGGACAAACTAGGAATTACGTCAGAGATGGGGAAAGACTAAGGATCTTACCCAAATCAGTTGAGAATCAGCCTTAAGTATAAATGGGCCAGGTGTTGGTGGCTCACACCTGTAATCCTAGCACTTTGGGAGGCCAAGGCGGGCAGATCACTTGAGGTCAGGAGTTCGAGACCACCCTGGCCAACATGGTGAAACCCCGTCTCTACTAAAAATACCAAAATTAGCCAGGCGTGGTGGCACGTGCCTGTGGTCCCAGCTACTTGGGAGGCTGAGGCAGGAGAATCGCTTGAACCTGGGAGGCAGAGGTTGCAGTGAGCTGAGATCACGCCACTGCACTCCAGCCTGGGTGACAGAGTAAGACTCCGTCTCAAAAAAAAAAAAAAAAAAAGTATAAATGAAGCACAATTAACATTTTTTAATTTTATAGAGCAAAAGTTCATAAAAATAAATATTCTAATTAACTCTCCTACATCTTATAAACACTATTACCAAACCCATTTAAGATTGAAGATAAATTATATCATGGCATGGGTAAAGATTTTCAATAAGGAGTTGCTAGGATAAAAGTCAAAATTCTCCAGCATAAATTCACTGACAGGGATTTCTGTTTAATCTTTTCAAAATTCTAATACCCAATTTGTTTCCTCTAGAGAATAACTCGTGTAGAATCATAACCTCTTTGGTGGACCTTGATTTTTCCATCTGTAAAAGTATAGAACTAGTTTTGACTTAACAGTCAACAAATGCCTACCCTCTCCATATCTAGCTGATTAGAGCGCCCTCGTGCGCATTTGCTGTAATGTTTTAGAAATCTGAAAAAGACAATATTAATCTCAGCAGTAATACAATAAATAATGTCTTCATTTGCACATTTATAGCAAATGCTATAAATATATAGCTCCAAGTATTACTCAGTAAAAGCTAAAGGCAAATGCTGTAGTAGGTTAATCTTACTGTCGTTCACTATCAAACCTTTCTTATGCCAATTTTATCCTAAAACAGTGAAGTTATTGTTTTGGTTTCAATTTTAATTTAATGACTTAAAGGATTTTTTCCCTTAAAACTTCTAAGTATTTCATTATAATATTATTTCATCATTAGGCTTAAAGGAAAATATGTGGTCAATTGAGTTGTTATTTATTATACATGATAGCTTGACATCATCTTTTTAGGGATGGAAAACAGCTCCAGGGACCAAGTCTAACTCAGTTTTTTGATATAAGAATTTACCTGTCGGCCGGGTGCAATGGCTCACACCTGTAATCCCAGCACTTTGGGAGGCCGAGGCGGGCGGATATAGGTCAGCAGATCAAGACCAGGAGTTCAAGACCAGCCTGGCCAAGATGGTGAAACCCCATCTGTACTAAAACTACAAAAATTAGCCAGGCGTGATGGCAGGCACCTGTAATCCCACCTACTTGGGAGGCTGAGGCAGGAGAATCACTTGAACCCGGTTCAAGTGAGCCGGCTGCAGTGAGCCAAGATCACGCCACTGCACTCCAGCCTGGGCAATAAGAGCAAGACTCCATCTCAAAAAAAAAAAAAAAAAAAAAAGAATGTACTAGTTTGAATCATAACAATTTCTTCCTACTCAAAGAGACTACATTGGAGGAAGCCAAAACAGAAGCTTATTTATTTATATACTTTATTTATTTATTTTTGAGACAGAGTCTTGCTCTGTCACCCAGGCTGGAGTACAGTGGTGTGATCTTGGCTCACTGCAACATCTGCCTCCCGGGTTCAAGCGATTCTCCTGCCTCAGCCTCCCTAGTAGCTGGGATTACAGGTGTGTGCCACCACGGCCAGCTAATTTTTGTATTTTTAGTAGAGACGGGTTTTCACCATGTTGGCCAGGCTGGTCTCAAACTCCTGACCTCAGGTGATCCACCTGCCTCAGCCTCCCAAAGTGCTGGGATTACAGGCATGAGCCACCAAGCCCAGCCTAGAGAAGCTTATTTTTTAAAAGAAAATACACAAAAAAATCAAAATCTCATAAGTCCAGTTGTAATTTTTTTTTTGGCTTTTAAAAACTGTTAATGCCCTCAAATATTCTCCTATCCAATCACTGTATTTTAAATGGCATTCCTCCAACAAATATTTGTTGAGCCCCCACTATGTGCCAGGATTGAAATGTCAAATTGAAGGAGGCAATAGCTACTGAAGTAAAGCAAAAAAAGTACTGGTTATTTTTCCTTCTATAAAATGACCTAGTAATAACCGCTTTACCCAGGAGAGTTGCTGTAAAGATCTAATAACATGACACATATAACCACACCCCTAAAGAATGAGGTGTTACCGCATGTTCTCACTCATAGGTGGGAATTGAACAATGAGAACACATGGACACAGGAAGGGGAACATCACACTCTGGGGACTGTTGCGGGGTGTGGGGAGGGGGGAGGGATAGCATTAGGAGATATACCTAATGCTAAATGACGAGTTAATGGGTGCAGCACACCAGCATGGCACATGTATACATATGTAACTAACCTGCACATTGTGCACATGTACCCTACAACTTAAAGTGTAATAATAATAAAATAATAAAATTAAAAAAAGAAATTTTGCTTAAATAAATATTATAATAAAAAAAACGAATGAGGTGTTATTAAAATGTTTGCAAGAGAAACCCTAGTAATTCCAAGCACATATTTTAGGAATGGTTTCTTGTGTAGAAAATCCTGGAATGTGAGGCTCTGCTGATTTTTTTAATGCATATTCTCTTCTTATGTATGCGGAATTTTTTTTTTTTTTTGAGATAGAGCCTTGCTCTGTTGCCCAGGCTGGAATGCACTGGCACGATCTTGGCTCACTGCAACTGCCACCTCCTGGTTTCAAGTGATTCTCCTGCCTCAGCCTCCCGAGTAGATGGAATTACAGGCGTGTGCCACCGCACTTGGCTAATATTTGTATTTTTAGTAGAGATGGGGTTTCACCATATTGGCCAGGCTGTTCTAGAACTCCTGACCTTGTGATCCACCCACTTCAGCCTCCCAAAGTGCTGGGATTACAGGCATGAGCCACTGTACCTGGCCTATTTTTGTTTTTACTAATGTTTCAAGAGACCCACTTTATGTACAGAATTCTGGCTACAACCTAACAAATGAGTTGCTCTGTTCATCAGTTATAGCCAATTTAAGTAATTATGAAAAGCTCAACAATACTTTAACTGGCAATGAAAGCGTCAATATCTCACATTTACCACCACAACTTAGGATTTCTTGGTAGCTAAATAAAATGCTTCTATTTTGTGGGGGGAAACTGTCACATAAGTTGAAATTCTGCAATGTTCAATTGATGAAAAGGTCTCTATGTTAAATCAAAGGTATAAATTCCACATCAGTAGTACATGAAAGAGAAAAAAAAAGCCAAAATTAAAGTGATCCATGCCCACTTCCCTGAGTGAACCTAAGATTTTACTAACAGAGATGCCGTAACTTTGATCATGCACACATCAAACTTGAATTTAAAAACATGCATGCACTCACTCATCTTTTATCTCTTATGTAATTAATACTGTAAGATTATATTTTGCCTACGTGCTCTATATTACTAATTTATAGGATTATTACTATTCAGTGTTGTTTACTTGAAACCATACTGTACTATACACAACTTTTGCATTCCATGCTAACTTTATTTTTTTAACTAATTTTTTTTTATACAGAGTCTCACTCACTCTATTGGCCAGGCTGGAGTGCAGTGGCACGATCTTGGCTCCTGCAACCTCTGCCTCTCGGGTTCAAGTCATTCTCCTGCCTCAGCCTCCCAAGTAGTTGGTACCACAGGTACATGCCACCACACCCGGCTAATTTTTGTATTTTTGGTAGAGATGGGGTTTCACCATGTGGGCCAGGCTGGTCTCGAACTCCTGACCTCAAGGTTATAGGCGTGAGCCACGATGTCCCAACTCCATGCTAACTTTAGAGCTTATTTCCCATCCCATAAGATACAACACTACTTGTGTTATATAGTGAGCAGTGTGGGGAAGAAAAGCATAGAATTAAGTTAGTGACAAATCCAGTGAACTCAAAAAGAGGGAAAAAACCACTCCCAAACAATTGTTTTCCCCATATTCTATTCTCCCTAGAGGTAGTCCATACAGGAACGACAAAAGAAAAAAAAGGATACAAAATGAGAAAGATGTTCATGTGACATATAAGTACAGTAATAAAATCAACAAGCATATATGGTATTTAAGCAAAATAGTATGTATGCATTGATGGTCATCTGATATAAATCCATCATTTCTGTTGGCCAACATCTAAAACCTTCACTTTTCTGAGGAGACAAGCTATAAATCTATACGGATATTTCTACAATGAGAATTCATTATTACATATGAACCAATATAATTTGATGTCAAATATTCACAATTAGGTTTAAAAAATCCCCTACTTGGCCGGGCGCAGTGGCTCATGCCTGTAATCCCAGCACTTTGGGAGGCCAAGGCGGGTGGATCATGAGGTCAAGAAACCAAGACCATCCTGGCCAACATGGTGAAGCCCTGTCTCTACTAAAAATACAAAAATTAACTGGGCGTGGTGGCAGGCGCCTGTAGTCCCAGCTACTCAGGAGGCTGAGGCAGGACAATCACTTGAACCCAGGAGGCAGAGGTTGCAGTGAGCTGAGATCGCGCCACTGCACCCCAGCCTGACGACAGAGTGAGACTCAGTCTCAAAAAAAAAAAAAAATCCCCTACTTATGTTAAGAGTACCAAAAATAGGGCCAGGAATGATGGCTCATGCCTATAATTTTGGCACTTTGGGAAGCCGAGGTGGGAAGATAGCTTGAGTCCAGGAGTAAAATAGTGAGACTCTGTCTCTACAAAAAAATAAAAAATTAGCTGGATGGGGCACACACCTGTAGTCCAGGTACTCACGAGGCTGAAATGGGTGGATCACTTGAGCCTGGGAGGTCAAGGCTGTAGTGAACTGTGATCACACCACTACACCCTACACCCAGCCTGGGCTACAAGGTGAGACCCTGTCTCAAAAAAAAAAAAAAAAAAGGTACCAAAAATCTATAGCTGTTTCAGGAATAAAATACATGTAGTTAGTGAGGTTTTTCTCTCCCACTGCTATGACTTAATTTTTGGTTGAGATGCTAAGCCAAACATCATTTTAAGTCTGTGGCCCAACCAAAAAAGGGAATCATACTCTCCAAAGAATTGTACATTCCCACTCTAATTGCTAAAATAAAATGTTGGATTATGAAAATCAATTTTATAGGTATCAATAAGTTATAAGAGCATGGCTTATTTAAAAAAAAAAGTGGGCCAGGTTACCTACATGAGCTGCAAAGCAAGCAAACTGAATTTTCTTATCGAAGAGCCCATCCTCATACTTAAAATTTCCCATGACTACATGGAAATTCTTTCACTTACCAAAAAGACCTGATTGGCACTTTCACTGAGAGTTGCGTCATCTGGGCTGTCGACAGGTGTCTGACGTGTAAACTTGGAATCAAACTGACTTACATCCTCTTCAGATTGCTTTATACAAACAAAATAATTTAGAAAATAATGAATAGTCCATATGACATCAATTAAATGCACTGTAAGCTCTGGGAGCTCTTTTCGCAGGGGTTAACTATAATAAAGTATTAGAATAGTCTTAGCAGGCACTTTTCTAATAGTGGAGAAATGCAAGTGGAAGAAAAAAATGCAAGTGGAAAGTACTGAGTCAAATTACATCTTCAAATCTTAAACATGCACTAAAAAAGATTTTAGTATACTGTTATTCCTATTAAAAATGTGAATATATTGACTGGGCATGATGGCTCAGGCCTGTAATCCCAGCACTTTGGGAGGCTGAGGCAGGCAGATCCTGAGGTCAGGAGTTCAAGACCAGCCTGGCCAATAAAGCGAAACCCCGTCTCTACTAAAACTACAAAACATCAGCCGGGCGTGGTGGCGGGCGCCTGTAATCCTAGCTACTCGGGAGGCTGAGGCAGGAGAATTGCTTGAACCTGGGAGGCAGAGGTTGCCGCAAGCAGAGATCGTGCCACTGCACACCAGCCCAGGTGACAGTGCGAGAGTCTGTCTCAATTAAAAAAAAAAAAAGAAAAGAATATATCGAGCTCAAAACAAGCTGGAAAAAATGTGAATATCAATTTCCCCTCTCACAAAGCTTCAGTGTGCCTAGTCCACTGGCTAAATCCCTGTTTAGAGATAATTAATTCAGTTGGCTACTGCAGGTTTGTAATAAACCTGAAAAACTACTGAAGCAGAGTTAAAACATGAATAATACTGGTAAGATGCTCCAGTTAAAGTTTCTTCTCACAGCTCATTTCATTCCTTCAGAAATCTAAAGGAGCAAAAATAATTTTCTATTCCGCATGGGTTATAAGTTATATTTCCTTGTGAAAGTATAGTTATCACTTCAGTTCTAACCATGAGATTTATTTATTTAATTCCTTCTCTCTTTCCCAAAATATCTGGTTAAACTCTTGGGCCAAATGTAAGAAGTAAATAATAATTTAGAATATCTGACTTAATACTAAAAGATGATGACCACATTGACCTTATAATTCTCTTAGAGCCCAGACTGTGAACCTGCACTCCCTGGAGGAATGGCTGATTCCAAGTGTGGGGAAAATGTACAAGATAAGCATAGAACACCAGTTTCCTTATTTTGCTCTCTCGTACAACACCAGACAATGTGCTCATGTCAAAAGGACTCAGAACCCAACATGAAGATGCACCCAGCATTCACTGCACCCAGCATTCAACGAAGGGAAAAAACGAGCACCAATAAAAATAACTGCTAGGTGCGGTGGCTCACGCCTATCATCCCAACACTTTGGGAGGCAGAGGCAGGTGGATTGCTTTTGAGCTCAGGATTTGAAGACCAGCCTGGTGAACACGGCAAAACCCCGTCTCTACCAGAAACACAAAAATTAGCTGGGCATGGTGGTGTACCTGTGGTCCCAGCTACTCAAGAGGGTGAGGTGGGAGGATTGCTGGAGGTCGGGATGTCAAGCCTGCAGTGGGCAGCGATTATACCACTGCACTACAGCTTGGGTGACAGAGTTAAGACCCTGCCTCAAAACAATAAATGAATAAATAAAAATAAAATAAAAATAACTGCGATGAAAGGAAACACAAATATGTTAAAACGTGTAAGTTCATAATATACTAAAAAAGAAAAAAACACACACACAAAGTTCATTGGTCAATTTTGGAAGATGCTAGGAAACTAATTCATTATTTTGAAAACTAGGAAAGAATCAAACATACATCCTGCCTTTTCTGTATGAACTGTACCTTGGGTAACTAACTGATCAAAGAGTTTCTCTTTATGAAAGAATTCCAGCTAACAAAGAAAGAAGAAATAACAGTTAGAATAAAACCATTTCACAAACACCTGATGAAACTACAAAAGTAGGCCAGAGTTTCTCAACCTCAGGGCTACTGACATTTTAGGCCTATTAATACTTTGCGTTAGGGGGCTGTGCTGTGCTGACTCTTACCCCTGAAGGTACCTATAGCATTCCCTCTCCCAAGCTGTGACAGTGTGTCTCCAGACATTGCCAAATTACCCTGGTAGTGAAATGCTGACACAGGCAGTGACCACTAACATCACTAAAAAAACACACATACGCACACACAAGTACACATTATGCCTCCTGATCAAAGCATATGCGATACTGAGAGTGTAATCTGAATCAGATCAACCACCTAAATTTAACTACCAGTTTTTGGAAATTTGGGGAACAGATGAACATGGTCAATGACACTCTGGGGATAATATCAGCAAAATCAAAATTTGAGAATTCTACAGGACAAATGACCCCGTTTCTTCAGTAAATCACAAGGGGAATCTATAAAGGAAAAGAGACCTAAGAGACATAGTAACCAAACTACATACAGACCTTGATTAACAGGAGGAAAAAAAAGAATGGAACAACAACAACAAAAAAATTAGGTGGGGCAACACAGGGAGACCTCATCTCTAGAAAAATTCAAAAAATTGGATGTGGTGATGCACCCCTGTGGTCCCAGCTATATGGGAGGATCCCTTGAGCCTGGGAAGCTGAGGCTGCCATGAGCCACTATCATGCCACTGCACTCCAGCCTGGGCAACAGAGAAAGACCCTATCTCAAAAAAAAAAGAGAAAAAAAAAAAACTGGGGAAACTGTCAACTTCTTAGGTGTGATGATGGGATGACAGTTATGTTTAAAGAAGATGATCTAATTATTTTTAAGCTGGGCAGTAGGTGTATGACAGTTCTCCTCCTTACAATTGTTTGTTGTTTTTTAAAGTGGGTCACATTATGGGGCATGACCAAAAAATAATCACCATCATCATCCTCCTCCTTCTCCACCTACAGCCCAAGGAATGGAAAAAGAAACTGTGTTTTCTCAGATTCTGAGGTGGCAGAAAGACAATAACACACTAACTCATTTACTCATAAACATATTGTTATGGATTGAATCGTGTCCCTTACTCACCCCCCAGAAAATTTCGTATGTTGAAACTCTAACCTCTAGTTCCTCAGAATGTGACCTTATTTGGAAAGGGTTATTGCAGATGTAATTAGTGAAGATGAGGTCCTACTGGAGTAGAGAGGAACCCTAATCCAATATGCCTGGTATCCTTATAAAAAGGGGAAATTTGGCCACAGATACGCACACAGGTAGAACACCATGTGAACATGAAGGCAGAGATCCAGGTGATGCACCTACAAGCCAAAGTATGCCAAAGATGACCAGCAAACCACCAGAAGCCAGGGGAGAGGCATGGAACATAAGGTTTCTCACAGTTGTCGAAGAAACCAACTCTAACAACGTGATCTAGAACTTCTAGTCTCCAGATCTATGAGATAATAAATTTCTGTTGTCTAAGCCACCCAGTTTGTGGTACTTTGTTGCAGCAAGCCTAGCAAACTAATGCACACATATTCTATATTTTGAAGAAAAAATTCCCAGAGAATCATATTTAAAATGGTTAAATTAAGCAAAATAAAACAAACCAAAAAAAGAAAAGTCCCAACTACCTGAAATATTTAATTGTCTTAGGAAACTGACTTAAAAATATCTAATACAGGCCGGGCACGGTGGCTCACGCCTGTAATCCCAGAACTTTGGGAGGCCGAGGTGGGTGGATCACAAGGTCAGGAGTTCAAGACCAGCCTGGCCAAGATGATGAAATCCTGTGTCTACTAAAAATACAAAAATTTGCTGGGCATGGTGGCAGGTGTCTGTAATCCCAGCTACTCAGGAGGCAGAGGCAGAGATTTGCTTGAACCCAGGAGGTGGAGGCTGCAGTGATCCGAGATCACACCACTGCACTCCAGCCTGGGGGACAGATCAAGACTCCATCTCAAAAATAAAAAAATAAAAATAAAGAAGAAAAACGCTATGGAATTTGACTAGAATTAGGGCTAACAATATGAAGCACTTTGGGAAGCCAAGGCAGGTGGATCACCATGTCGGCCAGGAGTTTGAGACCAGCCTGGCCAACATGGTGAAACCTCATCTTTACTAAAAATACAAGAATTAGCCAGGTATGGTGGTGAGCACCTGTACTCCCAGTTACTCCAGAGGCTGAGGCACGAGAATCACTGGAACCCGGGAAGCAGAGGTTGCAGTGAGCTGAGGCAGCCTGGTGTCCAAGCTGTGGTGAGCCATGACCATACCACTGCACTCAAGTCTGGGCAACAGAGGAAGTCCCTGTCTCAAAAAAAAAAAAAAAAAAAAAAAAGGGCCAGGTGCAGTGGCTCACACCTGTAATCCCAGCATTTTAGGAGGCTGAGGCGGGCAGATCATGAGGTCAGGAGTTGAAGACCAGCCTGGCCAACATAGTGAAACCCCATCCCTACTAAAAATACAAAAATCAGCCGAGTGTGGTGGCATGTACCTGTAATCCCAGCTACTCAGGAGGTTGAGGCAGAAGAATTGCTTGAACCTGGGAGGCGGAGGTTGCAGTGAGCCAAGACCACATCATTGCACTCCAGCCTGGGCAACAGAGTGAACCTCCATCTCAAAAAAAAAAAAAAAAAAAAATTTAAAAAGGGAGTATAGGGCCAGCTGCGGTGGCTCACGCCTGTAATCCTAGCACTTTGGGAGGCTGAGGTGGCTGGATCATGGGGTCAAGAGATCAAGACCATCCTGGCCAACATGGTGAGACCCCATCTCTAATAAAAATACAAAAAATTAGCTGGACACAGTGGCGAATGACTGTAGTCCCAGCTAATCTGGAGGCTGAGACAGGAGGATCGCCTGAACCTCGGAGGTGGAAGTTGCAGTGAGCTGAGACCATACCACTGCACTCCGGCCTGGTGACAAAGCGAGACTTCGTCTCAAAAAAAAAAAAAAAAAAAAAGAGTTTAAAAAATTCTTTACAGAAGAATGACAATATAGGAAAAATACAGAAAAAGTAGAAAAGTCTCCATTTTCTAATCACTATAGTAATATTTGATTTGGGCAAGAAGCCATCCAGATGAAACCATTAAGTAAAGATTATTATGGGACAGAATATTCACACTGTTTCTATCATGCCATAGATCACTTGTTAATTACAAAAGGAAAAAGAGGCTGAGAATGGAGTCTCACGTCTGTAATCCCAACACTTTGGGAGGCCAAGGAGGGCGGATCACCTTAGGTAAGGAGTTTGAGACCAGACTGGCCAACATGGCAAAACCCCATCTCTACTATAATTACAAAACTTAGGCAGGCATGGTAGCAGGCACCTGTAATCCCAGCTACTTGGGGGGCTGAGGCACGAGAATCGCTTGAACCCAGGAGGTGGAGGTTGCAGTCAGCCAAGATTGCACCATTGCACTCCAGCCTGGGTGACAGAGTGAGACTCCTTCTCAAAAAAAAAAAAAAATGCCCTTATTCTTAGGAGATGTATAGAAGAAATTAGGGGTGAAGTGCTATGAAATCTGCAGTTAACTCTCAAATTGTACAGAAAGAAAATTTATTAATGTTAAAAAATGTCAATATTCATAGATACACATATATGTGGGGGCAGGTAGAAAGGGAGGGACACAGAGACAAAGAAAATATGGCAAAATGGTAACACCTGGTGATCACTGAACTATTCTTGCAACTCTGAAAAGTTTAAAAAATTTCAAAGGTATATTGTTTTTGAACTGCTCGGGAGGTTTAAATTTTTGAATTTTTAAAATAAGCAATCAATTGTGAGGAAGTCTGAGAAGCCACAGACTTAAGAGATAAGATGAAAAATAAGGAAAGTAGAATCACAGTAATAAGAGGAACAGAGTTTCAAAATGCTGTGGTCAGTCAGTAGCTTCAATGCAAAAGAAAGTTAAATTAAGGACCAACTCAGTAAAGACAACTGGATTCAGCAACTGGGAAGTCAGTGATGACCTAGGGTACAGGAGCTGCATTGAAATAGTAGAGTTGGGCCACGCGTGGCCCACATCTATAATCCAGCAGTTTGGGAGGCCGAGGTAGGTGGACCTCTTGAGGCCAGGAATTCAAGACCAGCCTAGCCAACATGGTGAAACCCCATCTCTACTAAAAATACAAAAATTAACCCGAGACAGTGGCGCACCCCTGTAACCCCAGCTACTCAGGGGCCTGAGGCATGAGAACTGCTTGAACCTGGAAGGCAGAGGCTGCAGTGAGCTGAGATAGGGCCACTGCACTTCAGCCTGAGTGACAGGGGAAGACTCTGTCTAAAAAACAAAAAACAGGCCTGGCGTGGTGGCTCATGCCTGTAATCCCAGCACTTTGGGAGGCCGAGGCAGGCGGATCACGAGGTCAGGAGATCGAGACCATCCTGGCTAACACGGTGAAACCCCATCTCTACTAAAAATACAAAAAATTAGCTGGGCGTGGTGGCAGGCACCTGTGGTCCCAGCTCCTCCGGAGGCTGAGGCAGGAGAATGACATGAACCCGGGAGGGTGGAGGTTGCAGTGAGCTGAGATTACGCCACTGCACTCCAGCCTGCGTGACAAAGCCAGACTCCCTCTCAAAAAAAAAAAAAAAAAGACGTAAACTGGGTATGTGCCTTTAGAGGTGGTGCACATTTTTAGCATTATAAATGAATATAAATGAGTGGCAACTGTTACTTTGGTCCACAGATTTTTGGTATCTTAACTAGTTTTTGGTCTCTTCCACTAAAGGCATTGCCTGTTGAACCTTGTTAGGAATGTAAGTACTGAAGGCAAACTGCCTGGGTTTGAATTTTGTTCTGTCCCTTGCACCCTGCCTCGTTTCAAATCCTAGCTCTGCTTATTACGTTCTTTTAAGGGGATGACCTTTGAGCAAATGTCTTAGCTTCTGTTTTCCCCAGTAAATGGACACAATAGTTGCTACTTTGTGAAAGATTCATGTAATTGACCAGCATTTACCAAGTAGCATCAGTGTTTAGTTTCAGTCATTGGTGATTCTGCAGTTGGACTGTGAGGGGGTATTGGGGTGGGGGGTGGTGTGTGTGTAGCACTTAATTGCAGGCAGGAAGGAAAAGATACTTTTGATAACCGACAGGCAGCTTTTCTCTGCTTTTGTGTCAAAAGGGAGGAAGGGAGTTTGGAGAGGGAAATGAATTCTCTGTAACACTAAGCTCTCTTCCTCAAAACCAGAGGTAGATAGAATGTGTAATAATTTACAGAATTTCTAGACTTCAACGATCTGATTTTTTAAATTTATTTTTATTTTTTCAGGTTGAGACTGAGCTAAAGTTAATCTGTGGCGACGTTCTGGATGTACTGGACAAAGACCTCATTCCAGCAGCTACAACTGGCAAGTCCAAGGTTTTCTATCATGAAATGTAGGTTCTATACTAACAATTAACAAGTGTACTTCAATAAATTTAAACATTCTCAGGAATAGTTGACTTTGTTTCTTTTTTTCTTAGACATTTCATATTATTTTCCTTATTAAATATAACCAAAAATCCCACAGAAATTAACTGAGGAGCCTCTAAATATCAACAAAGTTATCACTTGATAGACTAGAATTAAACAAGCAAGTGGTTCCAAGAAATGGCACGAGTGTATTAATCATAAAATAAAATTTCTACATGAAACATTCAGCCATTCTAGACCATTTCTGTCTGTGCAGACTCATCTTTTCCTGTTCTTTGCAAAGCCCAGCTAGAGCAAGCAAGTTCTTCCCAATAGGTTTTTCCCATCTCTGGTTGCTTGGCTGGCTGGGCTTCCTCTACAAACCCCCTTCCTTTCCCCTAAGCAGGGCCCGGTGTCCCCATCCCGCGGAGTTGAGCTCATGAGGGCATCTGACCAGGAGTAGCTATTCCTGGTGCTATTGTCATTGTCCTGTTTCATGTGTGAACATGGCTGGCTCTACAGAGATTTGGCGGGTAGCAAGGAGGTTTCTTTTTGAATCTTCTTTTGGAAGTCAGACTTGATGAGGATCTTATGCCCACTTTTTCCTAGCTCTGTGGTGTCAGGCAAAGTCTGTTTCTGCAAATGGGGGTTAAGAATTCCTACCTCACAGCAGTCTTTTGATAAATAAATAAGATCTTAAGTGTAAATTATTCCACTAGAAATTGCACAGTCACTTTGGTCTTCATCCTGGAGGTCCACTGACAAGCCTCATGCAAACCTGTGGCCCTGTTCATAAAGTGTTTTGATCCATACTTTCAAATGGCCTCAGGAAGACCTTTTATAAAGTAAAAATGTTAGGCAGCCACATGATATCCATTGACCCAGTGAGGCTGTTTTACTGGATATAAGAGGTTTGACCCGGCATTTTGGGGGGCCGAGACAGGCAGATCACTTGAGGCCAGGAGCTGGAGACCTGCCTGGCCAACATGGAGAAACCCCATCTCTATTAAAAATACCAAAAAAATTAGCTGGGCATGGTGGCACATGCCTGTAATCCCAGCTACTTGGGAGACTGAGGCACAAGAATCGCTTGAACCCGGGAGTCAGAGGTTGCAGTGAGCCAAGCCGAGATGGCGCCACTGCACTCCAGCCTGGGCAGCAGAGTGAGACTCTGTCTCAGGGGAAAAAAAAGGGTGAGGGGAGGGTTTGAAAAAATAGTAGCATGTAGTTATGTTTCTACAATATTTGATATATATAAGGATTTACCAACCTCTTGCATTAGCTGCTATCCCCTACAGCAGTTGCTGTAGGAAAAAAACATCAAGTTCTGAGCTCCTACTGTTTGCCAGGCATATTCTGAGATGATCACGTTGAAATCTCAGAGTTACCCTGCAGAGTAGTCAGGGTATCACTGCCTGACAGATGAAGAAGCTGAGGCTTCCAGCAGATAAATGACTTACCCCAGGCCACATAGAAAATGAGTGGGAGAGCCCAGGTCTGTCTGTGAGGTATAATGAAATTAGCATAAACCCTCCACATTGGCGCCACTCGCATAAATTAACATATATTCTCTCACAGAAAGTATTTTATTGGGCATAACAGTTTGTATCATTTACCGTTTAACATTAGCCGTGGATCTTCCCACATCACATGACTATGCCTCATTCTTTTTGGATAATATGATTACTATTGAATGGATTTACTATCATTCACTTAATCAATACTCCTTTTGATGGCCATTTTAATTGTCTATTTTTTCCTTTTGCACAGATTGGTGTAATAAACGTGATTTTATAGTAATATTTTTGTCTGCCTGTGAAAATGTTTGCTGGACAATAAATTCCTAGGAGTCAAATAAGGTCAAAGATTATAAATACAGTATTTATTTTCATAAATATTACCAAGTCAGCCACAAATGTTTAAATTACTAATGGTTTCAGATTATTGTATTTAATGAGTAAACACTTTTATAGGGTTTACTTTTATGAACACTTTTATTTGCCAGATATCATTCTAAGTCCTTTACAAAATTAACTTTTTTAATTTGTAATATAACCCTGAGATGTATATTAGGATTATCCCCATTCTACAGATAAGAACACTGAGAAGTTAATTAACTTGCCACATATCTAGGAAGTGACAAGGCTAGTTGCACAGCCAGGCAGTCTGGCTCCTGAGTCCACATTTTAGACAACACTATACCTCCTGGTTCTTTTGAGGCATTACTGCTGGAACTATCCTAATACTCATAAATAAACATTTCTTTTGGGGAGGGCCAAATAAAATTTTAAACAGAAAAGTTTTCACCAACTGTCAAGCTCATAAAGTTGTACGTTATACACTTTTTTCATGATGCCCACAGATAATTTATTAATGATATCATCTATTTTAAAAGACGTATGTAAAACCCAACCCTTAAGAAAGGATTCCTATCACTGTTCCCACAGGCACCCTCCTCAGTCTTATACCTTTCCATTCCACCCCCCAAAACAAATCATTCAGCATATTTATTTCATACTGTAATAGAGGAAGTAGCTTCTTTTTAGATTTTCTTAGATTATTAACATTGATCATACAAACATGGAATAGAAATTCCTTATGTTTTATCTGGATTTAAGGTGCTACATAATGGAATCTATTTCTATCAAGCCATACACATTGGAGATAATGAAATCACTTGTGTTCTAGCCTAAACGTTATGGGAATTTCAGAACTGCAACATAACAGATAATCCTTGGACGAAAACTAAATCTCTCCTCTGGTCAGGCATCTATGTGCATCAGTGAAGAGAAGACGGGGACTGTGGAAGGGAAAACAGTGAGTCAGGAAGGACTGTGGCCACATCTGTTCCCCGGACCCTCAAGTAGTTAAATCCTGACCTCCTCTACCCCAGACTGTCCTGGGGAACGGCCAACACTGGCTTTTCACAACTGTGTGTTACCAGAAATGCAACAGAAACCCAGCTGAATCCCCAGGGTTTCCCTTCTGCCCTTCTCAATGGAAAGATCTGTCCCAGGACCATTTATTCCAACATTTTCAATTATGAGAAATCTGGGAAGATAAAGTTATTTTCACATTTCTCAAGAAATACATACTTATTCATACTCATGACAGGAAAGTCAGAATCTACAGAAAACCAAGAAGATTTTTAAAAATCCATGATACCACCATCAAAAGAGCCACACTTAGTATGTTGGTCCACAGGTTTCCTAGCACCCTTTTCTGTTGGTGTATGCACAAAATACACAATCACATTCTGTCTACATTTTACAATTTGCCATTTTTTGATTAACACTATATATTGACCAATTTTTAAGACCTGCAACATATGTCGACAACATTATTTCAGAATAATATATTTATAAATAAACGCACACACAAACTGTCTGTCTTATATACAACACGTCTTACTTTCTAATTCTCCACTCTGGAAGATTTAGGTTTTCCTAACTTTTTAATATACTCACCAGGAATCAGTAAACTTTTTTTATAAAAGGCCAAAGGGTAGATATTTTAAACTCTGCAGGCCATAGGTTTCTGTTGCAACACTCAACTCTGCTGTTGCAGGGAAAGAAGCCATACACAATTTGTAAATGAATGGGCATGACTGTGTTCTGATAAACTTTACAAAAACAGGTGGTGGACTAGATGCAGCCTGCTCCTCTGGACATGGCTTACCAGCCCCTGACATATACCACTACAGAGGATGCTGTTAGAATGAAATCTCTTTACACATCTCTGATCATCTCCTTAGGACTAATTGCTAGACATGACATGATGGTAGCTGTGGGTCAAAGGGCATGCACGCTCTGGGATGTACATTGCCAGATTGCTCATGATCAGCCTTTCTCATGTCAAAATGTTTTGTGACCACCAGAAGGCTGGTTCTGCTTTTATTATCCATTGACTGAGGAGTAGAAATGACATGGCATGTATGCAGGATATTTAACCATCGTATAGATAATCCTTGTGCACAAGTGCATTCTATATTCTTTCCCAATAGGTCTACATCTGCCAGAGTTGAAATAAAATAAAACAAAACAAACCTATTTAGCACCTTCTGTGTAGCAGGTCCATTCATGTATGTTGTTGTATTTCATTCTCAGAATTCTTATGACCTAGGCATTTTAAAAATTTTTTTAAAAATATTGAGTTGACAAGGATTGTGTATATTTAATGCATACAATGTGATTATTTCATATATGTATATATTGTGTACTAATTATCACAATCAAATTTATTACATCCATTACCACCTATGCTGTACATTAAATCTCCAGAATTTGTTCATCTTATAACTGAAAGTTTACACCCTTTGATTAATAGCTTCCCATTTTCCCCACCTCCAGCCCTTGGCAACCACCATTCTACTATCTGTTTTTATGAGTTTGACTCTCTTAGATCCCACATATAAGTGAGATCATACAAAACTTGTCTTTCGGTGTCTGGCTTATTTCACTTAGCGTAATGTCCTCCAGGTTTATCCAGGACAGGAGTTTCTTCTTTTGAATGGCTAATAGTCCATTGTTTATATGTATTTTATTTATCCATTCATCTGTTGCTGGACACTTAGGCTGTTTCCATATCTTGGGTATTGTGAATAGTGTTGTAATAAACATGGGGCGCAGATCTCTCTTCAAGGTTCTAACCTGATTGCTGAATCGTATGGTAGTTCTGCTTCTAATTTTTTGAGGAACCTCCATACTGTTTTCTGTAAAGGTTATACCACTTTACATTCCAACCAACAGTGTACAAGGGTTCTCTTTCCTCTATGCTTTCGCCAACACTTGTTATCTCTTGTCGTTTTTTTATAAGAGCCATCCTATCCTATGAGGCAATATCTCACTGTGGTTTTGATTTGCATTTCTCTGATGATTAGTGGTGTTGAGCACCTTTTCATATGCTGGCTGGCCATTTGTATATCTTCCTTGGGGAAAAAAGTCCATTGGGGTCCTTTGCCTATTTTTAATTGCGTTATTCATGTATTTATTAATTTTTGCTATTGAATTGTGTGAATTCCTTATATTTTTTCAAATAACCCCTTATCAAATATATGGGTCGCAAATATTTTCTTCCATCCCGTAGGTTGCCTTTTCATTTTGTCATGGTTTCCTTTGCTGTGTAAAACCTTTTAAGATTGATGTAGTCCCATTTATTTATTTTCACTTTTGTTGCCTGTGCTTTGGTGTTACATCAAAAAAAATATTGCCAATTATGACCAATGTCGAGGAGATTTTTCCCTATGTTTACTTCCAGGATTTACATGGTTTCAGATATTACATTTAAATCTTTAATCCACTTTGAGCTAATTTTCTGTATATGATGTAAAACAAGTGTGCAATTTCATTCTTTTTCATGCACTTTCCCCAACACCATTCATTGAAGAGAGTTTCCTTTCTACATTGTGCCTTTTTTTTTTTTTACAGTACAGTGAAAGCAAGTCTATTAAGAAAGTAAAGGAATAAAAGAATCTACATTGTATATCCTTGATGGCCTTGTCAAAGATCTGTTGACCATATATGCACGGGGTTATTTCTGGGTGAGCTTGGCATTTTTTTTTTTTTTTTTTTTTTTTGAGACAGAGTCTCGCTCTGTCGCCCAGGCCAGACTGCGGACTGCAGTGGCGCAATCTCGGCTCACTGCAAGCTCCGCTTCCCGGGTTCACGCCATTCTCCTGCCTCAGCCTCCCGAGTAGCTGGGACCACAGGCGCCCGCCACCGCGCCCGGCTAATTTTTTGTATTTTTAGTAGAGACGGGGTTTCACCTTGTTAGCCAGGATGGTCTCGATCTCCTGACCTCATGATCCACCCGCCTCGGCCTCCCAAAGTGCTGGGATTACAGGCGTGAGCCACCGCGCCCGGCCGAGCTTGGCATTTTTATCTACCTCATTCTACCGATGAGGAGGCCGAGTCTCAGAGAGTTCACAGACCTGCCTAAGGTCACTCAGCTAGAGGTGATACAACCAGGGTTTGAACTGAGATCTGCCAAGCTTCTGAGTTTATTCTTTTTCCCCCACACCAAGGATCCTCAATTCTGCCTTACTGACATCAGGATCCGGTCAATTCTTTGTGATGGGGGCTGTCCTGCACCTGGCAGGATGTTTAGCAGCTTCTCTGGCCTCCACCCACTGGATGCCAGGGGAATGCAGAAGAGGCTTGTTCATTCTCCCATTTAATCCTCAGGACAATATCTGACATAAATGTTACGTCTTTTATTTTATAAATGAAGAAAATGAGACTCAGAAAGGTTTAAGTGAGTTACTTAAGAACACACAGACAGCAAAGGTAGAACTGGAAACCGAACACAGGTGTCCACATGGGACAACAAAAAAGTTCACGTTCCATCTTCTTTTGAGTCTCTCATTTCAATAATTACCATTGTGTGGATATGAGCTGAAGTACAGGAAACCTGGGGCTGAACTCTCCTCCCATCAGGCCTAGGAGCCCCAGACCAGAACCCCAGCCCAAGGTCTCCCAGTCAGGCCCGCTGGTGTGAGCTGGCATCTACACTAGCATGGTCTCCCAAAGCTGCAGGGATGCCAGTCTCGCCGCTGATGAAGAAAATGAAGGGCATTTCCTTCTCATGCAGGCTGTCGGGATTTAACACAGATTCCTTTTCTTGCTCTCTTCTCCCATAGCACAAAACTGGGTGGTCCATCCCCCTCCCAGTGTCCCAAGGCTTTGTTGCGTGTTCTCTTTAATTTCTCCCACTCTTGCGGTGTACCCTACCCTCATCTCCCTGGCAACCTTTCTGCTGTATCCTCTCGACACCTGGATCACAAGAACACTTGTGAGACCCCTTAACAAGTTACATCCCAAATTATCATTCCCCTTTGTCCTCAGCCAGTGCTCAGGTCCAACTTGCTCTCCTGGGGTGACTTTCTTTCCTGCCCAATATGGTTTCATCATCTGTAAATTGGGGATAATTAAAGTCTTGATCCTGATATTTGACTCTCAAAGCAGAAGTAGCAAGCTCAGCCAAGTCACTTCAACAAGAGGAGAAGTTCCTTGTGAACCAAAAGGGCACTGGTCACAAGGGCCGCTCCTTCTTCTGTCAGGCCTCTCCAGCACGCCCTTGGCTCAGCCAAAGAAGAGACTCAGGCTGTGCTTCTGCACTGTTGGGATAACATAGGCCTCTTCCATGTGGTTCCACACCAGGAACATGGGGACAATCAGACCTCTCCCAGTGTGGGCATAAGGATACAAGATCATGTCAATATTGACATTCATAATGGCTGGGCGCAGTGGCACACGCCTGTAATGCCAGCACTTTGGGAGGCTGAGGTGGGCAGATTGCTTGAACCCCAGAGTTCGAAACCAGCCTGGGCGACTTGGCAAAACCAGTCTCTACTGAAAATACAAACAATTGGCTGGGCTTGGTGGCGCACACCTGTAGTCTCAGCTACTTGGGAGGCTGAGGTGGGAGGATTGCTCAAACCCAGGGAGGTTGAGGCTTCAGTGAGCTATGATGGCACTGCTGTACTCCAACCTGGGCAACAGAGTGAGGCCCTGTCTCAAAACAAAAACAAAGACAAAACAACATTCATAATAGTAGCAATAGCTACTATGTGCCAAGCCCAGGCACCTCTTCGAGTCTTTGCTGTCACCCTATCAGGTAAGCGTGCTTAGAAGTTACACGAAGCACACGGCTCAGTGTTTGGCCCACGGTAAGGGCCTAAAAAGGGATAGCCCCAGTGGTGGGGATGCTGCTGCTGCTGACCATTAACCCCAGTCTGCTCCACCTTCTTCCAGGCAGTCTGTGAGATGTTTGATGTCCGAGGCAAACAGCACATTCAGATCCCCAAGCTCTACACCTCCAGTGTGACCAGGCACCTGCACCACTTCAGGCTCATGCAGGACTCACAGCCTTTGGACCGCAGCTAAAGGACTTGCTTCTCTTCAGCACACGGGGCTTGTTTGTGTTGGGGTCTGAGCCCTGAGCCCATGGTCAAGGAGACCCCCAGGTCTTTCTGAACAGAGACAGCTGGCCTGGGGGCCTCCCTCTCACTGCGTGCAAGAGGCTGTTAGGGTGCAAGACTCAAGGCGCTGAGGGAGGCTGTTTCAGGAGGGAGCCCCAGGAGGGTGGTGGAGACAGAAGGGGGCAGCATCTGCCGAGGCCCTCCTGTGTGCCTGGCACCGTGTGGGGTTTCTGGCCCATATGGGCTAAGTGACCCTGCACACTCCTCTTAGGAGAGAGGCTCAGATGGAGAAATTGCAGTTCAGGAAGGTGAAGCAAGCTGCTAGCCTGTGGCCATGTTGGGATCTGGGCCTCAGCCTTCCAGCCACGAAGGCAGCCAAGTGTCATGAAGAAGGCATCACAGAGGCAATTCCAGGCTGTAGTGGTGAACTTTCCACTCTGCATCCCCGGGTGCTGTGCCCTGTGCCCTGTCTAAGGTAGCCCTGTGGGTTTCTATATGTTTAAATTGTCCCCAGCATCAATGATGCTCTCCTGTGGATCCCAAGCCATGGAGATGTCCTGGGACTTTTCATTTTTAGGTACCTAAATTGAATTTCCCAACACACAGAAGCAAGACAGCCGCCCTAACAGACTCTTGCATGCAGTGAGAGGGAGGCCGCCAGGCCAGCTGTCTCTGTTCAGAAAGACCTGGGGGTCTCCTTGACCATGCGCTCAGGGCTCAGACCCCAACACAAACAAGCCCCGTGTGCTGAAGAGAAGCAGGTCCCTTAGCTGAGGTCCAAAGGCTGTGGGTCCTGCATGAGCCTGAAGTGGTGCACGTCCCTGGTCACATTGGAGGTGGAGAGCTTGGGGATCTGAATGTGCTGTTTGCCTTGGATCTTTATTTGTGATTCAGAAACAGTGGAATAAAAGGAAAGGAAAGAAAACCTGAATGGCCACCTCAGCAGGATGCTCCAAGGGTAGTGTCCAGGTGGCACTGACTCAGATATGTGGGGGCTTCCCCCACCCATGCTCAAGAGCCACTTTGCCATTTCACCATCTCTCTGTCCTCCACACCCCTCAGCAGCAAGCACAACAAGAATGTGTTCACCATGAAGCTCAAATCTCAGCAGAATCTAGAGTCTGAAATCCAAGTAAGGGAAAGTGTAGAGCTTCTTGGATGATGCCCTGTCAATTTTATTTTAACGAATGAAAGACCAGAAGAAGTCAGTCTTGAAAGGAGAGGACAGGAGCATCTGCTGGCATTAGCAGCCGTGCCATCGTAGGACCGACTCACCTGGACCCGCGGCCACCTGTGCTTTTACATCTAGTCTTGGTTAACCATGGGCCACTTTTCCAGCTTGGAAACTAAGCATATGCTCCACTTCCTCTCCTTCCTCATTGAACTCTTTCACTAAAAGAACAGTGCAAGAGAGACTTAAACTGTTTGCCTCATTCTTAAGACCTTTCAGGAAAAGTGTTGGCAGGGAAGGAAATCTCCCAGCTCTGGGAAACAGTCTTGTGGATTATCTGCTGGTTTCATTGATCTGTGCTGTCCTCCCTGCATTCATTAGGAAAACTGGCCTTGGTTCAAATAAGAACAGGATTTGTCCTGGTGACAGAGAAAGGTTTCTTCTGATGTCCATATATCTCCGAGGGGGATGCTTTCTCCAGGCAGAGGCTGTGGCCAAGCGATCGGGGGGCTCAGAGGGCTGCTGGGAAGGGGTGGGCCCCTCTCTCCCCAGAGGGAAACTCCTGGGGACCTCTCGAGCACCCCTGCCCATCCTTTAAACATAAATTCATAAATACAAACAAGTAGGCCATTCACAGAAATATATAAAATATGTCATAGGACGGGTGGCACTCTCATATGGCAATAATTATGACAGGGGCCGGCAAATGACCTGAGTGACCCGGAGTGGCCTGAGCACTGACTCCCAAATGCCCTCCATAGGATGTTCTGCATCCCCGAGACCCTTTCCTGGGTCCTCCTGGGCCCTACCACCCCCTAGACCATCCAGACCTCAGGTCATCCCCCTGTCTGTTGACAGAGTAGTCTCCGTTCCTGAATGTGCTGGTCACCAGCAACAGCAGCTGCTCCTCCTCCGGGAAGCTCAGCCTATACTTCTACATGCAGAGAACCTGGACGGCACCCAGGTGGACCTAAGCCTTCAGCTCCCAGTAGACACTCTGGGTTTCCTACCCTGCCCAGACACTCTGGGCTTCCCCCCACACCTCCCCTCGGCCGGGGCTCCTGTGTGCATCTGTCTCTCCCAGTGCCCAGCACAGGCGTGGAAGGGAAGAGGTGAATGGACCGATTTGAACACATCATCCTGGATTCTCCGTTCCCTCTCAAGCCCTGCAGCTAACCCATCGGCAAGCCCTGGAGGCTCTGCCTCCAAAATCCTGCCTATCCCATGTGCAAACGCCTCTCACCATGTCCACTGCTATTTGCAGTTCTGTGTGTGTGGAAATACTTCCACAAATTTGGAATGAACAGGTCACAGCTGTGCCTGGAGGGAATGGCCAGGGAAATGTGCCCTCGCCTTGCTGTTCTATCCAGGCCCACCCAGCTGAGGATGGGGGACCTGCCACCACTCTCCTGGCAGTTCCGGACTCCTGGGAACCGGCAGGTGAGGACCCAAGAGTGTTTTCAGTGACCCGGCTGACCTGGTCATCCGTCAGTCCCACCTTGGCCTAGGCCTCTATACAGCACAGATCACAGCTCATTCCATCCTGGCATTACACTGGCCTGTGCCCTGTCCTCAGGGTCACATCCGTCTCCCAGAAGCCGTGCAACCCTGGAAAACCCAGGTCTAACAGTCAGGTTCCTCCTCCGTGCATTAACAATGGAGTTGACGCCTGCTTTGCGGCACGCTGGGAGGGGAGAGGGAGGTGTATGCTGGAGAGCTCCCCAGGGGCAAGGCCTGGCTCTGCGTCACCCACTGTCAGATCCTGAGAGCCTGGGGCTGGCCCAGCACGTGGCCACCGTTCCCTAAGAGTTGGATTTCATCCCTCAGTGCTGAAGGCAGGGGATAGAGCTTAGACAGACCCCCTGCGTCCTGTCTTCTTTATCTACAGCTTTCTCATCCTTGCCCCTTTCACGTGCACCCGGCAGAGCAGGTGTTCACTGAGCTTGAGCAAAATTCAAGCTAGAGCAGCTGATGGATCTTGAGGCCTAGATTCACTGTCAAAGTGTTTCTCAAACGGTGCTCTCCAGAACACCAAGGAAAACTCATTGACTGTGTAAGTCTGAAAATCCCTGCCCACCGGTCTACCTTTGTGTATGAGCAATCAGCTCTACCATTCAGCCCAGGTGTGTGTTTGCTGGACCATGTGGAGGAAGCTGAAGAGACGTGAGCTGAAGGCAGAGGGTGAGTCCAAGGTGGGATCTTGGGACAGGTACGAGAAGTTAGGCAAAAATGGGATAATTCTAGCCTTCATAACCTTAGATAACAGTTCACATTATTATTTAGTTAATAGAACTGTACCCACATTAAATTTCTTAAATTTTTTTAAGAGATAAAGTCTCACTCTGTCACCCAGGCTGGAGTGCAGTGGTGCAATCATGGCTCACTGCTTCCTGGAACTCGTGGGCTCCAGCAATCCTCCTGCCTCAGCCTCCTGACTAGGTGGGACTATAGGCACACGCCACCATGCCTGGCTAATTTCTTTGACTTTTCTCTAGAGACCGGGTCCACCTAGGTTTCCCAGGCTGGTCTCAGACTTCTAGACTCAAGTGAACCTGAACCTCCCGCCTCGACCTCTCAAATTGCTGGGATTACAGGTGTGAGCCACCACACCCGGCCTAAATTTCTTATGTGCCATGGGACTGCAAAACATCATTATTAGGGGCAGCTGGATGGAAGGTATAGGAGGATACTATAGTGCCTTTTCAATATTTCTGTCTAAAATCTAAAATCATTTCAACAGGAAACATTTATTTCAAAACATGAAGGTGGTTATCCTTCCATGAGTTTGAAGTACAAAGGCAGGCTCACGGTGTCGTCAGAATTCAGAACGATGGTCGTGGGGCTGGGGGTGCTGGGAGGGGCTGGGCATGGTTGGCTTTGTGATCTGGGGTCTGGTGTGTTCCATCTCTGAATCTCTCTCGAGCTGCACTCTTTCTTAATACATTTTCATAAGTTTAACCAAAAATAAAACGAGGACGCGAAGCTTGCTTGGGTTGTTAAGCCTAGGGAAATTATCCAGCCATGAGCCCTGGCCCAGATGCTTCTAGAAGCCTGGAGGGAACTGAGAACTTTCCAAGTGGAGGCCGCAGAGGCAAGGCCCTGAGGTGGGAGCACACTGCTGTTCGTCCCTAGCTCTGAAGGGGGTGCCCTGGTCGGAATCAGTGCTGGGTGCAGCGAAAGCCGATCTCACCCGCTCCGCAGGGTGTTCAGCCTGCCAGCAGGGGGCCAGCTGGTCCTCCTGGGATATGGCACGGACCCAGCAGCTCTGTCTGAAATCATAATGGCGGAACCAAGGGCCCTCTACGTCCAGGTCCGTTGGGAGGCGGGGCATGGAGTTCCACTGCAGGAATCTCCAGGAACCCTGAGGTCCTCCCTGAGCCAGGGCCGGGCTGGGCACACCCTGAGTGCCCACAGGGTAGGTGTCTTCCCGGACAGCCCCACCAGGACAGGGTGTGGAAGAACGAGGTGCCCGTGGCGGGGAAGCTGACCAAATGGGCCGCGGGAACCGGGCTGGTGGGCCTGGAGGGGCCTGCCTGTCCCCCTTGCAGAGGGTCTTCCCGCCACGTGAAGCCGGCACAGGCCTGGATGCCGACGACCCTTGCTCGGGTTTGGCTGAAAGGAAAACAGACGCGGTCAGCATCTCCAGTGAGCCCACGCAGGCCTTTCCGGGCTGGGCCCCACCTGCCTGCATCTCGGAGTCCTCGGGGTCTCTGTGTGGCCCCCGTGGCCTGACACCGAGGACACGCCTGTAGTCTGCTGATCCCAGAGGGAGGGGTGCATGCTGCCTGGCGTGGGGAAGCTGTCGTGGCATGGCGGGTGGCTCCTGGGACTGCCCCCAGGGTTCAGACTGGCTGGGGGCTTCCTGCCACACACCTTCGTCCCAGGGCTGTTGGGCCTGGGATACGGCCCCCAGTCAGAACTCAGGTGGGAGGGGCCTTGGATGTCACCCAGCCCCTTGTCACCTCACGTGGGGACCCGTCTCCGCAGTGGGTGATTGGGCCCGGACGTGGGTCACCCTCTGCCCTCCTGGGCTGCCCAGTCCATGCCAGGACTGACCGTTCCCACTTCTGGCTGAACTCTTGGCTCTGGCTCTGGGCCCTCTCCCTGAATGCTCTGTGGGTCAGGGACACGGATTCCCTTGTCTCCCTGGCTCCAGGCTTCTTGTCCTGGCAACCTTGGAGGAGCGTGCAGGAGTGAGGGGCCTCTGCTGCTCTCTGAGGCTGTGGGTGCTTGCAGGGAGGGGCGGGGTCTCCCACAAATGGGTCTGGGCTCGTCTAGTAACTTGGAGGGCCCTGCGAGGGGGAGAGGGAGACACCGTGGAAAGTGGGAGGGGGCTTGTTGGAGGGTCTTGCCCACATCCCCCTCCTGCGTGCACAGCATGTCCAGTATACACGCACTGAGCGCCTGCCCTGAGGACCGGTGGGCCTCCTGTACTTTCTTAGAGTCCAGGAGGAAGAGGAGGAAGAAAAGGTGAAGAGGAAGGCCCAGGTAGTAGGGTTGCGGGTCCCGGGCACTCCCCTACTACTGACTACCCCAGAGGGTGACATGGGAGGGGACATGGCACTGGAGCCCACCTGGGGGTGGCAGGTCCCCCTGCTTTCTTGTTAGTTTCTTCATAGAGGCCCTAAGATGCTTGAGCACAGTGTCCTCATCCCTGGCCCAGGTATCAACGAACCGGTTGCAAAAACGTGCCCACGGGCCACACCTGGACGTCTTCGTGAGGCGCTCTAGGGACAGGGTGGATATCAGGCCAGGGGAGTTACCTGGGAATGGTCACAGCTCATATCCCGTGGCCACTTCAGTCTCCTACTGGGCGGTGCCGGATCCTTTTGTGGCCACCCCAGGTGTCCAGATATACACAGGAGACTGTGGCTGGGGGGCGATCCGGACAGGGAAGTGCTCACCACACTCTCGACTTTCATCTGGGTCATGTGGGGGATGGGCTCGGTGTCACAGTGTCCTGCCCAGCCCACCTGGCCAGACCTCCCTCTGGGCCAGAACAGAGGATCATGAGGACAGTGTGAGGAAGCTGCCCTCGGGCCAGTCGGGGTCTGACCCCAGGGCTCCCCAGGCCCCGCTGGGCACACGTAGACTTACTCTGCTGAACCTTAAAGGCGATTCTTGTTATCGGCATCAACGCCTGTTCGCCTTCTACCAGATACACGTCCCACAGGCGCAGGGTGAGCCCGAGAGAGATCTGTGGGGACAGCAGGTGTGAAAGAACCTGGTCCTTCCAGGCTGGGGCTGGTGGCTCGAGCTGCGCACACTGGGGCTTCAGTCTCCAGAGTCAGTGACCTTCCCCATGAGGGTCGCCTGAGCCCTCCAGGACGCTGGGTCAGACAAGGTCTTGAAGCTCCTCATGGGGGGCACTCATTTGAGTGGGGATGTGGCTCCTGGAGAGAGGGGCTTGCCCAGGGCTTGAGGCTTCCCTGAGCCCTCTCAAGTCGGGTCCTGGCCCAGTCTGCCCATGAGGCTGGGCCTGAGCCCCAGCCATGGCCCTGGGATGACCCCCCTTGGGCAGAGGGTTTTGCTTGTGTGTCCTTTGGGGTCCCGCCTGAGCCTCCTGTGGGCTGGGAGTGAGCCAGACCCCCGGGCTGGGGAAGCAGGGCACTGCAGGGCAAGGAAGGTCCCTGAGCCAGGGTCTCCCTATGCCTCCTTACCCCGTCAATCAATATCCGGATGAGGCAGCCTAACGGGGAACACTGCCCACATAGATCTTTCTTGTCCTGATGGAAGCAACAGAGGTGCTCAGGCCACTGGGCTGCCCTAAAAACCTCCCTCTTCCAGGGCCTCTGAAGACCCTTCCCCTAGTGCAGAACACTGGGCGGTGTCCAGAGCTCCCCACAACACTGTCACCTTCCCACACTCCCGGTGGACACACTGCCCTTTGCCCTGCTCTGCGGGAGCTGGGCCCCCATCCCTGTGCCTCTGTCTCCTCCAGGGCAGGAAAGGAAACCAACTCCCAGCCCATGGAGAACCCGACGTCCCAGGTCAGGCCCTGGCTGGGACTCAGCCAGTCACCAGCCCCACGAGGGGCTCCAGCCCCCCTGCTCCTACAGCCCCACGGGAGGCAGGGCCTCTGGGAAGAGCTGAGGGGACCATAAACTCACCTGATGCCCCATGGTCTTGGGTTGTGACGTGGCTACCACATGCTCCTGTTGGTCTTGGAGCCCCTGGACGGTCCCGCCATTTGGGCTGTGAAATCCTGAGAAGCCCCCAGCCCATCATGAAATCAGAGCCTTCCCCCAAGATGTGGAGCCATCAGCTGCAAGAGCTGGGCAGCTGGAGAGGCCCCCAAACCCCAAGGCCTCCCACCCTCCCATCTGGTGACCCCAACATGCGGCCTTTACCCTGGGGAGGTGGGGCGGGAACATTCCCTGGAGCCTGGCTGGAGGTTCCCCTGGAGGCCTCCTGGGCCAGGGTGCAAAAAGGGCAAGCCTGACTTTCAGGCCACGACAGGGTGGCCGGAACTGGGTGGGCGCTGGGCTTCCCGGTCATCTCCTGGTAGTGGGGTCGGGCCAGGGAACAGGGGATGGGGAGATGCTGCCACCTGGGCTTGGTCGGCCCATTCGTGGGCACCGATGGCAGCAGGAGCCTGGGCAGCTGGAGGGCAGGAGGACTCTCAGGGAGGGGAGAGTCAGCTGCACAGAATCAGAGCCGGAGGGCGTGGCTCCAGGACACAGAGGGTGGCCACGGGGAGGATGAGATGCCCTCTGCTGATGGGGATGACAGGCGTCTGATTTGGGCTTTGGGGGTCAGCCGTGGACTCCTGTGGGACCCTCAGCAGAGACATTCTAAAGTCTCCCAACAAGCTGGCGACACAAGGAGGGTGCCTTGGCTGAAAGCTGTGATCACCCGGCCAGGGTGGCCATCCCCAGGTCTGGCTGCAGGAGGTCCCCGGGGCAGCTGTTCACTTACCCTGCAGGGAGTGCCTCTCACTGGCCAGCAGCTGCACCAGTGCCCAGAATGCATCCTCCTCAGGAAGATAGAGGAGGAACAAGGCGGCGATGTGGCTCAGGTCCCTGCAGTAGCCCACCTCCTGCAAGAGCCAGAGTCACCATGGAAGGACATCACCTGGGAGGGCTGAGGTCACCTGGGAGGACTCATGTCATTGGAGAGGGCAGAGGTGACTGGAGAGGCTTCCTCTGAAGGAGAGGCTTCCTCTGAAAAAGAGGCTTCCTCAGGATGCACATTCATTTCATGACAAGAGCCAAGTCCATCAGGCACTTCAGCACCTTGTCCAAAATGTCTGCTGATAGCACCATCCTGTGTGCGATGCTGCCAAGCTCCTGGGCTTTGGGGCAGCCCCAGGAGGAGGGCGTCATTTCTTGTTCTGAGAAGTGGTGGTCAGGCCCAGGTGACACCAGGAGTCCCGGCCCTGACTCCTTTGTGTCTCAGCTTGACCCCTTGAGACCACCCCCTTCCTTGGAGGTTTATGCCAGCGGTGAGCTGACATCCTACCTCCTATATCCTGGTGGGTCACAAATACTAACTTTAAAAGAAGCAACGACACCCCCACCAGACACCCACTCCTGTCAATATGGAAATATGGCCCGGGAACCTCACTGCCGGGAATACTCACCGGGTTATACTCCTCATATGCCAGGAGGATGTGGAGTAGTTCCCGCTGCCTAGGAAACAGAGAAAGGGGGCTTTGGTTTGTTTTGTGCAGATGTTGTTAATTTCACTTTGTCTACAAAGCCTAACAGCAAATCCCATTTCAGGTTCAGATGTTTCACCAGATAAGCAGTGAGCTCTTCAGGGCCTGAGACTCTTGAAGAAATGTTTCAGTAAAATCCACATCTGTGACATGCAAATAGCCCAGTTGTACAGTGACTTGCCTGATCCTTTTCACTCTGAATGATTTTTTTTTTCAGTTTGCACACACGCCAGTTCAGTCTGTGGGTGTACAGTTCCTCCACGGTTCCAAACCGATGTGCAGAGTCTCCCGGCCACCGCTCCAGCCCCTCCTGGGGCGACTCCTTCATCCTCCAAGTCTCCAGGGTGGCCCCTATGCAACCAGCCTCTCCCCGATCCGTCAGCCCCTGGCCACCCAGACTGCTTCTCAGTCCCTGTGGTTTGGCCTTTTCCAGAATGGCCTAGGAATGGGAATCCTACTGTGGTAGCTTATTGGGTCTGGCTTCTGTCCCTCAGCAAAATGCATCTAGGATCCACCCACGTTCGTGCGGGCATCACCGGCTCGTTCCCTTTTCTCACTGGGTCTTCCGTTTGAAGGGAGGACCAGCCTTGCTCTCCCCATCCCCGTGTTGAAGGCCGTCCCCGAAGGCTCCGTGTGTGAGTGACGAGGAGTCAAGCAGTGAACCTGGCATGCTGGTTTCATGTGGATGTCAGTTTGCAAATCAGTGGGTTCAATATCTGTGACACTTTGGGGATGTGTGGTTCAAGTCCATCGAGCTTTGTGAGCCACTGCCCAACGGGCTGCCAACGTGGCTGTGCCATGTCATGTTCCCAGCGGACCTGGATGAGAGTTTCCAGGACCCCTAATTCTCCCAGCATTTGGTGCTGTCACTGTTGCCTGGCGGGGGCTCATGGGCCCTCTATCCTGCCACCCTCCCGTGGGTCCTACCATGGGTCCCCATGGGTCAGGGAGAGCACCCTTCACCATTGTGCATGATTTTGTTTGCTGCCTTCCATCTCCTCAGGATCCTCCTGGGTTCTGGCCCCACATGTTCCAGTCTGGCCCAGGGCTTGGAACCAGGGAGGTGCTCGGTTCATGGTGCCGGCTGCTCCCTGGGCCGGGAGAGCTCTTGGCAGCTGTGTCATCCCTCCTGGGTGACCCTGGCTTCTGCTCCGGGGAAGCCCCCATCCCTCTCATTCACCCCATCTCTGCTGGGACCCTGTGGCTCCCGTAGGCTTACTTGGTTCCGTATCGATCCCTGAAGAATATATGCTTCCTTAATGTCCCGCTTACGTCCCGGTCGATGCGCTGGATGTGCTCAGATGACCTCTTGCCCTTCTCCTTCATGATCTGTAGGGCAGGGCCAAGAGGAGGAAGCAGTCTCAGAACAGATGGAAGACTCCCTGCCCCCAGTGGCAGTCAGCCCACAGTCAGCACTTCGGGAAGGAAGGACAGAAGGAAGGTTTCCTTCTGCAGAAAGCTGCATTTTGGCTTGTTACTGAAGCCAGGGAGGGTCACCAGAGCTGAGTTTGTCTGTGGTGACTGTGTCACCATCTGTGCCCAGGGTGTTCATCTGACCTTCACCCCCAGCTCCCCAGGGTGGTCTTGACGTTCCCTCCAGCTGGAGACCTGGGCACCGACACGGCCTGTCCTGTTTGTTGTGCTCTGGCTGAGCGTACCTGGTATCTTCCGGGGTTTTTCATCTTCATTTCCTCAGTGTTCAGGAGGACTGACCACATCGGGCCCCGGATGTTCATGGGCATTCCCTTGTACGCTCGATCTATGAGCTGTAGGCAGAAAACAATCTGGTGTCACAGGCCACGGGGTGACCCCAGTGAGGACCAGAGCCCGGGGATTCTGGAAATTGTCGGTTTTGGCCCCATGATTCCTCAGTAGAGGTGAGATCAAGCTGGGACAGGGTCTCCCTTCCCAGGACTGAAAGAGTGGATGGACACTCAGAGTCGAAACTCTGATCTGAACCTTTTCCTTCCTTCAGGTCCCCAGGGCATCCCTAGCCTTGAGCTCCGGGTAGTCCCAGCCCTAGATTCAGATTCCCTCCCTGCAAGGTGACGCTTGCACGAATAGGCAGGAAATCTGGCGACCAGGCCTGCAGTCCTCTGGGCGAGGACAGTGTGCCGCCCACCCTCTGAGAGGCTGATGGTGCCAGGCCACAGCCATGGGTGCCTGTCCCCTGTCTCTGCAGAGAGTGCTTCCTCCCTCCACACGTTACCTTTCTGCTGCTTTTGTATTTCTCCCAGTCTCCCAGCATATCCACCCACTTGCTCTTTCGGCTGATCTCCCGCCGAATTTGCTGTCAAATGAGGCATGTTGGAGTTAGCGGAGCTGCCAGGCTTCCCAGAGCCGCCCGCGGATGCTGGGTCTTGGGCTCTGGAGCCCTGGTGGGAGCCAGCTGGAAGGAGCCAGGGAAGGGCAGACCTCAAGGGCTGAGAGCCTTTGAGCAAATGAGCACCAGTGGGCTGGCTTTGGGACCCCGGGATGTACCATCCTCAGGCCACAGACACACCAGTCTTAGGTCCCAGCCTCTAGGTGGGGTCCTGACACAAGCGCGCAGCCACCCCCAAGCCAGGACTGTGGTTCTCCTTTTGGAATTTTATCAAACTGCCAAAGTGAACAGCAACCTGGGGTCAGGTCCAGCAGGGACTGCTGCCCCTCCCAGTGACAGCGTGTTGCCCTCACCCGCCACCGCTCAGGCCAGCTGCTTCCTCTGCCTCACTGACCACCCGCCCAGTCCCTACGTCCCTGGACCAGCCCCTCCACGCATCAGGCTCTTACCTTCGCCTCCCGCGCAGTCAGAGGAGGCAGCTCCGTCTCACTGTAAGGCAACCCAGGCAGAGCTGAGGAACTGCACGGGGCCTGGAGCGGCCCCAGCCTGGGTGCCGACCCCCAGAAAGGACTGGCTCTGTCCCTTTCCAGCTCAGGGCTCAGCCCAGGAGAAGGCACAGGGAAGGGAGGACAAGGGCCTTCCTGTGGGGCTGACTCCCAGGAGGGGCAGGACCTGGGAGAAGAAGGAGTGTAGGGACAGCCTGGCCGGGGTTACTGGGGCCCCTGGCGTGGGGGGCGGTCAGGCTGCCCAATGGGGCTGCCCGTCCTGGACTCGAGGTGGTGCTTTCTGCTGGAGCTGAGAAAGGTTAGCCCTGAGATGGGATGGGGGCCGCCCAGGGTGGGCGACCGGGCCCTGACAGGAGTCCCTCAGGGAGTGACCACATCCCCCCGCCAGGGTCAAGGGAGCCTGCCCTGAGACCTGCCCGGTGTACTCTGGCTGCACCAGGGGCCCACCCCACTTGACAGCCCCAAGGCCCTTGCAGGTTCTGACCTCCCAGCATCCACCTGCCTCTCCCTGCACCCGAGCCACACACCCTGCGTTTCAGAAGTGGCACCGCTCGTCAGCTCCCTCCCGCCCTACCTCCCCAGGGATCCTCTGTCTCTCCATCCTGTGATCCCTGAGGGATGGGCTTCTGGCTGGGCTCCTCTTACCCGGCCCCAGATCCCTTCCCAGCACCAGACCCAGGTCTTTAGCCGCGAGCCCTGCTGCCTCCCTGGCCTCACCGTGAGATGCCCAGAACGGGGCCCTGCCCATCTTCTCCCCCGTTCTCCTAGGGCTACAGCCCCCATTGTCACCATGCCTTTTCCCCTCACGGGACAGTGAGGGCTGTAGCTCTAGGGGAATGGGGGAGAACAGGGGCAGGTGGGCCCTCAGAGACCTGCTGGACAACAGCCCTGAGGCTGGGCCAGGCGTCCCCTCACCCTGTGGCCATAACCCTTGCATCTCACCGGGGTTGTCTCCAAGTAGACAGGGCCAGACCCTCAGGCTGCCCCGCTCCTCTTGTGCTCACTTGCCGACAGAACTGCTGAGCGCCCAGGGGCCTGACCTAGCCCAGTCTCCATTCCCACCGGCTCCCTAGATGGGCCCCACACCTCTGGCCTAACAACCTCGGGCTGGACCTGCAGGGGAGTCAGGGAGGAGTTCTGTCCCTGGAAAGGAGGTTGACCCGACCTGGTGAGACATGTCCTGCGTCAGAAAGGCCTTTCTAAAAGCAAACCCATCCCTGAGCTGAGACAGGTGCTTTAGGGGTGAGGGGAGTGCAGAGGACTCACTGTACAATCCCCAAATGATCGACGTTGTTGTTGTAGCTTCGAAAAGGCTTAGGCCCCTTGTCCTCTGGCAGCCCAGCTCGGTGTCCCTGTAGCCCAGAGGGAGCCTTGGTGAGGGGTCCAAGGTAAAGGGTGCAAGGGCCTGGGGGCATTGGCCACCCGTCCCTGCCCTGTGCTCCTAGGGAGCCCAGGACCCTTTGACCAGGGCACACTGGAAGAGGCCTCCCTCCAAGAAGCAGACCGACTTGTACCTTTTCGTATTTCATAATGATGTCCTCTCGCTCTTGTGCCCACCAACTGCCCGCGACCTCTACCACGTCCATCCTGTGAGACAGAATTGTCTAAAGGTCACACTGTACGCGGCGGCTTCGGAGAACACCTGAACCGCTCTCGCCGGGCTCCCAGATGCTGGCTGGCTGCGTAACCCCCATTCCACCGCCGCCCCCAGGGAAAAAGGGGCCAGACCCAGTGGCCCACAGCTGCTCCAGTCTCTGGAGTCTCAAGTCCCAAGCAGGGGTGGGCATCTTCCCAAGGACTTGAGTACAGTGGGACCTAGACAGAGAATCCTGTTGTCCCCCAATGCCATGAAATGGGGACACACCGGCCCCAGCAGGTTGAATGGTTTCCACCTGCCAAGGGTGAAGGGCCCATGATGGGCTATTCCAGGGATGTGGAGGCAGACTGGGGTCAGCGACCAGAGGTCTCTGTGCAATCGGCCTCCTGGGATGCTCAGGGCCTCAGCGATGCCCAGTTTCCTACAGGGAACAAGATCTCTCCCGACTGCTCGGTTCTACTCCGCTCATCACTTTGGCTACCGTGGCTCTTCAGTCTGAACAGTGAAGCCACTTTAGGAATAACGCCTGTTGAGCAGGAGGGTGTTGGGTTTGGAGGATGAGGAAGATCTATTGTACGCATGGAAACCACGTCTCTCGCGGAGGGACTGTGGAGTCCACCATTCTGAGCCGTCCCAACAGGAGGAGGCTTCATTTTCCTGGGTCACTGAGGAAGAACAGTGGGTCCTTGGTCCTGGAGAACAGCTGGATGGACCGTCCCTCCTGGGAATACTCGAGGCAAAAGGAGGGCGAGGCCTCAAGAGGACCACGCAGAGCAAGAAATACCTGGGGAGAACCCTAGTGCCCGGACCCCTTTGAACACAAGGGAAGATAGTCTCCCCTCAGCCAGCCCTCCAGGGCTCCTTCATTTTCCACAGCTGCCCAAGGGCAGCAGGCTCCCCCGGACAAGGGACCATGTGTGTTCAGTGGGGCCCACAGCGACCATCAGGACCCAGCTTAGGGCACAGAGGTGTTCTGAGGACCGTCAGTGGATCTGTACCAGTGGCTCTATACCAGTGGCTCTGCCAGGACCAGGCTCTGCCCCATCGGGATGGGAAACCTGGGCAGATTTGGGATCTAGGGCAGGGAGGTCACAGGGTTCAGGCCTGAATTCCAGCACAGCACACGGCAGGGCTGAGAGCAAAACTCAGGGTCATGTCCGGATTCCCAGGCCGGTTACTGCCTCTCTGACCCCAGACGTCTCATCTGTCGAATGGGGACATTTGGGAACAGCACCCACTCTACGAAGCCACCATGGAGACGAAAGAGCCAATCGTCTACACGGGCAGTGTAGAACGGGCGCCTGGTGAGTGCTCAGGGATGACCCTCCTCGGTAGCTGCCCCACAGAGGCCAACACCGCCCGCACCGTAGCCACTGCCCCCAAGTCCGCCTGGAGGGAAGAGAGCAGGTCACGCTCACCTGATTCTGATGAATCAGCTGGCCTGGGTCATGCCTCTCAGGGAGAAAACCTTTGAGTCCACAGAGCTGCTCACAGATACCACTGCCTGTGTGTAACTGCTGTAGACCACTGAGGCAGACCAGAGAGCAGATAGGTGCTAAGCACCAGTGACATTCTGAGGTCATGGCACGAATCACAGTGGGGCCTTGCCCGGGTCAGCAGCGCCCAGAGTCAGGGTCCTCCGCTGCCTGAGGCGTCAACATGCCTGCCTGCAATGTGTTTGTGCACGTGCGTGGACATGTGTATGTGGGTATACACATCTGTGCACGTGTGTGCTGCTTCTCTGGCCAGGCCCGGCTGCCCCACTCATGTGTGCACCCAGTTCCTCATCACTGTCACCCCCGAGGCCCAGGGCCAGCATCAGAGCATCCATGGCTGCTCCCTAACCTCAGCCCTCCCCGCCCAGGGTGGTCCTGGGATACACATAGGGGTGGAGGGAAGTGACTGCTGCTGTTGGATCTCAGAATACAAAAGCTAGTACTATTACCTAATGGTCTTTTTAGTGTCTCTAATGGTATCGCTTTTTCATTTCTGATATTTTAACTGGGTATTTCTCTCCATGACCCTTGGATATTCTAGCTAGAGGATCCTGTGGGGAAAGTGCCGGGCACACAGTAGGGGCTCACTCTTCTAGACATGTTATCTAAAACCTGGCTCATCTGTCCTTCCACACAGGGCCTAGGGGATGCCAAATTCCAGGGGCCAGAAAGAGCTTGGGATAAAAAGAAACTTCAAGGGGACGGCTTTGACCTGGGCTGAGTCTGCCTGTGCCATCCAACTGGAGTCTCAAGTCCTGAGGCAGGACGTCCAGATGCCCCAGTGCAGGGTCCTCCTGATCAACACCTGCTCCCCTGTACTCATTAGCAACCTCACCCACCCTACTCTCAAAGCACACTTGGCTCTCGTATCCAGGAGCTCTGCATCTGTAGATTCAGCAACAGCAGATGGAAAATATTCAGAAAATAAATTGGACGGTTATGTTTCTATTGAACATGTGCAGAGTTTGTTCTTGTCATTATTCCCTAAAGAATCCAGTATCACGACCATTTATGTAGCATCTGCATTGTATTACACATCATGAATAATCCAGAGATGGTCTAATGTCTACGGGAGGATGTGCATAGCTGATATGTAAATACTAGGCCATGTTATGTCAGAGACTTGAGGATCCATGGATTTTGGCATCCCCGGGGACCCTAGAACTAATCCATGGATACCAAGGGATGACTGTATAAACTCACTCAGGAAGGCTTCTCATTGGAGGAAGGTCCCAGTTCAGGACACACAGGGACATCTCCCTGGACTACTGTCCATTCATCCATCCATTCATCCATTGTCTCCCCCCACCCCCCCATCTCGGACTGTCCCAGTGACAGCCCTAGCAAGAAGAGACAAGAAACAAGTTCACGTTGTCCAGTTTTGAGGTAATGGAAGAAGTTGCACCAGTATGAGAATAGTGGGTCAGTTTTCTACAGGATGCAGAAAGCATATCAGGCAGCCTCGGGGTGCGGAAAGGAGCCTGGCCTCTCTAGCAGCCACACAGGCCTGCAGTAGGATGGGGCTGTGGCTGGCCATGTGGATCACTTGGGCCTCATGAGGGGAAAGGAAATACCAGGGGGGCAGAAGAGGAGCATGGGGGCAGCTGGTTGCCTAAGGAGAAGGCACCTCAGGGAAGGGGACTGTATTCATTTGTTTTCACACTGATGTAAAGAAATACCTGAGATTGGGTAATTTATAAAGGAAACAGGCTTAATTGACTTGCAGTTCCGGAAACTTACAATCATGGCAGAAGGGGAAGGGGAAGCAGGCACCTTCTTCACAAGATGGCAGGAGGGAGATTGTGCAGTGGCACAATCTCGGCTCACTGCAACCTCTGCCTCCCGGGTTCAGGCAGTTCTCCTGCCTCAGCCTCCCTAGTAGCTGGGATTACAGGCATGCACCACCACGCCTGGCTAATTTTGTATTTTTAGTAGAGACAGGGTTTCACCATGTTGGCCAGGCTGGTCTTGAACTCCTGACATCAGGTGATCTGCCTGCCTCCGCCTGCCAAAGTGCTGGGATTACAAGTGTGAGCCACCGCGCCAAGCCATATCTGTTCTTTTTTTTTTTTTTTTTTTTTTTGAGACAGAGTCTCACTCTGTTGCCTAGGCCAGGCTGGAGTGTGCAGTGGTGCGATCTCGGCTCACTGCAAACTCCACTTCCCTAGTTCAAGGGATTCTCCTGCCTCAGCCTCCCTAGTAGCTGGGATTACAGGTGCATGCCACCACACCTGGCTAATTTTTGTATTTCTGTAGAGACCAGGTTTCACCATGTTAGCTAGGCTGGTCTCAAACACCCGACCTCAGGTGATCCGCCCGCCTCTGCCTCCCAAAGTGCTGGGATTACAGGCATGACCCACCGCGCCTAGTCCATATCTGTTCTTTTTTTTTTTTTTTTTTTTTTGAGACAGAGTCTTTCTCTGTCGCCAAGGCCGGAGTGCAGTGGCGTGATCGCAGCTCACTGCAACCTCCGCCTCCCGGGTTTAAGCGATTCTCCTGCCTCATCCAAGTAGCTGGGACTACAGGCACCTGCCATCATGCCAGGCTAATTTTTGAATTTTTAGTAGAGAAGGGGTTTCACCATATTGGCCAGGCTGGTCTCGAACTCGTGACCTTGTGATCCACCCGCCTCGGCCTCCCAAAGTGCTGGGATTACAGGCCTGAGCCACCGCACCCGGCTAGCCTGTGTCTGTTCTTTAAAATTGTTTTGTTTTCCTTACTCTCAGATTCTTCTTGCTGCTTATTGTGCCTTGTTGCTGCCTGTTGTGCAATTTCTTCCCTCTTGTATTTTACTGAACTTCATCTGAAGAAGCCTTAGTAGCCAGATAAACAAGCTTGTTTGGGCTAAAAAATCAATTGCTGTGTGAGAGTTTGTTGGATTCTCTTCTGAGTAAAGGGTATGTGTTTTATTGTACGGACTTTGTATCACCTATTTTGGCTTTTCATCCAGGCCTTTTTTTTTTTCTTTCTTTTTAGCTTCCTGGTTCTAGATACAACTGATACTCTGATACAACCTGGGTAAATGTGGTCTTGAGTAGTAAATTATCTGTGAAGCTTCTCCGAACTTTGCCACATAAATGAGCCTGCTCTTGTTGTGAAGTAAATCTTACTCTAATCTGTATGTGAGTCAGTTGGAAATAACTGAGCCTTCGGATGGCTTTTGTTGTTAACTGAGATTAGTTCTCTAGATTTTAGTGATTTTGTTTTGAACACCATACAAGTATGTGGTTCTTGGTTTATTTGGTCACTTGTAATCTCTTTAAAATTTTATTTTAAATTAGGAAGTATTTTAGAAATACAAGAAAGTCACACACTATGAGATTAAACAGATGTTAACATTTTGCCCCATTTTCATCAGACTGTGCATGCTTTTTTTGGGGGGGAATAAAATGTCACAGATACCACTAAAGCCCGTTTCCATCTCGTCCCACCCTGCCTCTAGAAGTAACTTCTTTCTTCAGGTAGGTGCGTATTATTCCTTTTTATTCCTACGTATAGTTTAAAACTTTAATTGCATATTAGTAGCCACAAACATCACATACCAATATTCTGTGCCTTTTGCATTTTTACATTAATGGTAATTATTTTTGACCTTCTGCAAATGGCTCTTTTCAGTGTTTCTTGTTAGAAAACTTGGCTCAACTTGAGTTTACTAATTATCTGCTTCTTCTTGTCTTTAGCTATTATAGAACTGTTCCACCAAGGCAACAATTATTGCTATTTTAATGGTGAAATCAGTTTTATTAGGCAAATTGACTCAGGCTTCAGACTGGCATTTGGAATTGTCACACTGGAGATTTTCTTTTACTGAAGTCTCAGGACATTGACAATCAGAAAAAAACCCTCTTGAGTCTTACTATCGTACATGTAAGATATGTTCCTGAGTGACTATAGTAAAGACTCATTCAGGAAAATGTTATCTCCGATTTCTGCCTCCCTAGCTCATAGGAAACTTCCATTGTAAAGTTGTTACCAGGCGTCAAGCTGCCTCTTTGGTACAGCCCTTACTTAGTATTTGGCTCAGTTGAAGTGCAGTCTATATAGGAGGCCAAGAAGACTTAATCCTGGGTTTGAAACAAAGCAAGGATACACTAACATTCTATCCTTTAATAACATCAAGTAGAAAAATTGAAAATGAGCTTGTTATCAGTGCACTTTTATATGCCAACCTTGTTTCACTTGTGTTTTAAACTGGGAAACTGAAGATTTTAATGCTGAAATTTCTTTGAATTATTACCTGTTTTTTTGATAGTGGAACACACAGCTAATATTTACTAATATGAAGGTGTCAAAGGTGAGAAATCATGTACTACACCATCAGGTCAGCACTACTGTTTGGAAGAGCAGCATCACAAAGAGCAGTGTTATACTGCGTTGTAGTCAGCACATACACTTATGTCCAGACAGATATTTTAAATTACCTTCTTGGGGTAGTACACATATGCTGATATCCAAAGTGCCATATAATACAATACATAGTTTTTAAACTTCATATCATTCTGATCAGAAGCTTTATAAACTGTTAGGTGAATGCTGTTAGATGATATGAGAGCACAATTTAACCTGTGTGTGTGTATATGTATGTCTTAACATCTATTAAGTGATGACTACATATGAGGCACTAAGTGCTAAAACAGAGACTTTACATAGATTATCCCATTATTGGTCAACTTTTTAAATAAGTGCATCTCTAATATAAGACAAGATGCTGACCAATTTTTAAAATGTGAATGGATTTCTATTTTTAAGATAAGTACCTTTGTTCCTTTGGTTCCTCCCTCCCACCCTTCCAGAAATGGTAGTATCCTGGAAAAAAAAAATTAGTAGCAATTCAAGAAACAGCTTAATTCATTAGTATAAATAGATGAGTTTCCCCTAAACACAGGAGGAGTTGGAAGGTACTTGAAATTGGATGTTGTGCATGGTGCCTTTCCAAAATGCACAAATACTTTCTCTCAAATGGTTGCAGTAGTAATGTGCTGTGTGATTTGGCATGTATAATGTTGTACAGGTATCTTGACATTGGTGGATTAACTGCTTGGCTACTGTGAAATTCACTGTAGATGTTGATGGATGAAAGTGTGGTTGCCTAGGTAATGATTAAGACCAGTAACTAAACCACAGTTATTATTTTGCTGGCATAAACTTCAAACTCAGAAAGGTTTTTATTCATTTTACCCATTGGAGCATACCCCAGTAAGTGCTTCATTTCTTTGTGTTTCTGATTTTTTTTTTTTTTAAGATGGAGTCTTGCTTTTGTCGCCCAGGTTGGAGTGCAATGGCGCGATTTCGGCTCACTGCAACCTCCACCTCCTGGGTTCAAGCGATTCTCCTGCCTCAGCCTCCCGAGTAGCTGGGATTACAGGTGCCTGCCACCACGCCCAGCTAATCTTTGTATTTTTAGTAGAGATGGGGTTTCACCATGTTAGCCAGGCTGGTCTCGAACCCCTGACCTCGTGATCCACCCACCTTGGCCTCCCGAAGTTCTGGGATTACAGGCATGAGCTGCCGTGCCCAGCCATGTTTCTGAATTTTTAAGTCAACTTCTGAATAGGCAAAGAATTC